>NC_000020.11:42678355-42981385 GCF_000001405.40 Homo sapiens
AGTGGGGCCATTTCGGCTCACTGCAACCTCTGCCTCCCTGGTTCAAGCAATTCTCATGCCTCAGCCTCCCAAGTAGCTGGGATTACAGGCACCTGCCACCACGGCTGGTTAATTTTTGTATTTGTAGTGCAGATGGGGTTTCACCATGTTGGCCAGGCTGGTCTTGAACTCCAGACCACCTGAGGTGATCCGCTGGCCTCAGCCTCCCAAAGTGCTGGGATTACAGGCATGAGCCAACACGCCTGGCCTGAAAACCCTTTTAAATCCCATTCATGCCCTACTTTAAGGGTTTGCATGTAAGTACCTGAATCAGTATTTCTTCAATAGCTATATTCAATGCCTACCTTATCTCCTTCATTTAAAGAAATGAAAGAAAGAAGGCCATGTGAGGAAATGGTTTTCCCAGAACACAGCAAAGCTGCTGGGTGAATACTCTGTTTTCTAGCCTCAAAGGAAAACCTGCTTTTGCTGAAGTAAAGTTTGGCACAAAACCAGGGGAGCCTGAGGTCTATAAACATTTCTTACATAGAACACACAGATTGTTAGTGAAGTTCTTTCCAAAAAGTGATATGAGCCTAAGTAGAAAAAGAATGATGGCACAGCAAGAATTCAGCTTCTGCCTCAACCCCAGCAGGTTTCTTCCAGCAGAGAAAGTCATGGGTCACAGCAGACCCAGCAGGAATGAGGGGTTAAAGGAAAAGTTGTGCTGAGTTATCGTGCATCTACTCTGTGCTGCCACCTCTCTTCCACTGAGTTCCACGCAGTCAGCTAAGTAGACCAGAGGTTCAGCAGGCTTGGATTGTAGCCTCTTCCTTGCAATTATTAGCCCATGGCAAAGCTACAAAAATTAACACTTACCTTGTACTTCTTATGTACTTTAAAATCTCACACGTATCATTCATGTAATTCTTGGGACAGCATTATCACCTTAACTTTAATGGGGAAAAAAAAAAAAACTGACAACCTAAGAAATCAGGTCACCTAACCAAGGTCATGGAGAAGGTAGTGTAGGATAAAACTTATATCCGCATGCCTTCCTGGACCAACTTGCACCAAGGAAAGCTGTCTGCCTCTTAATACTCATCTTTAAAAAAATCAAACTGAATATATTTGTTATTTTTATTTGCAGTAAAAATGGCAGAACAATAAAGAAAATGGAAGAAAGAGAAAATATGAGAAGAAATGGAAGAAAATGGAGAAAAATGGAAGAAAGAGAAAATATCTCTAACATCCAACATAGCCATTTTTATTCTTCCATGTCCATTCCAATATTTATGTACTGACACATTTTTTGTGTTGTTATAATAACACATAGACCCAATGTAGATTCATTTTTCTTCCTTCACTTATATTGTAAGGATTTTTTTTTTCATATACTGCTTGAGCTTTATCATCATTGTCTTTAATATTTGCATAACAATCCATCAGGTTATCACACTAACTATTCTCTGATTGCTGGACCCATGAGTTGTTCATGTTTTGCTATGGTAAATAATGCTGCAATGAACATCTTTGTGCAAAGACTTCAGTCTGTCTTATCTCATGTTTTCTTAGAACCAACTGCGAGGAATGGGATTATATGTCAAAGGGTATGAACAAGAGGAAATGAAGAGTAGAACAAGGAAGAGGAGAAAGGGCAGGCACAGAGGAGGCATATGAGGGTAGAATACAATGTGCATTTGTTTGAGAATATTTCACTTATAGAGGGCCTCTGGGTTATTCACATGGATAGAAGGCAGGTATACATTTTAGCTTGGAACTCAGGTAAGGGCTTTGAGATAGAGACGCACTAAGCATTTCCCTTCCAATTAATTACCTAGAAGCAAAGATTCTCTAGAAACAGAATAATTGCTATGAAACAGGGGTGGACAATATTTTCTCAGTGTGACTCGAAGCAAATCTTAAGGGACAACTCCAGATTGCCTCTATTATAGCCTGCCATTTGGTCAGAGAAGGAAATTAAGCAGATTAGTCAAGCTAGATGCTTTTCTTTACAAAGCCATGGAGGTTATTACTCAAGACCTTGTTATCTCAAAGGTGTTTGCAAATTGATTTTTGGATAATTTGTTCCAGGTAGAGAAGCTAGGTTGGCAGGCAGATAATTTCTAAGCTCATCCTTTGTGCATGTTAAATATATGGAACCTTTGATTGCCATTATCAACTCTCCAGAGCTCCCATCAGTCTCCAATGAGGCCCCAGGGGTGATATTTTGCAGCTCTGTGATGACTCTGCCCAATTCCTTAATATAATTATTCACAGACTAGACCTCTACAGAATTAAGAGTTGCAGACTTCAATAGTTTGGAGGCTGAGTGAGTGGCCCCATTTAGTTCTTTTCCATTGACTTTTCACCATGGTTTTCTGCTCTCCTATTTCAGACAGCAGTATTCAATTGCTGACCACCAGAAAGAAAATAAAGTATTAAATCTTTCCAAATGGTTAGCTTCTTTTCATGTATTTCTAATGGCATGTGCAAGTATAGTAACAAACATCCCCTTGAGTATATAAATGTCCCTATCTCAAATGACTTGCGACTTCACACATTTGTGTGCAGATTAGCCTCACGGTTATCTCTCTCTCCATCCCCTCAAGAGTAGACCATGTAAGTTTATCACGGTGTTTCCTCTATCTGGCACCAAGGAAGCCATCAGATTATTGTGTGCTTTATTCTTTCTTTTTTCAGTGATCCATTGATTCATAATTGGCATTGTTTAGAAGGCACAGGTACTGGTGGTTCAAAGAGAGAGAAGCAAAAATATAGCACAGAATGTTTTTGGTAAGCAGCACATTATTTTAAAAATACATAGACAAACCCTATCTATTTATAGCAGTTCTCTATCTCTAAGATGAACTCTTCAAGAAGACAGTATAGGAAATGTACAGGGCCATCCAGTCCAATGGCTAGAGTCAGCAGGGAGGAAAAGGAAACCCCTGTGTATCTCATTTGCCAGACAGAGCACTGAGCGCATGAAATTTAATGCAGCCAAGTAAATCAGTGATAACAAAGTGTAGTAAAGTCATGATGCGGGTGGCAGAGGCAGTTTTGAAGCCTGTGAAAGGACCCAATCTGGTCTAGAGGTTAGGGAAGCTCTTGCAGAGAGCACTTAGGGGAGTGTTCTGCTGGGACCACTCATGTTGAGTCTATGAACAAAGAAAAATTCCTGGGGGTCCCCTAGTTCTCAGTTGCTTGGGCTACACTGGTCAACAATTCAAACGATGTGCCCTGGACACTCATTCATTCACTCGTTCTATGAATGTTGAGTCCCTGCTGCTGGTCACACACTGTCCTAGGCACAGACACAATCTTGGCTGCATGGAGCTCCCCTTCCAGCCTTCACTCGAGGATTGACAAAGAGAAGTCAGGAGAGAAGGAAGCTGACTCAGAAGCTGTTGAGAAGGAGGGCATTCGAGAATAGAGAGGCCCTGGGAGCCAGACCTAGGTAAGAGCTTATGGATCCATAAAGGGATACACATATACACAATGGAACGCTGCTCAGCAAGAAATGAACAAGCTGCAGACACAGACACACACAACAACATGAGTAAATCTCAAAAAAATTCATGCAAAAGAAAAATAAAAGAATGCATGATGACCCCACTTATGTGAAAAGTTCAAGAACAAGAAAAACTGCTCTATGGTGATAAAAGCCAGAAGCATAGTGACCTGAGGGGCAGGTACTGACCGGGACAGAGCCTGAGGGAAGTTTCTGGGATGTTAGAATGTTCTCTATATATTGATTTGGGTAATTAAATAACAGAAATCAAAATAGTGTTACTATAAGGGAGATGACTGCCTGAAAGAAGGCATAAGAAAAATTTGGGAGGTTATAACCATTTCTGTATCTTAACTGGGGTTATGTAAAACTCATTAAACTGTGAACTTTAAACAGAAGTATTTTTATGCATATAAGTGATACCTTAAAAGTTAAAAAAAACAAAAATATGGATATGTGACTCACTGGATGAAGAGAATGCCACTAATTACCTGAAAGGGAACCTCAGAAAATTGGGAGAAAATGAGCCTTTACTCCTATACCATTCCCTCTTATCAGCACCATCAGATGCTTGAATTCCTAACAGTTTTTCAAACAAGAGGTTGTTCAGGCACACACCAGTTTCTTATCCATGAGGCTTTTCACTTCTAACACAACCAATGCCCTCTTAACAGACTCCACACCATCATCTGTGCAAAGCCAGGAGTAAGTGTTTAACATCTGACAGCACCCTCTGCTCACAAAGTTTGCAACTAAATTAAGGAGGAGGAAGTCTTGCCTTCATGGAGCTGAGGGCTGAGCTGGGAGATGACATCAGTGCCTTCCAGCCAGGCATCAAAGCGCTGCGAGGACAAGGATGCCAGGAGCCATCCATGAGACCTGGGCAGCAGCGGCCCTGAGCTTCCAAGGCTCTCCTTCAACATGTAGATGGTGAAGTGACCCCTTCCTGTAATTCTGCCACATCCTCAGGCATCAATCTCCAGAACAATTCTGTCTTTCTTTTCCCTGCTGTGAGCACTTGTAACAGTTTGACTCCCTAGAAATTCCTACAGAGAGTAAAAGTGTTTCAAATAGCTGGAGATGGAGCTGTGCGCATGTACTGTCTGCTCTAGATAGAAATCAAACGTTTTGAGAAAAACCAAACGTTACTAAGACGTGAAGTGAGCCTTGATATGATTAAGGTGAGTGTAACCTAGCCTCCAACACTTTACACCACACGTCTCACCCCACCTGATCACCCTTTTAACTGCATTTTCTATTCACTGACCCTCCAGGTCTGTGGGAATGCCTCCACCCACCCAACCCTAGCCACCAACACAAACACATTCATACACAGACAGAAACACGGTTGTGCCATTCTCATTTCCAGACTTTTGTCTGTGCCATTTTTCCCAACTAGAATGGCTTTCCTTTTACTTGTTTTTTTTGTTTTGTTTTGTTTTGTTTTGAGACAGAGTCTCACCCTGTCACCCAGGCTGGAGTGCAGTGGTGCAATCTCGGCTCACTGAAACCTCCAACTCTTGGGTTCAAGCGATTTTCCTGCCTCAGTCTCCCAAGTAGCTGGGATTACAGGCACCTGTCACCACGTCCAGCTAATTTTTGTACTTTTAGTAGAGACGTGGTTTCTCCATGTTTGCCAGGCAGGTCTCAAACTCCTTATCTCAGGTGATCCACCCTCCTCAGCCTCCCAAAGGGCTGGGATTACAGGCTTGAGCCACCATGCCCAGCCTTCAATTACTTTTAACTAAACCATGCCTATTTTTCTTTTCAAAACTGCTTCATGACGACTTACTTTCGTGTAGCACAGGGCTAGGCACAGAGTAGATGTTCAATGCTGATTAAACTTTCTACGATTTATGCGCAACACTGTTTTCATACAATAATGGACTGAGGATCAAAAAGGACTACCTTGGGGCCAGGGTTCAAGCTTTCCTTGACCTTGGCTTACCACTAGCCAGATGTGTGACTCTACTCAATCTTCATGGTCCTCAAATTTATTTTACCTTGACAATGAAAGATTCAAGTCATAAAAGTCCCTAAATTTTCTCTACCAAGGGCCACAGGGATTCTATGTGTACTGAATGACTACCCTAACAGTGAGCAATCGGCAGTAGCCCAGCCTTCTCATTCTTCCCTGGCTTGGGCTCACAGTCCTTGGACACAACCTAAGTAGATATAGCATCAAATCCTCCAGTAGGTGCCAATCAGAATTAGTCTTTGTTGGCTGGGAACGGTGACTCATTCCTGTAATCCCAGCACATTGGGAGGCCAAGGCAGGAGGATCACTTGAGGTCAGGAGTTTGAGACCAGCCTGACCAACATGGTGAAACCCTGTCTCTACTAAAAATTAGCTGGGCACGGTGGTAAGCACTTGTAATTCCAGCTACTCGGGAGGCTGAGGCAGGAGAATCGCTTGGACCTGGGAGGCAGAGGTTGCAGTGAGCCAGGATCATGCCACTGCACTCCAACCTGGGCAACACAGCGAGACTCTGTCTCAAAAAAAAAAAAATTAGTCTTTGTGCCCTAACCAAACATACAGCCAGTGGTCAATAAATATCTGATGTCTTACTTAAATGGGTAGAAAAAATATTTGATAAGTTTTCCCAAAGTGAAAGGTTGAGGGTGGCAACAAAGAGATGAAAAAGAACAAGAAGTACGATGTTGTAGAGAATACTGAATGCACCTCTAAGCAAAGGATTGGAAGTATTTAGAGAGAAGACATCAAACAACTGACAGAAAGCAACAATCAAAGACATATGTAAAGAAAACTTCTCTGAAATACCCAAAGGCCTGAGTTTGCAGACTCTGAAGAGCACAGTGGGTTCCAGGCAAAATCAATGATGAGACTTCAGCTTAAGTACATACTGGCAATATTTTTGAAATATAAAACTAAAGAAAAATTCCCATAAGCCTTCAGAAAAAATAACAGATATCTATCAAAACAAAATAAAAAGACTAAAAACTCTGGTTCCAGACTTTATCATTACAGTTTCAAACACTGGGATGTGATGAGGAAGAGGATGATGAGAATAATCACAAATAACACCATGGGGCAGCTCCCATGTACTGCACACTTTCAGACACCTCTGACTGCCCTTAGTGTTCTACAGTATTGATTCATTTAGTCTTCACAGCAACTTTATGGGTGGGTAGATACCCATCCAAAGTCAAACAGTTAGTCATTCAAAATCCAGGACTGAGGCCAAGGCAACATGCCCGGGGTCTGCACTCCTAACCATTATGATAAAGACAATGGTACATTATGATAAAGACAATGGTATACACAAAAGGTCTTAAGGGGGATGTTTCCAGTCCCAAGAGTTTTATAGGAGGTTAGTTGTGGTGCATTTTCAAAGCCAGCAGAAAAAATGCTCTCAGTTTCTGAAGAACGCAGAGAAGAAAATGCTATGTGCATGCCTTCCCTTAGAGAAAAACTGCTTGAAGATTTACCCTAGTCCGCCTTGTGATGAATCAAAATCATGACCTCTAGCATAGGGGAATTGTGATATAAGAATGATCAGTCCTATGAGATGGTTAGCTACCACAAGACCCTCCTTTCTCAGATGTGAGTCTAGAAGAGGAGCATGATCTTGTGCCAGACTGAAGTGAACACATAGCCCAATCTGTAAGAAGGGGCAGAATGGCATGCCTTTCATCCACACAGCATTTAGGGAATGCTTAAAAACAAGCAATTTCATTATGAACGGTTAACTTTAGCTTCGGCCATCATCCTGAAAAGGGACATCATAAATTCCTATGAAAAAGTCTCTCCTTCACTTTGCTGAACTAAATTCAACAAACAAATCTCATCTACCTAAGCTTAAAACATCTAGATTTAAATACATGAAAACGCTGACGTTTTTCTTAGGGTTATGAGAATATAGGTACTATTTTTTCTTTATTCTGTTTCTTATTTGATTTTTTTACAAATGCCTAGTAAACCTGCATCAGTTGCTTATTATAAATATAAGCATTTGAAATAGGTAAGGTTTTTATATATTTCAAGCTTTTACATCTGGATGTGACCTCTCTTGCAGTTCTCTGCTCTCAATCACTAGGAGTGTTTAGCAGTCAATCTCCCCTCCTATCTGCCCAGGTAGCAGGAGTCAAGAACCACGATTACATCCATTTTCCCAGCAAGTTCCTCACCAATAGTTCACTAACAAGGAGACATCCTGGCTACCTCTGGGACCCCCTCAAAGACCTCCACTGTGAGTTTTGACACTTGACTTTCAGATAATCCTCTAATCATTGCAACCACACAGTAGTTTACCTGTTTCCTCATTTTTCTCTCCATAGTGACAACACAAAGCAGACAGTACTACACCCTTATTACAGATGAGGACACCAAGGTTACCTAGAAAGCAGCTGTGTCAATACCGCCTGCTCTGTGGCTACAGGCATTGCACTTCCCACCTACCCGCAAGCCCAGGTGTTACCACTCCCAGGAGCAGCCCTTACCCAGTGAGGGATGGAAGTTGGTGGATAAACATCCAGGTTTCCTTGACCCCTAGTGGGACAATGGGGTGGCTTTATTCAGTCTTTTAGATGGTCCTGGGTGGGACTGAGCACCAGATATCCTCTAGCACTTCCAGCTCATAGTGCACTCTTTTTTTTTTTTTTTTTTTTTTTTTTTTTTTTTTTTTTTTTTTTGAGACAGAGTCTCACTCTGTCACCCAGGCTGGAGTGCAGTGGCGCGATCTCAGCTCACCGCAGCCTCCGCCTCCCGGGTTCAAGTGATTCTCCTGCCTCAGCCTCCTGAGTAGCTAGAACTACAGGTGCTACAGGCATGCGCCACCATGCCCGGCTAATTTTTTATATTTTTGGTAGAGACGGGGTTTCACCATGTTGGCCAGGATGGTCTGGATCTCCTGACCTTGTGATCCATCCGCCTCAGTGTCCCAAAGTGCTGGGATTACAGGCGTGAGCCACCCTGCTCAGCCCATAGTGCACTCTTTAAGGGGCTTTCTTTCTTCTCAGTCTCACTTCGTCTCCTGTTTACCAGTGTTCCCTACAACTTAGATAAACTATTCGCAAATCCATGCTAAAGGATCTGTTTTTTGGGGAAATCCAGTCTAACATATTATGAAAACGAGGGAAAGTTACTTAACCTCTTTGTGTCTAAACTGCCTCACCTGTAAACTGGGGATATAGTAACATCTTCCTCATGGTAATTGCCATAAAGATTATATAAATTATTATAGTTGATACTTTAGAACAGTTCCTACACGTAACAAGTAAACTGTCTTTGCTACTAATATCATCATCCTCCCAACCAGCCACCGATGAGCCATTCAGCTGTCAGTGACAGCCTTAACTGATATTCTTATTTTGTGCCCCCCCAACAGAGAGACAGAAAGATCCCATCAAACGCATTCCCCTTCCTGTGTCAGGATCAAGACAGTCTACAGTCATGTCAGTGTGTACTCCTGCCAAAACTCCTACCAGCAAATAAATTTAAGAGCTCAGCCTCAGTCTACTTAACAACATCATGTTGCAACCAGTGAAGTCATTCAGAAATGCATAATTCAATAACAACTTAGCACCAGATGAAGTTTTATGATCTGCAACACTCTGTCTGCCCCGGCTCCCCCTTATCCCCCAAAACCTCAACATTTTCAAGATTACTCTTTGCTGGGCCACTTCCCAAAATTAAGAGCAGAGTAAACATTCTAGAAGAGCCTTCCTTTCCTTGCCTGCTAATCAGGAGTCCTCAGAAAGCATGAATCAAGAGTCTGTCACCTCCAAAGGAGGGGCTAGGAGAAGCTGGATTCTAAAGCTTTGGAATCAAAGGCCATGCTTCAGGAGCACCTTGTTCCAGGGCAGCATGGGTTCACAAATGGGCACCCTTCACTCCCCTCCCCCACCTCAGCCAAGCAGCCCTGCTATGAAGAATGGGGTGAAAGAAACTCTTGCCTTATCCAGTTTGGATCTTAAGAGTTCCAGAGACAACCACGTCTGTACACCCACAGGATGGTGAGAGCTGTTATTATTACTGTCACGCAGCAAGGACAAATAACATTCTCATAATGTTCACTGCGTGCCTGGCTCTATTTCGGGATTTACATACAAATTCATTTATTCCTCATATCACACCGGAAAGTAAGTACTATTCTAGTATGCATTTATAGATGAGGAGACTAAAGGAGTGTGCTAGTATTCAGCTCTGGTCTTTTTGCCTCAAGCCCACCCTGTTACATCAGTTATGTAATTCTGGAGCTGGGACCCCACTAACAACATCTCTAAACTACCTTGCCAGCTGGCTTTGGTCCAGTCCTAGTGATGGGAGACTTCAGATGGAGACTGGGATGCTGGAAGAAGGAAGAAGATGCTCTCTTTCTGCTTCAAGGTCCTTGTAGCATCATTCCAGCAACAGGGGCTGCTACGCTCCAGGCCTTCATCTTTTCTGGTCTTTGTAGCACCCATGGCACAGTATCTTTCTGAAGGAACTAATATAACCTAGGCCATGCCCCTTACAGCTGCAGTACAATCTGTGGGGTCTCCCTCCTCAGAGGTCTCAGAATCAGCCCTGCTGTGCTCCTCCTACAGACTTCTAGGTACCATAACCCCTCCTATTCCATTTTGTTACCCCAGCCCCAGGTGTGGTCACCACTTCCTGCCATTTTTGGCTACCTTAGCGTCCCACTTTTGCACTGACAGCCTTTCATCACTGTGTAATGGATTCCCTTCAATAAAAACCCTCTGTTTGAAATACCTGGTGTGATTTAGGGTTTCCCTCCTGGACTGTGATTTATATCAATAGGTATTATAATTATCTTTATTTTTCACATGAGGAGACCAAGGTACAAATTGCCCAAGGTCATGTGGCTAATTAGTGAGTGTGCTGGGATACTCAGGCTGTCTTGCTCTAGAGGCCATGATTTTAACTCACACAGTGAGCTGATGCCCCACTGTTCTCAGCACCCTGGTCAGCGACACAGTGAGGCAGGTACATGAAGGCTGGGAGATATCATATTCTGCCTAACTAACAAGTAATGAGGGCTGACTCTGCTATGTTTGGGGATGTGGAGTCAAAGCAAATAACTGTCTCTACCCTGGAGGAGACTAAGAGACTAGGGAAGGATGCAGAAACCAATGAGCTATAGAAGAAAGTGATACAGGCTGGGAAGTGGCAGGCCCAGAGTCCTGTGGACTCACACAGTTGTGTGGTATTGATACAGACAGAAGACAGGGAAGCACTGGGTAGAAGAGGGTGGTTCCCCAGTAAGGGCCCCACCCTCAAGCCTGAAGACCCACAGAGCTAAGTCAGCACAGACATTTCTGTTTTCGCACCCAAAAAGTTGCCTTTTGGCCCACCATACCTCCAATCCTGTCCCCATATAAACCCAAGACCTTAGTGGGCACACATACAAGTGGCTGAACGTTGGAACCAGCAGACCAGTGACAATGGAACAATGTGGCAGAGAAAGACAGAAGAGAAAGGATGTCTGGACGCTGAGGGGGGTTCAGCTGGAGGCAGTCAGATAAGAATCTGCCACTGGGCGGCCCAACTCCAGGGGAAGACCACCTTCCCACTCCATCCTCCCCTTCTGGCTCCCCATCCATCTCACTGAGAGCCACCTCCACGGATAAAACCTCGCACTCATCCTTTGAGCCCACATGTGATCCAATTCTTCTGGTACAGTGGGCAACTGAAGGAGTGAGCCACACCCGTTTCACATCCTGCAAGGGAGATAAGGGAAATCTCTCATTTCAGTATCATACACAGAATAGTGGTCCCAAAAGATGCTCAATTCCTAATCCCCAAAACTTACATAGACTCCAAAACTTGTATAGACTCTGAAGCTGTGATTAAGTTAAGGATCTTGAGTAGGGAGCATATCCTGGATATGTAGTATCCTGGATAAGTGAAGAAGGGAGGCAGGAGAGTCGGAGAGAGCGATTGGAAGATGCTATGTTCTGGCTGTGAGGGTGGAGAAAGGGACCACTAGGCAGGGAAAGCTGGTGACGTCTAGAATCTACAAAAGGCAAGGGAATGGACTCTTCCCTAGAGTCAAAGGAACACAGCCCCACTGACCCATTTTAGACTTCTGACCTCCAATGCTATAAGATCATAAATTTGTGTTGTCTTAGACCACTAACTTTGTGATTGGTTACAGCAGCAATCAAAAACTAATACAAGGAGAGATATCCAAATTAGATGGAGGATGTTAGGGAAGGCTTCCTAGAGCAATCAAATCATGATCTTGGTCTTAAAGGAAAAGGAGAGTCTAACAGGCACAAGGGTGGGGTTATTCACAAAGACAAGACTGGGTCATGCACGGATGGTATATCCTGCTGAAACACAGGTGATGGGGAGCAGGGGTGGGGGGCCAGCAAAAAGGCAATCAGAGAGGTCAAAAGTGACCTGATCAGGAATGGTCTTCATCCTGAGGCTGTGTAAGCAGTGGTGTCACGTAGGCACAAGAGTTTTAGGGACAACTCCTCTGAGTGCACGGTGAATAATGGGTCTAAGGGAGAGAAACAGACAGGGGGACCAATAAGGAAGTTGTGTCAATTACATTGAGGAAAGAAATGATGGAGGCATAACTCAAGTAATGGCCACGGGGCTGGAGAGGCAGAGGCAGAGGAACTAGGCCGAGGGTTGGGTTGGGAGACTGAAAGGACAGGACTTGGTCATGGATTGAATGTAAGGAGCAAGGCATATGGACCAGTACAAAGCTAGTGTTCAACATGCTGGGTGAGTCTCCCCTTGACCTCCACAATGCCTGCGCAGCCCACATAAGTGGAAGTCTACCTCAATTTCCCTGTGCAGTACCCCAGTACTCTATGCTAGCTTCTCCAAACTATGCCCAATACACTTCATCCCTTTGCATTTTCATATTCACTTTCACTTACAAAGGGAAGTGAGGTGTACTGGAAAGTAAAAGATCACTGGGTCAGACAGAGGTTGCCTTGCAATCTCTATTATTTAATGGTGTGACATTAAGCAAGTGATATAACTCCCTTGTGGCTGAGTTTCTTCCCATGTAAAATCAGGGTCATGGTCATACCTCACTGGGTCCTTGTGAAGATCAAGTGTAAGTGCCTGAAAAATGACAGGCCCTACATAAACGTGAGTTATTCCTTTCTTCCCATGGCTATTAGCTTTGGACCCCTGCACTGGTCTTTCTCCCCATTCCACAGCCTTCTCCTGTAATGGGCCATTCAGCCCAGCGCCTCTAGCCTCCTGAGATGCCCCCTCTGAGCATCTGAGCTCTCAGGGCATCTTGGGCTCATGCATCACATGTATCACGTTCGATAAAATCAATGTCAGCTTTATGCATGTGGTAGCCACTAATCTCCCACCAGGACAGGCAACTCACTTTCAGAAAGCACTGGAGGAAAAACACAGTAGCTGCCATAGCAGAACAAATATGACAAGATGACAAAGTAGAGAGAAAGGGGGTGGTAGGGAGTGAGGGAAGAAACATGCAATTCAGGGCAACCTGAGTCCAGGAAGCTTCGTCAGTTGCTACGCTACCAGCCACAGAAAGAAAGGCTTACGCAGAAGGTGTCTGTGGCTTTAGAGATATTGTTATTTTGCAAATTCTTCTCCTTGGCCTATCCCTATGTGCAAGGGGGGAGATGCATAATTAGTCTGTAAGCTGCTGAAATGGCTAGAAATGACTAGAAGTATCGACTGCTCTGAAGTGTCAGGAAGGGGTGTCCAGATGGATTAAGAGGCTTATCCATAGAGCCTACTCAGTTTGTGGGAAGAGTTTAAGAGATGACACCCTCCCTTATGCAAAGGAACTGAAAAACGAGCTTCTTCCAAATCCTCCCTCATTCCCCTAGGGCTGCCTCTGCCCCTGCCGTATCTTGCCTGAAGAGAGACTTAGCACAGCCTAACTCACTGCTCTTTGGGAAAGGACTTCGAAACAACACAATTCTGCAAGGTCCCATAGACCTCTGTCCCTGTCTCCAAAAGCCATGATTCTGACTAAGCCAGATGGACGCTGGGCTCCAAGAATAGAATTAGTGGCTTCATGCTGTTGTCTACCACAGGTCACTGCCTCTAGGTGCTTCTGTAGAGGAAGAGAACATGAGGAAACAGGAAGGAAAAGGTAAATATATTGTTTATGACATTGCAGGCACTGTTCTAGGTATTTCTAACATCTTATTCATGTATTTCTCAAGCATAGGCCCAGGGAACTCAATGACATATACAGTGATTTCCAAGGGCCCATAGAAAGCAAGTCTTTAGCTAGAACATCTTGGAACAAAATCCTGCTTGAAGGTGTTGGGTAGGTTTGAATTTTAACACACACAAAAGGTTTCAATGAAATATCACCTTTACACAAATTATTTCAGAGACTCCAAAGAGAAGAATTACTTCCAAACTTACTTTACAAGCCCAGGATAGCTTTCATTCCAAGACTTCACAAAGATATCACATGAAACTTTTAGGCCAATCTCCCTCGTAAACACGTAAACTAAAATCCTACATATTGTATTACCAAGCCAATCCTGTGATATATAAAATGAATAACAGGTTATAACCACATTAAGTTTATGCTGGGACTACAAGATTGATTTAATATTAGAAAATCAATCAGTATAACTCATCATATTAACAAACTGAAAGATAAAAATCACATAGTTGTCTCAAGAGATGCTGAGGAAGCACTTGATGGAAATCAACAGCCATTCATGATAAAACTTTTAGAAAACTAGAAATAGAAGGAAAGTCCTATAATCTGACAAAGGGTATCTAACACATTACTCTAACATCATAATCAATGGTAAAATACTACACACTTTTCCCTGATTTCCCCAATTCTACTGGTAGTTTTAGCCAATGCAATGAGGCAAGAAAAAGAAATAAAAGAAATAAATGTTGGAAATGAAGTAATAAAGCTTTCATTATTCATAGACTACATAATTGTGTGTGTAGAAAATTCTTTAAAAATCTCAAATTATGATAAAAATTAACAAGTTAATTTAGAAAAGTTCCATAGATTAAATATAAACAATTATAAAATGAAATTTAAAAAGTGCCATTTACCCAATCAATGGTAATAGACATCATAATAATGGTGACCTCTAGGGGAAGGAGTAGTCGACTGGGAAGAAACATGATGAAACTAGGTACCACAATAATTTACACCTTGATTTGGAAGATGGTAATATGGGTGTACATGTATATGAAAGACATTGAGCTATCCACATAAGGTTAACGCACTTTATGTCCTTTACTGCATTCTGTTCTACTTCAATAACAAACAAATTGAATAATTACTTACAAAAGCACCAGCAAAGTATTAAAATATCTGGGGATGTATATATACCTATATGTGCATTTGTGTATATACATGTATTCTTCTTCACTGAAAACTGCCAGACATTACTGGGATACATTTTTAAAGATCCAAATAAATGGAGAGATATTCCATGCTCATGAATTAGAAGAATCAATATTGTAAAGTTGTATATTCTCCTTATGTTGAAGTATAAGCTATCCTAATAAAATATCTGTCAGGCTTTCTAGACAATTTGACAAACTTATTCTGAAGTTTATATAAAAATGCAAAAGGCCAGGAATATTCAAAGCAATATTTAAAAAGGAAAAGAAAGTTAGAGAGCTTACCTTTTAGGAAATTAAGATTTATTATTAAGCTACAATAATTAAGAAAATGAGGTATTAAGCTACAGTAATTAAGAAATTGAAAAACAGTTCAAGAAACAATGGAGGCAAGAAACAAATCCACATATTGATAATCACTTGATCTGTGATACAGCTGACACTTCACTGTGGTAGGAGAAGTGTATTCTCAACAAAACAATTAGGATTATTTAGGCATCCATATGAAAAAATAACCTTCAACATTGTGCCCTACTTTATACTATAAACAAAGTCAATTCCAGGGTACTATAGACCTATATGTAAAAGGTAAACAATAAGATTTATATAAAATAGAATGTTTCTGACCCTGGGGTAGGCAAACTATAATCCATAAGGAAATTAAAGTGGACCACAAGGGTTTCTCACGCTACTCCTTTAGAACCACAACCACCTCCCTCCCCACTTCCCCACCTCATCATTCATCCCTGGGAACCACCAATCTGTTTTCTACTTCTAAAATTTTGTTATTTCCAAAAAGACAATATATAATCTCTTGGGACTGTTTTTGTCACCTGCCATCATACCCTGGAAATTACTCCAGGTTTTTTTTCTTTTATTTTATTTTCTTTTTTTTTTTTTTTTGAGCCAGAGTCTCGCTCTGTCGCCCAGGCTGGAGTGCAGCGGCGCGATCTCAGCTCACTGCAACCTCCACCTCCCAGGTTCACGCCATTCTCCTGCCTCAGCCTCTCAAGTAGCTGGGACTACAGGCACCCGCCACCATGCCCGGCTAATTTTTTGTATTTTTAGTAGAGACGGGGTTTCACTGTGTTAGCCAGGATGGTCTCGATCTCCTGACCTCGTGATCCACCTGCCTTGGCCTCCTAAAGTGCTGGGATTACAGGCATGAGCCACTATGCCCGGCCTAGTCCAAGTTTTTGTGTGCACGGATAGTTCATTTATTTTTGTTGCTGTGTAGTTTACATGTGATATACATATGGGTCTATTGTTGTGTTGAATGTTGTTTAACCATTCTCCCGTTAAGGGTCATCTAGGCTATTTTCAGGTTTTTGCTATTAAAATAAAACTGCCATGAACAGTTATGTATAGGTTTTTGTGTGAACATAAGTTTTCATTTTTCTGGGGTAAATTCCTTGGAGTTCAATCTCTGGGTCATATGGAATTCAGAACTATCAAACTGCTTTCCACAGCGGCTACATCATTTTACATTACTACTATCAATGCATGAGTGGTCCAGTTCCTCACCTGTACTACTATTGTCACTATTTCTTTTTAGCCATTCTGATAAGTATGTAGTGATGTTTCACTGTGGTTTTAATTTATACTACCTTAATGGCTAATAGCATGGAACATCTTTTCAAGTGTTTATCTCATCTGTACAGCCTAGTGCAGCTTGATAGCTGGTTCTGGCTGGGGTCACTCAGAAGGCTGCAAACAGGATGTCTACTGTGGCTACAGTCCTCTCAGGGCCTGACTAGGATAGGATCTGCTTCCAAGCTCACAGAGCTCCTGGCTGTCTTCAGAAGACCCACTGCAAAGATCATGCATGGCCAGGCGGGGGTGGCTCATGCCTGTAATCCCAGCCCTTTGGGAGGCCGAGGCGGGAGGGTGAAATATCTCATCATATCTTTTGCAAATTTTCTAATTGTTTTGTCATTGAGTTTTAAGAATTCTTGATATATTCTAGACATTAGTCCTTTGTCATATATATGGTTGGCAAATATTTTCTTTCACTCTGTAGCTTATCTTTTCATCCTCCTTGCCTGAGCTTTCACAGAGCAAAAATTTTAACTTTAATAAGGTTCAATTTATCAATTTTTCAGTTAGAAATCATGCTTTTGATGTCAGGTCTGTATTAACTTTTTACTTTTAATTATACTCAAATGTATCAGAGCTCACAAATCCATTCAGATTCCTGATGAAATGGTGTTCAGTCAAATATTTGGTTCACAAACACACAACTACGCTTGATTCTATTTCCTACCATAGAGTTTCTGAATAACAGATATGCTGAAAAATATGTCTGGATTGTTTTGAAAGTTTTAGTGGTATTTATTTTTTAGAAGTTTGATATTTTAAAAATTATGTTTTCGGTCAGGATGATGAATAGTTAATTTAAAATAAGAAAATTAAAGAATATACTCAAAACTGTGGAAAAGATGGAAGACCATACAATTTGGAACAACCTACAAACTGGGAAGCATGTATCCAACACAGCACTGTCCTTCAGAGTCTCTTCATTGAACTTAACAAGGAAGAAGATGGGATCACTACCCCAAGTTCAATTAATGATTCATTAGTAAGCAGCTGTCAATCTGGAAAATGTAAGATAGACTTAGATACTTAATATGTGACTTTTACTACTGTAAATCTTCAAAGGGCTAAAACTTGATATCTCTCATGCAAGAAAATCTGGCAACATCTGCATAAGACCATCACTGCTGTGGTGATATTTAAAGACCAATTATTGGCAGCCTGCAGCCTCCAGCCTCTACAATGACCCTCAGTGACTCCCTCCTCCTGTCATTCATGGCCTTCAGTAACCCTATCACTTAGAGAGTGGGCTGGACCTAGTGACTCGCTTCTAGCAGAGTACAGCAAAAGCGATGTGATAATATTTCTGAGATTCTGTTACACTAAGTCTACCATTTTACTTGCCTCTCTCCTTCTCTCTTCCCCTTCCCTTTCCCCTTTTCCTCTGCTCTTCCCTCCCTTTTCTTCCCTCTCCCCTAAACCCTCTCTTTTTCTATCTCCCAATCATCTCTCTCTTTCTCCTTCTTCTCACTTTCCCCTGATCTCTTTTTTCCTCTATTTCTCTCCTCCTGTCCCCCTTCCTCCTCCCTCTTCTCTCCCTTTTTATCTTTCTGTTTCGCTTCCTCCCTCCCTCCCTCCTTCCCTCCTCCTCTCTCCCGTTCTCCTTTCTCTGTTTCCTCTCTCTGCCATGTCATGAGTGGTTTCATAAAGAAACACATATTTAAGCCAACAACTAACAAGGTTCTAAAGCCTTCCAATAGCCACATGAATTATTTTTTTTTTTTTTTGAGACAGAGCCTCGCTCTGTCGCCCAGGCTGGAGTGCAGTGGCATGATCTCGGCTCACTGCAAGCTCTTCCCCCCGGGTTCACACCATTCTCCTGCCTCAGCCTCCCAAGTAGCTGGGACTACAGGCACCTGCTACCACACCCGGCTAATTTTTTGTATTTTTTGTAGAGACTGGGTTTCACCATGTTAGCCAGGATGGTCTGCATCTCCTGACCTCATGATCCACCTGCTTTGGCCTTCCGAAGTGCTGGGATTACAGGTGTGAGCCACCCCGCCCGGCCATGAATGATCTTTGAAGTGAGTCTTCTGAAGACAGCCAGGAGCTCTGCGAGCTTGGGAGCAGATCCTATCCTAGTCAGGCCCTGAGACAACTGTAGCCCCAGTAGACACCCTGCTTGCAGCCTTCTGAGTGACTCCAGCCAGAACCAGCTATCAAGCTGCACTAAAGCTCCTAAGGCATTCTTGTGAGATAATAAATGTTTCTTAAGGCACTTTATTTTGTAACATAGGTCATAGACAACTAAGACATCAAACATACTCCATAGATAGCTAATAATGTAGCTTAATATTACCAGACTTTTTTTGTGTCTTAAAAAAGTCTTAGCTTGAAGTTAATATAATAAAAAGGTACAAGCGGATGCACCAGAGAAAAAAACAAAACAAATAAACAAAAAAAGAAACAGAAAAACTTGACACTTCCTTTAACATCAGTTTCAGAATCACCATTGAAGGTGAAGCTTAGAAAGTAGGCAAAAGCCTGGAGAAGATGTGGCTGAATCTGTTTCAGATAAACATAAAAGGATACGGGTTACTGTTATTGAAGGACACTGTCAAAGGAGGCATTTTAATGCACTTCAAGTGTGTCCAAACATTTGGTTAACCCAGTGTTTTATTTTACAGTGGTAAATAAACATGCGCAACTTCTGGCCATTTTATACATTTCCTCTGTATATTCTATGATCCTGATATCAAGGAAGACATTAACTTGCAAATTACTCGAAAGGAAGATAACCGGTAAGGAAATGGTCAGTAAGATATGGATGGATGTTTGCACACATGGAACTCAATACAAAACAGACACGGCCATGGGGCAGACACTGGGTCTTCACACACACAGCAAGGATTGTTAATTCAAATGTTCCAGCACGTGAAGCATCACTTAATAATAAAGCTCGTCCTAAAATCTACTTCTTTATTTCATCAATGGGGTGGTAAAAAAGTAGGAAAAATGGAAAAAACTCGCCTTTGTGGGCATGTACACAATAAAATGAGAAGTGAATTTGAAAGCATGCTCTGCTTCAAAGATATACCTTGGCCTATTCAATGGGGCACATTGATGGTCTCAGTGAAATTGCCATCATTCTTCATTGAGGAAGAACACATATAAGCAATAACAAAGTTCTCTTAAAATTCTTGCCTAAAGCCTCATCTAGATCTTAATCAGTAAAGCAATCTGCTTAAAGCCACATATAACAAAGAACACACAGGTTTAATGTAGCAATTTTCCCGAAGTATTAACTTTTTTTAAAAAAAGAATTGATCTCTAATCGTATCATTCCTATAGAGCTCTTCACAGCTTGCAGGCATTTATGGACTCTTCAAATTGCCCCATGAACTTCCTCTCCTACCTTTGATTCCCCTAAAGGAAAGGAAATGTAACTTTGATTGTATGTTCCTAGTTGGAAACCCAACAAGGTTTCCCAACAGCTAGTGTGTACTCAAGATTGACCCTGAACTATCGATGTTCTGCCCAGAAGGCTGATGTGAGCACATTTAGGGGTTTTAAGGTCAATTCAAAAGCTAAAGTAACCAGTTCCTTTACAGACAAGAAGCATAAACTGGGCCTCTCTAAGAAATGAGGTGTGTCATTATGAAAACTGCAGGGCTTAATGCTTACAGGACCCCTCTGAAAGGACTAAATTGTACCCACACCTAAATGGCAAACGCCTGGGTCCCTCCAAGTCCATTTCCAACTAAGGTCCAAGTACTGCTTTTACTAAAAGTCCTTTGTATTAAGCTATCCCACTCTAAAAAAAATATCTTCATGGGTTGCACCAGTGGCCTCAAACTTGGCTGCACATTAGAATCATGCAGAGAAGTTTTGGAGTTCCTAATGCTTAGGTCTCAACCCTTACCAATGAAATCAGAATCTATGCGGGAAGTTAAAATTGTCAAAAATTCCCTAGTTGTCTCCAATATGCAGCCAAGTTGGAGAAACATTGGGAGGCATCATTTATTCATTCATCCAAAGATTTCCTGAACACTCATTATATGCTTGGCCTCTAGGTGATTCCCCAACCGCCCGGGTCTTTGGGTGGTCATGTCTTATGCATCTCTGTGTGTCTAACTCTAGCATCAGAGGCAACAATGAATGCATACATGAATGAATGAATGAATGAATGAATGAACGAACAAATAAATGGCCCTTCTTATCTGCCTCTCCCTGACTTGGGATACAGGAAGGATTTCTAATGCTTACAGATAGCTCTGCATAGATTAACCCAACAAACAACTAACAACGATGTAGTAATAATGCCTGAAAAACTTGGCAATGAAGAGGAGAGACGATGGAGAAGAAATCTAGTCTCATGATGTTTTCTTTGCAAACAACCTAAAAAGGAGTAAAAAGCACAGTCTCAAGGGACCAGTGCATTACCTCTTACTCTATACTCCCACGGAATCCTTAGGCATTGAGACACCTCACATATTTACACTGATCACATCTGAACAATGCCACCTCACATATTTACACTGATCACATCTGAAATATACATGGTCACATACACCAAATCACATCTCAAGTATATGTGATCATTTTGCACCTGCTGAAATAGTTTCTTCCTTCAAGGCCCTGTTAATATTGCATCTGCTTGAGAAAGCCTTCTAGGAGACCAGCAGCCTCCCTGACATGTTCCAAAGTGCAGTACATGAGATTAAATAAGGTGCACACTCATGGATATTTACTTATAAATTATTTTAATAGTCAAAAATGTACATTAACTTGTAAAAGAAGACAGACTTCCTTCTATCATAGTAATATGCACTCTCATTTGAAAAATCAAGGAAAGCATGTGTCATTTTTAAAAAGCAATAATATGAAACACATAAGAGAACAGATGGGAAAAACTCATGAAGGGGACACAGGAAAGACTTTAGTGTGGGAAACTCAGCTAGAAGCCTTTGTAGTCTACATAGTCCTGTTACCCTCTGCATTGTGTCAGTATCATGTCTGTGTCTTTTTCCCCTACAAGAGAGTCATCACAGGGCAGGGATTATGGCCAATCATGCTTGCACTCCTCACTACGCCAAGTACAGTGCCTTACAAAGGAATTCTGAATCGACAAAATTTTTCTGTGATTGTGTTACCAGTCCCATTTAGGTTAAAAGCAATTGACAAAAAAAGTAAGCCCACAAACTAATTTGGGTCATTGCTAAAAATATAAAATTGATATTATTCTCAGAAGCAGCCCTAAATAGATGACGTGTCATGTGCCGCTTTCCTACCTACCCATCTTTCCAGGTCTTGATCCTTCTCCCTGACAACAGCAGTGAGACCCTGACCCCTGATTTCTTCTCTACCAGCTTGGCCACTGGGCAGTGAATCCAGGAAAGCACTTAAGTCACAAGAGATTTGAAAGATTTCTTGACATAGCACTCGACCATCTCTAACCTAGCGTTTGGGGATTTTTCAGAAAATTATCTCTGACAAAACGAAACACAAACCTCATTTCGATGTGACCACCAGCTTGAGAAGCCCACGGAAGTCACCTTGCCCTTCTCGCCTGAGCTCTGTGTGATGCAGCTCCTGGGGTCTCTCCACAGCAGGCAGTCCTCTCCTGTCCCTCCCACTGAGCCTCAGCCCCCATCAAGAAGCCTGGAGGCTGGCAGGCCCCCCTCACACAAGCTGTGTGGTATAAAAGGATCTGACATGGCTTAGGAAACAGACGCAGAGCGCCTCGACTACACCGCGGATATTTTCTCAGTTTAAAAAAATGTGTTCTCACTTAAGAATGCTAATGGCCCATGCACAGAAATAAAATCCCTGACCTACTTTGAAGCTGAACTTATTAAACAAGCCGACCTTATTACTCAGAAGAGACTGTAAAACAGTAGAATAAAGCCCAAATAGAATTCCTCGCATCCCTCGTTAACAGGAGCAGCCAAGAAAAGCACAAAAGGATGTCAGAGCCCTGGGCTGGGAGTCAGAAACCAGGGCCTGGTCCAGCTTTTTGATGACTTTCTGTGTGGCCTGGGATAAGTCACCATCCCTCTCTGGCTCTCAGAACCCTCATCTAGGGGCTGGACAAGGAGGTCTCTGAGGCCATTTCCACCTACTATAACTGGAGATCTTATTTTTTAGGAGCGTAATGTTAAAGTAAAATAAAAATCAATTATCAAGGGCATATTATCAGACACACTAAGACAGGTGAGGGAGTAAGATGGACATTCTGCCTCCTAGGAGCCTATAGCCAGGCAGAGCCAGTGGGGGCGGTCCACACTGATTAATGGATTTATTTCCCAACAGCAATTTGAAAGCCGCCACAAGGCTACATACAGCAGACATAACACAACTTGTGTCTGCAACAAGAATTCCCTCTGGCTCTCCACCTGACAACTCAGTTTAGTCGAATGAATCTTTCGGTGTATTTTAAACCACCGCAGAGTCATGAGTGGCCATCCGTAAGTTATAATCAAATTTATCACACTGGGAAGGAAGAGAGTGGGGATACATTTCCACGGGATTTTAGGGCAGTAATGTGAGTCATTCCTGCTCATTCTGGAGAAAATCCTGGAACTGCAAGGTAAGTTATCCAAACCAGAATCAGAGAAAGGCAGGGAAGGTCACTGATGTAACAGTAGGCATTAGTAACCCACACAACAGTAGATTAGTCAGTAATGATAGGTGCTACCGTGGGATGCTTAAATGATGTTACTGAGAAAATGTCATGGTGCAATGTAATTAGAGGGCCCCCTTTTCAAATTTCAGGCTCAGAGACTCTTCTCTTCATTGACTCTTTAGCATATGCTCAACCTCACAGAGCTCAGAAAAGAAAGCCAGCGGAGAGAAGAAATTCCCCAAAAAGGGACAAGTGGACCTGGGGTTTACATTGAGAATTGCAAATCCCATAGTCTCTCCCAGGCATGGCCAGGGTGAACTCAGGACTTGAAATGGTGTGCACAAATTCCAAGGCAGAGCAAGATGTGGGCAATCCTATAGAGACTGGATGTCCGCAATTGGAGAATGTGGTGTCCCAGGGAAAGATTTAGAAGGGTCCCACCAAGAAGACACTTGGATCACGAGCTCTGCTGTCATCGTTTTCATAGTCCTCACACTAAGTAGCCTGCTACAGTGCTCCATACCTTGGAGGTATTTGAGTCCCCAAAGGTACTGTGGAACAGCTAGATCTAGAGTTCTTGTTTCTGCCCATTTTACAGATACGAGCACTGAGATTCAGAGAGATATACGCAAGGCCATAGAGGTATCAAGTGGCAAAACAGGTAAGAGTGTGTGCAGCCCCGCGTCACCGAGGTTAACCCTTACCCTAACCCGACTCTAATCCCAGCCCCTCCCTCTCTGTTTACCCACTTCCCACTTGTCACACTTGCTTAACCTCAAATTTCCCACAGCTGCTAATCACAGTCTGCACCCACCAATCACATCCTGTTCCACCCTCATGAGTATCCTCCCACCTCCTGTGGGAGTGTTGCTGAACTTTGAACAGAGTGTTCTTTGTCCTCCACTATTGGTGCTTGTATCATGATGGGCCTATTCTGACAGCTATTCTTTGAGCTGTTTGGGGTGTCTCCATGTTGTTGGGCCCAGAAGGTATTCTCTTCATCTTCTCAATGTGCAATGCTCATTAACATCTCCAGGGATCAACACGGATAATAAAGAGGAAGCAGAGAGCCCAAGGTTGCAAGGAAGGCAAACCACAACCTTGCTGCAGAGGCTTTAAAAGGCTGGGGTGAAAAGTCATTTGAATGTTTCCAGTCCTGAATGCATTCTCTGTACTGCATCTGACAAAGCTCCCTTGACACACTGAACCCCCATGGATCCTTTTCCCCCTAGCAAAGGGAGCAAAACTCTTAACAATCTACTTCAGTGCATCTCCATAAACAGTGGCCGTCCAGCACCCCTGGGAGGGCTGCCCTGTGTCCTGTAATGAATGCAGGCCCATGGAAAGTATTGTAAAGATCCACAGCCCTACAGAACTTTGAGAACACTGTTCTATCACCATTAACCTACAGTGGGAAACAGAGGCCAAGAGGTAGCAAGGTGGTGTTTATCAAGTTCCCTTAGAAAGTCAGTGGCAGAGCTAGAACCAGATCTTCTTGATTCAAAGGCTCTACCTAACACAGTTTATACTTCCCTGAGCATCCCTGAGGAGAACATCTCTTAGTTTTGTTTTTGCCTCTCAAATTCAATTCACAATTCTTCTGGTTAAGCACCTTCGCAAATTTCTCTTAAAGACCCCTATCCCATAGCCAGCCCATATGGTTTGGGATTTATCCTGCCAGCAGCAGGGTATGATCAGAGTAGGTTCAGATTAGCTTAAGTCAATCAGCATATCTACTTTCCCACTCCCATAGTTTAGGGATGGACACACGACCCAATTCTGCCCAACTGCAATCATAAATAGTTTATTCATCCATAAGGGAGAATGCTGGGATTAGTACTGCTGCAGACTTCATCTGACCATGTGGGGCCAGAGAATAAGAATGTGGAGAAAGGGAAAGAGAGACACAGAGAGAGAGAGAGAGACAGAGACAGACACACCAGAATTCTATGGAAGTGCTGTTTGAACCTTTAATTAGCTCACACTGGAAGCCAGTAAAACCTATTCATTGACTATTTCCATAAAAAAAATTCCTCTGTTGAGTAACAAAAACAAAGATAGTAGAAAAGAAAGGAGGAAAGAAAAGAAAAAAGAGACAGAAAAGGAAATAAGAGAAAAGTAAAGAAAGAGCATTGTTACCAGGAGTGGGGTGAATGGAAGTTGAACCCCAACCTAAAAGTGGTCTTGGCTATGGTAGGCAGAGCTATGTGCAGTGGGCCCAGCAACATAGAGTTCTCATGATCCAACTGATGCTCCTCTTTCTGCTCCTTTTACTGCAACCCAGGTTTTATTTATTAAACCTCAGCTCTTGGAAGACGAAGCTTAGAGACCATCTAGCCTCACTCCTTCCATTTACTACACAGAAAAGCTTATCTCAAAGAGGGAAGGAACTTATCCAAGGCCATACAAGAATCCAAGGAACAGTCACTTATAGAAACATCACGTGTGCCTTAGAGAGCTTTGTAAAACCAGATGCCACCTCTACTTGCCCCTGCACACGAGCTCTCTGCGGCTTCCTACTGTGCTCTAAGAAATAGAAAAGCAGCTCCTGTCATCCGGGGTTTGGTCCTATCAGCTAAAACTTGATGTTGTTGGAAGCTGGCCCAACTTTCTCACCCAGGCCATTTTGTTCCCCTATTGGACCTAAACAATCTTACACAACACCAAGATCAGGTCAGGTCATTCTGTAGCCACAGTGAAGTGATAAGGAACAAGATGACTTCATATTTTTTTTTCTAAGCAAGACAAAACCAAGGTCACTGTGCAAATCGCAAAATACCATGTATCTTTCTTGTCCAGCTCAAATGAGTGGCTGCCGCAACTCTACCAATTATAGCTTTAATCTTGCTCTACTATTATCCCCTTCTAGATTAGGTTTCCTCAGATATTCAATCATAGAATTGTCCCCACTTCCTAACAGCTCAATCTAGAAAAAACTCCACCCCCTTGATGTCTCCCAAAATCATCCATCCAAAGCCCAAATCCCTTAACACTGTCTTGCCGAGACACCCCATGGTTCTCTGTGGTGTACATTCTCCCTCACTACAATAAGTCATAAACCCAACTTGTTCAACTATGGGTGTGTTCCTAATGGTCTTTAGCTGGAAGGCGTTGATATCCAAAAAAAAAAAAAAAGTTCCACTTCCTTTCCTGATACAGAATTCTTTCCATAATCAAGCTTTCCTATTGAGTCCACCTCCATGTCATGCATGCCATCTTGTGCCATGGCAAACTAAATACCATTCTGGGCCTTTCTACCTTCCACATTCAGATCCTGTTAACTGGAAAACCCCTCTTCTCTGATCCTCTGACAGAACTAATTTGGGAAGCCTTCTCTGACCCCAGGTAGACAAAACAAACCCTCATGCCTCTCTGCTACTTCCCTATGCTGCACACACACTGTTATGCACCCATCACACCGAACTGTAATTATGCATAACCCCAGACTGCAAAGCTCTCTGAAGGAAAGGGTCATGTAGGGGCTGATACAGAATAGAGGCTCCAGGTATTGGCTGTTTACTTTCTTCCTACACTGAAATGAATACCTTTCCTATTCGATTGTTGTCATACTTCAAATCATATTCCAAATAAGCATCAAAAATAATAACATGCGGCCGGGCGTGGTGGCTCATACCTGTAATCCCAGCACTTTGGGAGATTGAGGCAGGCAGATCACCTGAGGTCGGAAGTTCGAGACCAGCCTGACCAACATGGAGAAACCCCATCTCTACTAAAAATACAAAATCAGCTGGGCATGGTGGTGCATGCCTGTAATCCCAGCTACTCAGGAGGCTGAGGCAGGAGAATCACTTTAACCCGGGAGGCAGAGGTTGCCCTGAGCCAAGATTGCACTACTGCACCCCAGCATGGGCAAAAAGAGTGAAATTGTATCTCGAAATAATAATAATAATAATTGTTACACACGTCCATATAAAAGGCTACTTGAGCAGGCTTAGAGTGAGCAACAAGGCTGTTTATTCACTTGGGTGCAAGTGGGCTGAGTCCGAGAAAGGAGTCAGCGAAGGGTGGTGGGATTATCGTTGGTTCTTATAGGTTTGGGATAGGTGGTGGAGTTAGGAGCAATTTTTGCAGGCAGCATTCACAAGGGCGGGGTGGGGGGAGGTGCGGGGGTGTATTGTCACTAGGGTGGGGAGGAATGTTACAAAGTACATTCACAAGGAAAGGGAATATCACAAAGTACATTATCACAAGGACAGGGAATGTCACGATGGCTTGACCATGGTGTGGCTAGCTCAGAGGACCTTACAATAATAATAATGATAATGTGCAAATCAAGACTCCTGTGAAAGTGCAGCTTTGGTCTGTTGTAATCATGTCACTTGTCACCTGCACAATGCTCTCAGACTTGCAAAGCACTTCCTCATTACCTTGTCTCATTTAATGCAGTCCTCATGGCAACCTTGGCTTCTATTGTGGCTTCTCATTTCTGTTATGTCTACTCTTCCAAGATGCTTAGACACATGGGGGACTCAAGGCTGGGATGAAATCAGGGAATAACTGTAGTTGTCTGTCACATAATAATAAGCATTTAGTACATGTTAGCTATTGATATGATTATGTTATGAACATTACTCTTACTATTATGGACTAGGATGGTCCTAGGCCTGTTCACCATTAGATAGATTCCTTGCCCTTGATCTGTTCTGCTCTGTATAATGGGGAGAGGTTGGAGTGGAGATTAGGGGGTGGGGAACAGGTTTCCCAAGCTCCTCAGCTGGCTTCTGATTTGATCAGCTAGATGCACTCTTAGGAGATTAGGAGGAGGGAGACTCCAGGTCATGTATGTCTGTCTGTCTGTGTCTGTCTGTCTCTCTTTGTCTCTCTTTATCTCTCTCTCTCTCTCTGTTTGTGTGTGTGTGTGTGTGTGTGTGTGTGTGTGTGTGTGTATGTGTGTGTGTGTCTATCTGTCTCTCTCCCCACTAACCCTCTCTTCTTTAGGCAGATGTTCTTGTAGCATCTCAGGCCAATGCTGGACTTCCCACCATAGCTTCTGTTTGTTGTTAATCTCTGAATTGGCTCATCTTTGCAACCAATTCCCTACATTAAATTCCTTCTGTTTGAAACATCTGGAGTTTGTATTTTTTTTTGCTGGGCCTTGATTAGTGGATGTACTAGGTACGTACATTTGAGCAAGTTACTTGCTGCATTAAAGTATTTTTATCCTGTGAAAAGTTGCTAATATCTCAACATTTTGTATTGAGCATAGAAAGTAAAACATATGGGCACATAGGCATCTCAGCACCTGGCACATAGCAGTCATTTTAAAAATTTAGTTTCTTCTTTCTTCATTAGAAAGAATTGTTATGTGCAAAGATCTCATTCTAGGGACTCCCTAGATAAAGAAATAACTGAAACTATTACAGAATCAACAATGATTATTACAAAATTATGTGCCATACAGAATCTTGAAATACCTAAAAATACAATTACAGCATATTGTCATATAATTGTGTCCACCCAAAAGAATATGTTGAAGTCCTAACCCTCAGTACCTCAGAATGTTACCTTATTTGGAAATAGGGTTGTTGCAGATGTAATCTGTTCAAGATGAAACACTATACTGGAATAGGGTTGGCCTTAATCCAATTTGGCTGGTGTCTTTATAGGAGAAGATGCACAGACAGGGAAACAGGGAGAATGCAGTGTGAAGACAGAGGACTGGAGTAATGAATCTACAAGACGAGGATGCCAAAGATTGCCAGGCAACCTCCAAAAGCCAGGAAGAGGCAAGGAAGAATTACCCTTCAGATTCCAAAAGGAGTCTGGCCCTGCTAACACCTTGCTGTCAGACTCTTAGCCTCCAGAACTGTGAGTGAATAAATTTCTGTGTGTTGTTTTTTTGTTTGTTGTTTTTTTTGCCACACACAGTTTGTGGTGCTTTGTTGTAGCAGCCCTAGGAAATTAATAGAATGGTAAGAAAAGATAATGAGTTGGTAGAATTCTGTTGGCTCTTAACATTTTCATCCTGTTATACGGGCCCTGTATAATCCTTGGGAGCATGCATATGCCGAGATAGCATTCCCATGAGTAGGTTATGTTACATGGCACCCTTGACTCTAAGAAAGGGAGATTATTCTGAGTAGATCTGACATAGTAAGGTGAACTCTTAAAAAAGATGGAAATTCCTTCTGGCGAAAGAGATGTGTGGTGTCAGAACATTTTTATTTGAGAGACAGGCTCCATTTTTGGCTTTGAAGATGAAGGAAGCACATGACAAAGAATGTGTGTGGCCTCTAGGAGCTGAGAGTGGCCACCGGCTAATAGCCAGCAAAGAAATGGGGCCTTCAGTCCCACCATCACAAGGATCAGAATTCAACCAGCAACAAGGATGAGCCTAGAGCTAGGCATGGTGATGTATGCCTTTAGTCTCAGCTACTGGGGGAGGCTGAGGCAAGAGGATCAGCTGAGCTCAGGAGTTTCAGACCAGCCTGAGCAACACAGCAATACCCCATCTCGAAAATCAAAACACAATGAGCTTGAAGCAGATTTTTATCCAGTGTCTCCAGATGAAAATTCAGCTCAGCTAACACCTTGACTCCAGCTTTGTGTTATATTGAAGAGATTCCAACCATGCTATGCCCAGGTTTCTAACCTACAGAACTCTGAGATCATAAATTATTTTAAGCTGCCAAGTTTGTGGTAATTTCTTATGCAAAAATAGAAAACCAATACAGGTAGGTACATTCACTCCTTAAAATTGTATGCAATTATTAAATTATAAAAATGCTAAAGGTCATAAAGAAATATGCAAAATATGTGTAATATAGCATTAACTTTAAAATAACTGAAATAAAATGGTACTCTCTTCTGATGGTATCTATGCCAAATACATATTTATGTGGATAAAACAAAAAATCAAAGAGACTTTGGATGTACTAGGGTGACAGGATTATTAGTTCAAAGTTGTCATTAGTCTTCTTTTATCATTTTAAGAATATAAAATATTATAAAATTCAAGATTTTTCTTGCCCCCAGCCCACATTGAACAGACAGGATAGACTCTAATAGGAAGCATGGTGTCCTATGAGCCAAGCTACTTGAAAAAGAGAACCACATGAGAACTGACATCCTATAAAATTCCACTGGAGAGAGAGATTTCTCAGTTAGATTAATATATCACCACATCACAATGACTCATTTCTCTAGAAATTCCACACAGGCCCTCCTTGTGGCCATTCTCCTCCCTGCCCAAGAGAAAGAAACATAGACACCGTATACTTGGGGCTAAAATTGCAGCTTGTGTTAAGGGCCCAAGATAGCAGGCATGCTCTACACGTTCCACTTTGCATTTCCCGTAGGTCTCTGTCTTGGTCTTTCTCTTTCCATAGCTACCTCCTAAGTGGCTTGAACAAGTTGCTTAACATTCTGTGGCCTCAGTGCCCTATCATAATAAAGACATTATGAATGTATTACTTAATAAATTGTACTTCCCTCTTTTTCCATATATTTGCTGTGTGATCTTAGGGAATACAGTCTCTAGCAGTTTCAGTTTTACAACACCTGAAATGGGTGATGACTACCCATGCCTACCTCCATAGGAATGTTGCTAGCATTGGCATTAACGAGCAGAATTACACTGTTAAAGGTCAAGCCAGAGAGAGGACACCAAATCCCATCCATAGCAGAGAGAATGGGCAGCAAGTGCTGCAAATGGAGGCTGCCAGGTGGAGGTGTACAGAGAGGTTTCTGCCTCAGAGAACTGAAAATCCAAATACTACATGGTGTAATGTAAACTCAGAGGCATGCCAAGCTTGTAGCTTGCTTTGGTTATTAAAATGTGAGTACAAAGGACCTAAGGTCCTTCGGGACAGAAAGGGCCAGTGCTCAGTTCCCCACATCCTCTTTTCCTCTTTGTCATAGTCACCAGCAAAGTTACAGATGGCGGCTGCTCTATCATCTTGCAGTGTGTTACGGATGTTTGTCCCCTCCACAGAATCTCATGTTGAAATGTAATCTCCAGTGTTGGAGGTGGGACCTGGTGGAAGGTGTTTCGGTCATAGGGGTGGATCCATCACGAATGGCTTGATGGCCTCCTTGCAGTAATAAGTTCACATAGATCTGGTTATTTAAAAGAGCCTAGGACTTTTCTTCTCTCTCCCTTGCTCCCTTTCTTGCCATGTGACAAGCAGGCTCCCTTTTGCCTTCCACCATTATTGGAAGCTTCCTGGGGCCCTTGCTAGAAATAGATGCTACCAGTATGCTTTGTGTACAGCCTGTAGAACCATTAGCCAAATAGACCTTTTTTCTTTATAAATTACCCAACCTCAGATATTCCTTTATAGCAATGTAAAATGGACTAACACAGAAAATTGGTACCAGGAATGGAGTGTTGCTATAAAAGTACCTGAAGATGTTGAACTGGTTTTTGAACTGGTAATGGGCAGAGGCTGGAAGAGTTTGGAGATTTCAGAAAAAGAGAGGGAGATGAGGGAAAGTTTGGAACGTCTTAGAGACTTGTTAAGTGGTTGTGACCAAAATGCTGATAGAAATACGGACAGTGAAGGCCAGGCTGATGAGGTCTTAGATGGAAATGAAGGATTTATTAGGGACTAGAATAAAGGTCACTCATGTTACACCCTAGCAAAAAACTTGGCTGCATTATGCTCATGCCCTAAGAATCTGTGGAAGGTTGAACTTAAGAGTGATGACTTAGGGTAACTGGCAGAATAAATTTCTAAGCAGCAAAGTGTTCAAGATATGGCCTGGCTGCTTCTAATAGCCTATGATCAGATGTGGGAACAAAGGAGTGACCAAGTTCAGAACTTATAATTAAAAGAAAAGCAGAAAGTATAACATTGGAAAATCTGCAGCCTGGCCATATGGGAGAGAAAGAAAGAACTTTTTCAGAAGAGGAATTCAAGTGGGCTATAGAGAAACCATTTGCTAGAGAGATTAGCATGACTAAAAGGGAGACAAGGGCTAATAGCCAAGACAATGGGGGAAAGGCCTTAAATCCATTTCAGAGATCCTCAGTACAGCCCCTCCCATCACAGGCCCAGAGGCATAGGAGGAAAGAATGGTTTTAGGGGCCAGGCATGGGACCCTTCTGCCCTGCCCAGCCTCAGGACACTGCTCCCTATATCCTGGCTGCTCCAGCTCCCACTGTGGCTCAAAGGGCCCCAGATACAGCTCAGGTTGCCAGCCCAGAGGGCACAATCCATAAGCCTTGGAAGCTTCCACATGGTGTTATGTTTGCAAGTGCACAGAATGCAGGCTTTCTGATACATCCTCTGAAATCTAGGTGGAAGCTGGTAAGCATCCTTCACTCTTGCACTCTGGCCTGCCACAAGGGCAGAGCCCTGCAAAGAGACTCTACTAGAGCAGTGCCATGGAGAAATGTGGGGCTGGAGCCCCCACAAAGATTCCCCACCAGGGTACTGCACAGTGGAATTGTGGGAATGAGGGCCACTGCCCTCCAGATCCCAGAATGGTAGAGCCACCAGCAGCTTGTACTCTGAGCCTGAAAAAACAGAAGGTACTCAACTCCAACCCATGAGAGCAGCCACATGGGCTGTGTCCAAGAAAGCCACAGGGACAGGAATGCCCAAGGCCTTGGGAGCCCACCCCTTGCACCAATGTGCCTTAGATATGGGACATAGAGTCAAAGGAGGTTGTTTTAGAGCTTTAAGATTTAATGCCTGCCCTGCTGGGTTCCAGACTTGCATGGGGCCTGTTGCCCTTTTCTTCGGGCCAATTTCTCCCTTCTGGAATGGCAGTGTTTACCTAATCCTGTACTACTATTGCATCTTTGAAATAAATAACTTGTTTTTGGTATTGTAGGCTCATGGATGGAAGGAACTTGTTTTGAGTCTCAGATAAGACTATGAACTTTTGACTTCTGAGTGGATGCTCTAATAAGTTAAGACTTTGGGGAACTACTGGGAAGAAATGAATGTGTTTTGCATGTGAGAAGGACATGATATTTGGGGTCCAGGGGTGGAATGATATAGTTTGAATGTTTGCCCCCTCTACAAATCTCTTGTTGAAAAGTAATCCCCAGTGTGGGAGGTGGGACCTGGTGGGAGGTGTTTGGGTCATGGGGGGCAGATCCCTCATGAATGTCTTAAGGCTCTCCCTGTGGTAATCCATTCACATGAGATCTGGTTGTTTAAAAGAGCCCAGCACCTCCACCTCTCTCTTGCTCCATCTCTTGCCATGTGACATAATGGTTTCCCTTTGCCTTCCACCATGATTGGAAGCCTCCTGAGGCCCTCACCAGAAGCAAATGCTGGCACTATGCTTCATATACAGCTTACACAACCATGCAGAGCCAAATAAACCTCTTTTCTTTATAAATTTTTCATTCTCAGGTATTTCTTTATAGTGATTCAAAATGAACTAGCACATCTTGGATCCCATGTATAGAGTAGAGCCCTATCCAAATGCCAAGGAATATGAACAAATTGAACTTTTTTTTTTCTAGCCTCGGACTTATGGGGCTGTTTGTTACTGCAGCATTACCTCCTGCATCCTATCTAGTATAGCTTTAAGCTACTCTCCCCCTCTAACAAGTGGAGAAAATGAGGCTGACAGATGAAATCATTGGCTCAAAAGCACATGGCTACCACTGATAGAACCAAGACTCAAGTTCAGGTGGCCTGACTCCACAGCCCATGACTCTCATTCACTGTGGAAACTTCCCTCTGCCCCTTGATGCCTGGATAACCCAACATTGTGTTCAAGTGGAAGCAGGGATGTCACAAGAATCCCACTTTAAAATGAGCAGTATACTGTGCCATTCATTACCTGGACTAATGAGACAAAGGTGATGCAGGAGATGCCAAGCATGAGGGCATTCTGACAGCAAGAGGTATCTCATTAGGAAAATAATCCTGAATGACATTGTTCTTCTCTCAACAGGCTCCCGAAGAGGTCCAGGTGCCAAGATAGTCCCTTTCCCCAAGTCCCACAGGATCTAATTGTGGGTTCTGCCCTGCCTGGATGTCAGCTTAGATTTTCTCAGGCCACAACTGGCTTGGCAGTGGGTATGTTAGCCCTGATTTTAAGAGAAGCAAACATTATGTAGCAGCCCAAAAAAGAAGCCCCTACTGAGAACTTTGGGTACTAAGAGACAGGTTCTATGTACTCCTCCCAGTTGATGATACTCAGTGAGATGACATGTTTGCCAGGGACAGTACACATCTGTGCACCCTGAGGTTATGCAAGATCACTCAGGCTAAACAGTTAGGATACCCAGATTCACGACCACCTCAAAAACAGACTATCAGCGTGACCTTGGTTCTATCTCTGAGCCCTGGACTCCCTATTCATAGCACAAGAGAAATGGAAAAGTGATATGTAAGGTGATTTCCAGCTTAAAATATAATAATAAAAACTGATGTCAACTCTCACACATAGCTGATAGGCCTATAAATTGGTACATCCCCTATGGAGAATAATTTGGCCATATCTATCAAAGTTAAAAATGTTTAGCAATCTCAGACCTAGGAATTATGCTAAAGATATGCTTGCACAGTGAAATAATGTTTGCTCAAAGTAATTCATTGCAATATTGTTTGTAACAGGAAAAAACTGAAAGCAATCCAAATGCCCACCTATAGAACCCAAGTAAATAAATGATGGTGCGTGCATACAATGGAATATCCCAGAGCTATGAGAAAGGAGGAAGCTCTTTATGTCTGAATGCAGAAATACATCCAAGATACATTAAGTGGAAAAAAATAAAGCCAAAAGAGTTTTTGAAATACGCTACAATTTATGTAAGAAAAAGAAGATAATATGATGGGGATTTAATTTTGATTAATCTACACATGAAATACCTTTGGAAAGATATACATACACATACACACGTACACGCACACATACACACACACACACACACACACACACAGAGTAACATTGGTAATCTCCAGGGAAGAGAAATGTGTGGCTAGGATAAGGAATAAAAAGAGTAATTTTCAGTGTACCTTTTTCTTTCTTTTGATTTTTTGAACCACATAAATATATTACCACAAAAAAATGAGTAACATTGCAATATTTTTAACTGCTGCCAGCCAGGGGTTGAATAAGAATCAAGAAAATTCCCAAAAGCACATTCTGAAGATGCTGACGAATCTCAAGTATCTTCCTCCTGGAGCCCACTACCCAAAGGTTTCTCATGGGCAAAATTTTTCTCTTCTCTATTCCCAGTATACATTGTATTATCTGCCTTCCTATCATCCATTGCTCTTCAGAAATTTCACCATATACCTTAAATGAAACTGTAAGACTTTTAACATTTTCTTTTCAATTTTGAAAAAAATGAACTTAGGGATAAGTGAAGGAAGACATGTGATACAGTTTGGATGTGTGTCCCTGCCAGACTGCACTAAAATGTAACCCCGATTGTTGGAGGTGGGATGTAGTGGGAGGTGACTGGATCATGGGAGCGGATTTCTCACAAATAGTTTAGCACCATCCCTCTTGGTACTGTCCTTACTATAGTGAGTGAGTTCTCTTAAAAGCTGGTCATTTAAAAGTGCATAGCACCTCCCCCTCTCTCTTCCTCCAGTTCGGGCCATGTGACATGCCTGCTTCCCCTTTGCCTTCTGCCATGACTATAAGTTTCCTGAGACCTCCCCAGAAGCCTAGCAGGTGATAGCATTACGTTTCCTGTATAACCTGCAGAACCATGAGCCAATTAAATCTCTTTCTTTATAAATTATCCAGTCTCAGGTATTTCTTTATAGCAACGCAAGAATGGACTAAGACAACACGGAAAGAAGTAAGCAGAACCAAGCTCTAGGTAGGGCTCTCATTTCCCATGCAGCTGTTGGGTGAGCACCTTGCCCTCTCAGAGCCTCAGTTTCCCCACTGGTTCAAAAAGAGCTATGGGATAGCTGAGGTCTCAGGTCTACTTCCTTCCAGCTTTATGTTTCTGGGGTTCTAAGAATCATGTGGAATAGAGAAAAGGCAAGACCACATTTTGGAGGAAACTTTGGACCAGCTGCCTGATGAGCATTTTCTCACTTTACTGTCATCTGGCAACATCCTAAATGAACCAATGAGTGTCCAGATGGGGGCCAAACTATGAGTCAAATCAACACACACTCACTTATTATTTATGTACAAATTCTGTGACAGGTGCAGTATTAGAAGCCAGAAATACAACTATAAACAGGATACAATTCTGCCTGGACAGAGATCATAGTATAAAGTACACTATGTAGCAGACAAAAAGGTGATTTCAGTCTCCAGCATCTCATGACAAACACGTCCACATCTGGCCACAACTGACTAACTGGCACTTAACTTGGTATCCTGCCAAAACAATCAAAACACTACAAAAATATATGAGTGATTTTTTCCAGCACAGTATTTTGATCATTGATAGCGAAGAAATACAGAAGTGAGACTCATGTTTGTCTTGGCTTTCTGCCTGGTGGTTATTTTCTAGACCCGACACAGAGAGGTGGAGGCCAAACAGCATCGCAGTCTTGTTGAACTGAGGAACCCGAATTAGAGTTCTGGGCTGCTGACTCATCTGGAATTTGTGAGGAAGGGTACCAGAGAGTTCATATGGGGAGTACCTGTTAGAATTTGGATATTGGCTGGCCTGCATATTTGCAAGGTAAAACTCTGTAAGGTCTAGAAAAGAGTGGTTGATGCAGGGCTGAGAGCTGAACAGAAATGTGAGAGGTTGACCAGTGCTGGGAACCTCTGGAATCCTGGCCCACCTGCAGTGGAGTTGCAGTTGAGGCTTCAGAAAGAGCAGGTTATAGTAGTGAATATTACATCAAAATCAAAGTAAGGCACACACATGAAGATAACTGATAAGCCAAAATAGATCCCTCCTAACAAAGTATAAGACAATAATGACAGTTTCAGAAGGACACGCCGGTAATTTAACTGCTTACCAGGATAAAATTCAATACCATTTAAGTCCAATCAATATAATCCAGACCACCTACAGCAAACTATCTACCATTCTTAGGTAACAAACAGGACATAAATAAGTAATTAGATAGGCAAACAAATAAGGAGTAAAATGAACAGATCCCAAGATAATTCAGATGTTAGAATTTGCAGATGAGAACTTTAAAATAGATACTATAAATATTTTTGAAAGATTTAAAGAAAATTGGATATAATGGGAGGATAGCTAGGAAATCACAGCAGAGACATCAGAAGTAAGAAAATAAAAATAAAAATCTGATGACTAAAAACTACCATATCTAAAATAAAAAGCTTACTCTGGGGTTAGTAGCAGTGCAGGCACTGCAGAAGAAAGAGTCCTTGAATATAAAAGCAGATCAACAGAACTAATCCAGTCTGAACAATGGATACATATACACAAATATTAAAAAATAAAGAGACTTTGCAACCCGTGACAGTGCAGAAAAATATCTTTAACACATTTCTGAGAATTTTAAAAAAACATAAGGAACCAAGAGAGATACCATATTCATGGATTGGAAGGTTCCAATTAAGTGGTAGATTCTCCCAAAATTGCTCTACAGACTTAGCGTAAATTTTGATCAAAATCCCAAAAGTATTTTTTCTTTTTAAATAAATCAACATATTGGTGCTAAAGCTTGTATGGAAGTATAAAGAACCAAAAATAGTTAAAACAATCTTGATTAAAAGAGTCCATGTGCAAATCCAGAGATATATGGGAACTTTATACTTTTTACTCACATTTGCTGTGAACCTAACACTGCTCTAAAAAATAAAATACATTGTTTAAAAAGTACTTGTGCAGTGGGACTTGCTCTATTGCACTTCTGTTGTAAGAATCTTCCACTCTTGGTGGCTGCTCCCACGGTTCTGGGTCTCAGAATGAAAAAAGAGCATAGATCTGAGCTGGCCAGACCCACAGCTTGAATAGAGATGCTCTGCTAAATAGCTCGGATCAGCTGACTCCTAACTAAACCACAGACATGTGAGCAAAAAAATAATTGCTATTTAAAAAAAAATTGCAGAGGGTATATACCCAGTAATGGGATGGCTGGGTCAAATGGTATTTCTAGTTCTAGATCTCTGAGGAATTGCCATACTGTCTTCCACATGGTTGAACTAGTTTACAGTCCCACCAACAGTATAAAAGTGTTCCTATTTCTCCACATCCTCTCCAGCACCTGTTGTTTCCTGACTTTTTAATGATCGCCATTCCAACTGGTGTGAGATGGTATCTCATTGTGGCTTTGATTTTCATTTCTCTGATGACCAGTGATGATGAGCATTTTTTCATGTGTCTTTTGGTTGCATAAATGTCTTCTTTTGAGAAGTGCCTGTTCATATCCTTCACCCACTTTTTGATGGGGTTGTTTGTTTTTTTCTTGTAAATTTGTTTGAGTTCGTTGTAGATTCTGGATATTAGCCCTTTGTCAGATGAGTACATTGCAAAAATTTTCTCCCATTCCCAAAGGATTATAAATCATGCTGCTATAAAGACACACGCACATGTATGTTTATTGTGGCACTACTCACAATAGCAAAGACTTGGAACCAACCCAAATGTCCAACAATGATGGACTGGATTAAGAAAATGTAGCACATATACACCATGGAATACTATGCAGCCATAAAAAATGATGAGTTCATGTCCTTTGTAGGGACATGGATGAAGCAGGAAACCATCATTCTCAGCAAACTATCATAAGGACAAAAAACCAAACACCGCATGTTCTCACTCATAGGTGGGAATTGAACAATAAGAACACATGGACACAGGAAGGGGAACATCACACACCAGGGCCTGTTGTGGGGTGGGGGGAGGCGGGAGGGATAGCATTAGGAGATATACCTAATGTTAAATGATGAGTTAATGGGTACAGCACACCAACATGGCACATGTATACATATGTAACTAACCTGCACGTTGTGCACATGTACCCTAAAACTTAAAGTATAATAATAATAATAATAATAATAATAATAATAAAAGCAGAGGTGTAGGTCTTACATGGATTTCAAGACTTGTCATAAAGCTATAACAATTAAGACAACAAGACATCAAAATAATGATAAAAAATAGATCTACAGAAAAAAAAGAACAACAGCAGAAGATCCAAAATAAACCCTTACATATGCAGACACCTGATATATTATAAAGGTTCAACTGAAATCAGCTGGGGAAAGATGATATTTTTAACAAGAGTCCTGGGTCAACTGATATCCATACAGACAGAATCAAAGTGACAGTTTTTATAGTATCTATATAACACTTTATGTGAAAATCAATTTTAGATGGATTACATAGACCTATATTTGAAATGTAGAGTAATAGAAATTCTAAAGATAATGTGAGACAGGATTTTTTTTTTATTGTGGGGAACACAAGTATTTCTTAAATATGGCAAAAATAAATAAAAGACTGATAATGGGACATCTTTAAAATCAAAACTGTTATTCATCAACAGATGCCATTAATTAAGTGAAAAGGCAAGCTACAGAAAGAAAAAGGATATTTATGATATGTATACAAGGACTCAGATCTAGTAAATATAAAGAACTACAAATCAATAAGACACAACTCAATATAAAAAAACAAAAGACCTGAATATCCAATTCAAACACATGACATCAAGATCACCTGTGTGTGTGTGTGTGTGTGCATGCGCGTGCACACGCGCATATGTAAAGGTTGCTCAATTTCACTAGTCATCAGAAAAATACCACAATGAGCTATCACCACATACCTACCAGAATGGCTAATATTAAAACACAGACAACACCAATATGCAATCTGTCATATTAGAAAGCTATTTGGCAGTATCTGCTTAAGCCAAAGAACAACTCTACTCCTAGTTACATATCCAAGAGAAATGGAGTCCAATACTACCAAAAACACGTACAGAATATTTACAGTCACGTGGTTCATTATGTCTAAATAATAGAAACAACTCAGATGTCTGTAAGCAGTAGAATGGATACATTTTGGTATATTCATTCCATGACATACTATTTAAGAGTAACAACGTGGGCCAGGCACGGTGGCTCACGCCTGTAATCCCAGCACTTTGGGAGGCCGAGGCGGGTGGATCACGAGGTCAGGGGATCAAGACCATACTGGCTAACACGGTGAAACCCCATCTCCACTAAAAATACAAAAAATCAGCCGGGCTTGGTGGCGGGCGCCAGTAGTTCCAGCTACTCGGGAGGCTGAGGCAGGGGAATGGCGTGAACCCAGGGGGCGGAGCTTGCAGTGGGCCGAGATTGCGCCACTGCACTCCAGCCTGGGAGACAGAGCAAGACTCTGCCTTAAAAAAAATAAATTAAAAATAAATTAAAAAGTGAATACAACATGGATGAGACTCAAATATAATTTCAAGTGGAAGAAACTAGCCAAAAAATATATAATTTATGCTCTTATTTATATAAAATTCAAAAACAGGGAAAATAATTCTAGTAGTCACAATACCTTTGCAAAGGAGAATCAATGACTTGGAGTGAGACCGAGGAGGGCTTCTGAGGTGCTGGTTATATTCTGTATCTCGATCAGGATGTTGTTTACATTATTATATTCAGTTATAATGTGTCTTTTCCTGCATTTTTATTATTCTTCAAAATAAAGGTTTATCCACACACACACCAAAAAATAAGGAACTGCAAGAGTCCAGTTGAGAGCTGACGAGAGCCAATGCAGTGATACTAGTGATGGTAGGAAAGATACATAGTCAAGAAATATTCAGGAGCTAAGTTGGTGGGTCTGTTTTAATTGAACATATGCAGGGATGGAGTAGGGCGAGGACTGAGGAAAAGGCAGGAATCTGAAATGAATCTTAGGTTTCTTTTTAGCTTCGCTGAAGAAATGAATGGTTGAGCCAATGATGGAGATGAAAACTTCGAGAAGAACATGTTGAGTTGAAGTGCCTGTGGCAATCCACAGGAATAACTCCAACAGCTAGTTAATCGTAAGTTCAGCAGAACTGTCCGCGCAAGAGATATGGGTGTGGGAGTCATCAGCCTCCCTGGTCATAATTAAAATAATGAGATTGGATAGACTCACTCACAAAGAGAAATATGAAGGGGTATGGTAGCCAGCACTCTGGGGAACATTATATTTAAGGGAAAGGCCCAGAAACAGAAAGCTGTGACCAAGACAGAAAAGGTTCAGCTGTAGAAATTGTTAAGAAACCAAGAGATATAGTTATGGAAGCCCAGTCCTGAGGGAAAGTCCTGAAAAACTGTGGCCAATAAAGTGACTTCTCTCCAACAGCTTGGCAGGAAGGCAAGAAGTTAGCTCTATAGCCGTGGTCCTTGGGCAAGTTATTTCTCCCCTCTGAGCCTCATTTTTTTCAGCTCCAATGTGGGAATGTTACAGCTAAAGAGTATTGTTAAAGGCTATTGTGAGAAGTAAATAAGACAATGCATATGAAGTGTTTAGCAAATAGTGAAAGGTCTATGGTCATGGTGACCTATAGAAACTATGAGCAAATCAAGCAGGGTGTTCTTTCTCAGGATGAGAGAGATAGGGATATGTTTAGAGACCAAACAGAAGAGCCAGTGTATAAACGTCACTGGATACCCAGAGAAGAAGCAGAAAGGGCAGCCCCACGTCCCCAGGTAGATGGAAACACCTGCCACTCTGACACAGGGTAAGAACGGATGTGGAGAAAGACACATCTGACAAAGAAGTGGTAGATGAAGCAACGAAAGGGGTCATTCCTACCAAAGGCCTCCGCCATGAACTCACATGCATTTGGGCAAGACCCCTAGGTGTGGGACAATCGGTGCAGATACTAGAGATATTGTAAGAAATAACAAGTTTCATTTAACTCACTTACTCATCATTTAGCCACTCACCTTTGACACATACTAAATGCCTACTGGGTGATTTACAGGGAAAAAAGAAATCCTTCATACCCTTGAGGAGATAACAGTTCCACTGGGATGCTGAACAAGGAAGAAAAGTGCAGTGAATATATATTGAACATTGCCTTTGTACCGAACCGTGGGCTTACATGCATGATAAATGATATCATGTGTATCCCTTAGCAGAATGGGAGGTAAAAATCACTATTCCCATTTTACATATGTGAATACTGAGGCATGAAAATTTAACTGATTAGCCCAAGGTCACATGGTTGTGTCTGACTGGTAGTGCAATAAGAGAATGCATATAAGCAAGTGATTGCAAGGAAGTAAGGTGAGATGTGTGTTGCAGAGGTGGGAATTATGGAGGGGTCAATGAAGAAACTGACGTATAAGTTAGATTCCGAAATAAGAGTTAAAGAAAAAGGGTCAAAGGCAAGAAAAAACTGACGAATGTTCCATTGTCACCAGAATATATGTGTCCACAGCTCACTCCTTGTATAGAGAGAAGTTGTCTATAAGTCGTGCTTGCCTCCCCATTATCAAAATGTGGCTCCTTCTTGAATAAGTACAATTCATTATCATGACTGAAGTTATACTGGATTTTCTCCAAGCTTTCCTGAGTATGCAGAATTGTCCTTCTGCACTGTCAAATCCCCAGATCACATACTTAGCAGCTGTTTTCAAGATATTTTGTCAGAATTGCTTGTCATAGAGGCATAGAATAATGTGTCGCAGGCATTTTTGAATATAACTGTCTCTCACTAGAGAGTTGGGGTCCAGTAACCTTGATGAGCTTAGGAAGCTCGAGAGACCTCCTGGCATGCAGCCCTGTGCTTACCCTGTCTGCCTGCACACTGTCCCAGATGCTCTGAGCTCACAGCCTGTCAATGTGAAAAGACAAACACACAACTGACAAAGTGTAACAAGTGTCAAACAAGAGGAATGTGGGACAGAACGAAGTGTTAGCTCTACACAGACAGCACTCCTCCAAGGAGGTCAGACCACGGTTCAAGCAGCATGAACAAAAAGCAGGGAGTTTGCATGTTCAAGGGTAACTTCATGAACAAAAGTTACTTGGGCCTGAAAGAAGGCAAACCCAGGGACAGGATGCCTGGAAATGAGGAGATGAAGGGTACTTGAAGTCAGACTCAAAAGTTAAAATGTATCTTAAAGGCAGCAGGGAGCCCCTGAAAGACAAGGAACAAGGGGATGTCAAGGGAAGTGCATGATGGTGAACTGGAGATGAGATGGATCCACAGGAGGCAGGGTTGTGGAGGCCTCATGTGATGGGAGGATGTGGGTGTCACTCAGGTCTTGGCGGTGTGGGTGGATGGAAGCGTGGTGGGTGGGCAGCGAATATGTGTAATGCTGTTGTAATCAGGCGACCAATCAGACAAGGGCTGGGGAGGGAGCAGTCGGGCTGGCCCTCAGGCTTCTGGTTGGACAAGTGGATACACAGCCATGCTGAGAAACGGACACAAACAAAGAAGCAGGTTAGGGGAAGAGGGTCAGTCAGTGCAGTTTGGGGTGTGAATGGACTGTGGGACCTGCAGGCTCTGCAGCATCCTGGGGCTGACATCAGAGCAGCAAGTTTCCCTTGTCATTCCTATCATGAGCCAGTTTCATAGTCAGGTTTCTGGCCTTTTCCAAGGAAATCCCTGCTGCCATGTGCATCCATGCACGCACACACAGGTGCATCCCTCACCTCCATCTCCTAATTGCACAGACACCTCCCTCCACTTATCAACAGGCCAACCCATTTCAGACCATCAGTAAAATGCCATTTAGTGATAACCTCCCAGTGATGTCTGATCCTTTGGTGGCTGCTGCCACATCCCCCAGGGACTCATGAAATTGTGTCTGTCTTGATACTCTGCTGGGGCCACTTTGTGGAAGGATGCCAATGCCCCCATGTTGCCAGAGGTATCTGCACCTGTTCCCTTTCCCTTCCTTGCAGCATCTAGCACTGTGCTCAGCTGCATTGGGAAATCCTGCTTGCTGGCCTCTTTGCTTCCTCCCAAGTGTCCTCCCTTCCTCTCTGCACATTCTTCTCACCATATCGGGTCTATGAGTCACCTGATGAACTTGTTAAAACACAGATTCTGATTCAGTCGGTGGGGTGGGGGGTGTCCAGAATTCTGCATTTCAAACTCCAAGGTGATGCCAATCCTGCTGGTCTCCAGCAAGATTTACCCATGCCCACTGTCTCCACTGCCTCACACCCACCTCCAATGCCCACCTCCTTACCAGAACATCTCTGGCTTAATTCACTAATGGCCTCTATGTGACTAAATCCCCTGGACATTAGCAACTGACCCTCCTGCTCCTGGAAATAGTCTCTTCTCTGATCTGACATTGGATGGAAGCTCCATGAGACATCTGCTTCTACTGTAAATGGGCTGGCTAGAAACTTCCCAAAAGAAATGCCTGTCGATTCCACTTTCTGCACCCTCGCTGGGAGCTGACTCCCCGTCTCTGTCCTTTCTGAGAGTCTCAGAGTGCTCTGGGTCACTCTGTCTGCTCTCTGTCCAAAAGTAGGAGAATGTCTTCATCTACAGCAGCAGCATCCAGCAGAACCCTCCACAATGCCAGAGATATTCTATATCCACACTATCCCACATGGTTGCCACTAGGCACATGCAGCTCACGTGGCCAAGAAACTGAAATTTTTATTTTTACTTAAGCTTAATTAACTTAAAAGGCCACGCATGGCCAACAGCTGACATACAGGACAGCACAGATCTATGTGCACAACACCCCAGAAATGAGCTCATCGCATACCACATGTTCCTCAGGACTATGGCAAACTTTAACAAGTCTGCAGTTATCCTGGAAGGTGGTAAACATTAGTGGATGGAAAGCATGCCTGCCAGACTCAGATGACTTGAGTACAAATCCTGCTTCTGATACTGAATGAGTGACTTTAACAAGTCACAACTTCAGTTGTCTTCATTGGTAATAATATGAATATAACCTCAGAATGTCTTCCTAGGGGTAAGAGTAGTACTTATCTCATTGACTTTCTGGGAGTGTTAAATAAGTAAATGTATATAGAGTGCTTAGGTCAATGCCTAACATATAAATGCTCAATCAGTGCTGTCTTGTCACGATTTTGATTAAGTCTCCAACCTGGTTTTGCAAAGAAGGGATTATTGTCTTACCATCTTCATTTTGCCAATATTAAAGAAAAAGGGGCCACACCAAGAACACACAGAAAACGAGGGCTTGAATATGGTCCTGCCCAGCTCGGAAGCAGCTGGCAGGTCAACCAGGGGCCGGATGTCCCATTCGAAGCTGCAGTGACTGCCTCCCAGGGCGGCCTTCCCGGTGAGCTGGGCTGTGGGGCAGCTCCCACAGAGCTCACTATCTCCATATCCCCAGAAGTGGCTGGTGGGCCAGATGTAGCAATGCGGGCACCTGCCATGTTCAGTGCAGTTGTGGCCTGTGGTCTATCCTCAGGGGCCTGAAAAGGACTTGTAGCTCCCCTTCCCAGATCCTCAGGGCCTGCATAATACCCCTCTTCCACTCTACCCTACAGGGACAGGACACACCTCCCTTTCTACCCAATGTAGCCAACTGTGTGTTTCTAAATTCAGAGGAGATCCCAGCAAGATGCCACGTGCTTTTGAGATATCCTCATTGTCATTCCTTGCAGAAGGTACCCTACCCCAGGAAGCAGTCATGGGGAGCTAGCCACCCAAGGAGCCCACATGGGATGGGCAGATCAGAAGGCTGTGATTTGAAAGCCAAAGGCAGAATCCTTGCTCTCCTATCTGGACAGGGTAGGCAACTGGACTGGAGTGGGATTATCACTGGGCTTGGATCCAGAAGACTGGGACTCAAATCCTTGCTTTGATACTTCCTGTTTGATCTTAGTGAGTTCATATTACCTCTCCGAGGCTGTCTCAATGAGTGAAAATAAGCTTGTATGTAGCAATGCATGACTTTTAAAGTATTTTCACAAGTGTGAATTGAATCATTTGTTCATTCAGCAAATATTCATTGAACACCCACTGTGTGTTCTGTCCCTGGAGAGACAATGGTAGGCAAAGCAATAAAATCCTTGCCTTCAGAAAGCTCACTTTTTAATCTAATCAGCTAAGTGTAATATTAACCACTGAGATCAATCTTATGAAGAAATATTACATAACAATGAAAATGCATCAACACCAGCTGTGTGGTTGTTTCAATTATTCTGTTTGCTCCCCTAATTCAGTCTCTGTCCTCCCTCATGCACCTGGAGGCCCAAATCTATTCACTGCATCTCTCAGCCCTCTTACCCTCTGGTGGTCAGTGGGGCTCAGCCAGTGAGAGGCTACAGCAGGAGGTAGAAGGTAAATTTAAAACAAAAACAAAGCTCAGGGCATTTCTTTCTTGTTTCCCTCCACCATCCCCTACCCCAAAGTTCTTAGTTTTCATACTTAGTTTCTACCACTCCCTCCCCTGCCCCTTGAGACCTGGGAAGTAACAGCTCCCTGCTATTGTTTGTCCCTGGCTGCCTCCTCATTCCTCATTTGTTTCCTCAATTCTGCTCATATCCCTGTAAATAATCTCTTCATGCCTAGACATGGTAACTCATGCTTGTAATCCCAACACTTTGGGAGGCCAAGACAGGAGGATCACTTGAGGCCAGGAGCTCAAGGCTGCAGTGAGCTATCATCCTGCCATTACGCTCCAGCCTAGCATAGCATCTTCCAATCTCTTCTTCTTTCTCTCTCTCTCCATTGCCACCTCTCCTCCTTTGACTCTGACCATCCCTGCCTCCCTCTTTTATACCCCTTGTGATTACAGTGGGCCCAGATAAATCAGTATAATTTGCCCACCTCAAAATCCTTAACTCCATCATACCAGCAAAATCCCTTCTGCTATGTGAGAGAATACATTCATAGATTCTTGACAGCAGGATGTGGACATCTTTTGTGTGTGTGTGTGTGTGTGTGTGTGTGTGTGTTTGAGACTGAGTTTTGCTCTTTTCGCCCAGGCTGGAGTTCAATGGAATGATCTCGGCTCACTGTAGCCTCCACCTCCCTGGTTCAAGCAATTCTCCTGCCTCAGCCTCCTGAGTAGCAGGGATCACAGGCACACACCACCACGCCCGGCTAATTTTGTATTTTTAGTAGAGACGGGGTTTCACCATGTTGGCCAGGCTGGTCTTGAACTCCTAGGTGACAGAGTGAGACTGTCTCAAAAAAAGAAAGAAAAAAAAACCTTCCTCAATAAACTCTAACTAGAAACAAACATGCTGTAAAGGAAAGAGCAGGTGCCTTGAGAATGTTTAATGACAGGCTCATTTCATCTAGGCAGGGAGATTTATCATCTCAGGTGGGATTGGAAGAATGTATATGAGGTAGACAAACACTTGTACAATAGTATTAAAATCCTCCACTTTACAAATGAGAAAAGTGAGGTTCAGAGAAGGGAAGGGTGGCCAAGGTTATGCAAATCCAGTCTTGTTTGTGCATGCAAAGCAGCTCACTGTGACATTTGCCTTCCAAGTCCTAGGGACTTTTATTACTTTCCTATTGCTGCAGTAGCAAAGTTCCACAAACTTGGTGATTTAAAAAGTCAAGAAACAACAGATGCTGGCGAGGTTGCGCAGAAATAGAAACACTTTTACACTGTTGGTGGGAATGTAAATTAGTTCAACCATTGTGGGAGACAGTGTTGCAATTCCTCAAAGATTTAGAACCAGAAATACCATTTGACCCAGCAATCCCATTACTGGGTATATACCCAAATTAATATACATCATTCTATTACAAAGATACATGCACGTGTGTGTTCACAAACTCTGACTCTGACCATCCCTCCCTCCCTCTTTTATGCCCCTTTTGATTACGGTGGGCCCAGATAAATTGGTATAATTTGCCCACCTCAAAATCCTTAACTCCATCATACCAGCAAAATCCCTTCTGCTATGTGAGAGAATACATTCATAGATTCTGGACAGTAGAATGTGGGCATCTTTATTATTATTATTATTATTATTATTATTATTATTATTATAGACTGAGTTTTGCTGTTTTTGCCCAGGCTGGAGTGTAATGGCATGATCTTGGCTCACTGCAACCTCTGCGTCCCAGGTTCAAGCAATCCTCGTGCCTCAGCCTCCTGAGTAGCTGGGATCTCAGGCACACATCAGCACACTTGGCTAATTTTGTATTTTTAGTAGAGATGGGGTTTCACCATGTTGGCCAGACTGGTCTTAAACTCCTGACCTCAGGTGATCTGCCTGCCTTGGCCTCCCAAAGTGCTGGGATTACAGGTGTGAGCTACCACACCCAGCCTGGATGTGGGCATCTTTAAGGGGTCCATTATTCTGCTACTACAGGGGCCTACGGCCATGGAGTGGATGGTAACTTGCCCATCATAAAGACTAGGTCCTATTGCTGAGGTGTTACCTGCAGCAATGTTGCCTACGGGCAGCCACAAACAAAACCAGGATTCTGAGGCCAGATGGCCTTTGGCAAAAGGGGCTGGTCCAGCCTACTGTCAGCTTTGTGACCCTGAGTGAGACACATAACCTTTGTAAGCTTCACTTTACCATTTGCAAAATGGGAACACTATCTGGTCCCCATGCTGAGAAGACACGAGCTGGTGTGTCAAGAACTCACCACACAGTAGGGCCTCGGGCTCTTCCATCTCTCTTGTCCTCCTCCTGCCTTCCATTCTCTAGATGCACACACACGTGCAGCTCACGTTCAGTCCCTCAGCAGATGCTATCACTATACTTTGGAGACTGATGAGCTGTTACTAATGGGATTTTTGTGTGTGAGCAGGGAGAGGCAGTGGGAGAATAGAAGAGCTTCAGTACCTCATTCATCCTGCTGAGATTTTGACACAGACACAGATCTTAAGAGAATTAGGCAAAGAAGCAGACATGCTATGAATAAATGTCAGTGCCCCTCACAAAAGGTTACCTCCCAAGGCCTCACTTTTTGCCTGCCAATACTCTGAGGTACCAGAGTATCTCTGATCACGACGCCCATCTTTTTAACATCTTTTGAAGACTGCCCTGCTGCTGACAGGACAGAGAGAGGCCTCCATTGTGGGGAACCTCAGATGGCCTTGTGCCTGTCTCCTGACTGCTCTTCTCATTTGGGCCTCCATCCCCCCCGTTCCAATGCAAGCAAAAAAAGAGGGTATGTCCCAAATTTGATATCCTCTTAGATATCTAATCCTATGTAAGACCTGTTACTTGACATCTTTCGGTGAAGCTTCTTCAGTTGTAAAATGGGTCACTGTGAGGCCAAATAAGATCACAGTTGGAACACACCAAGAACACTGCCAAGATACAATAGCTAGCAGAGATTTCATTAACATAACACTTACAGTGTGCCAGGTGTTCGATAAGGTTTGGATGCCCTCCTTTATCACACTGTCTAATAACTGACATCTTTCTCAGGAGACTGTGGACCATGGGAGGGTACAGAGGTGTCACTTATGTGTATGTGTGTGTGTCCGTGAGTGCCTAGAGCATTGCAGGTATCCAGTGAATGCTTGCAGGAAAGCAAATGGAAGAACAAGTAAGAAAAGGACAACTGGTATGCCCACCAATGTTCAATTCAGTAGAAAGTTTTCTTCTGGAGACTCCAGGGACTGTTATTTTCCCTGGTCTACTAGGTGTTCCTGCTACCATACTGCAGCCTCAATGACTGATCTTACTAATGACACATTTGACCTTGTTACTTTTGTGTTTAAAACCTTTTAATGGTCTCCAGGTACAAGTCCAACGTTCTTAGCTTGGTCAAATCAGACCCTCCTGATCTGGCTCTACTGGATTGTATCTCTCTTGCTGCATCTCCAACCACCCTTCTTCTTGAATTTTGTGCATGAGCAGCACCAAACTTGGCACCATCCTCCAAATACCACTGTATCTTTCCTCACATTGTGCCTCCATCCAGAGGCTCTCTTCCTTCTCAAAACCCACAATTATCTCTCTAGAGCTGGCTCCAGACGACCTTCCAGGGCAACTTGCAGCACCCTTGAAAAGAATTATTGCCCATTATGTTTGCTCTCACTTCACTAACAGCTGTAAATACCTTTACCATGCATCAGTATTTGGGCAGATTCTGTGCCACACAACTGTCATACCTTATCTCTAAGCCAGTGCCTCTCAAATTTTTCCCAGGCATTCTAATGCCCCGAAGGACTTTAAAGACAGATTCCTAAACCCCACCCTCAGATTCTGCTTCAATAGGTCTGGGGTGGGGCCGGAGAATTTACATTTCTGATAAGTTTCTATCACTGCTGCTGCTGCTCCATGATCACACTTTGAGTAGCAGTGCCTCACTTGTGAGCAAAATTACATTATCATCTTGCAAGGGGGGAGAGGTAAGGACTTGCCATAGGCTAAATGATCCAGTGGTGAGGCTAGATTTTGAAACCCAGTCTCTGAAGCCACAGCCTGGCTCCTTTACTCAGCAACAGCACTAAGAGCATCCAACATTGACTAGCAGTTACCTCTAGTTCATTCCACCAAGCACACATATACAGTATCTCATTTAATCCTCAGAATCTTCTAAGGTAAAGCCATTGTTCCTACACGACAGCTGATGAGGAAACAGGGGCAGAAAAGGTATCGCAGCCAAAGTCACACGGAACTGAGCGAAGGGACAATGACCACGGGCCCATGCGCTAACAATGACCATTTTCTAAATGTGACGTTGCTCACCCTTCATTGCAATTCTTGGTTTACACACCAAGTCTTTCTGGCCAGGCCACGAGCACCTTTGAAGTTAGGGGAAATCATCTCATTTAACTTCACATCCTAGCCACTGGCAAAATGCAAGCAATTAGCAGGTACCTACATATGTTTAATGAATGAATATGTAAGACTGAAAGAGTGAACAAAGAACAGGAAAATAACCACATTCTTAGCCACTTGACAAGTAGATTGACCTTCTCTCTATAAATGATGTGACTCAACTCACAGAACAATCCATAGAGGGGCTTCGAGGAGGTGAGTTTGTCTTCAAATTAAAAAAAAAGGAGCAAAACAACAATAACAACAACAAAAAACACTTCATCTCCAGAAGCTGTAGGTTGACACTGAAAGAAGGCTCTGGAACCAGGCAAAAGACCTCAGGTTTGGCAAAATGAGGCTCCCACCCTGAACTAAAAATGCTTCTCTTGTTTCCCTTTTAGCTAATTTCTCTCCTTTCTGAGTCTACCCAGGGGGGTCGGTCTAGCGGATGCTATTAAAACCCACAGCTGCAAAAGGGGAGAAAAAAACAGAGGAAATTTTCTGTTGCTTGTAATCAAGGGTAAAAATAAAAGAAGCACAATGAAAATTAAGGAAAATAAACAGTGATCAAGGCTTTTCTTTTCCACTTGCCCGTGGAGTCCTGCTGTGTGTCCAACAATAGGGGAAGAACAGGACTGAGATGTGGGATTCCGTCAGCTCTCGCTGCATGCAAGGACAGAAAGATGCCTACAACAAGCCAGAGTTACGGGACTGGGGTGACATGACTCTCACAATCTCCTTCTCCCACGTGAAAGGTGAGGCCATGGCTATATAACGAGAAAGCTGGGAAGACAGTACAGGCAGAGGAAAGGAGTGATCCAGGAATGAATGCAGCTTGGTCCCTGGCTGTGAGACACAGGATTGCACTCAGATGTACCCTTCAAGGTATCCATCCATTCAGATCTCTTGGGGAGTGGGCTTGGACTTGACTGGAGGCTCTCCCATGAAATCATAGATAACCTGATTTCCCCATGGCTACCTCTTCTCTTCTCAAGATTTTGTGCTACACTCAGGATTCCAGCATCTGGGTTCTAAGCTGAGATTTGGCCTGGACTTCCCTTGGCCAGGCTGAATTGACCACAGCTTCCAATGAAGCCAACAAGGATGATAACCTCTGCCATATGCCACGCACTGTGCTATGAGCCCAGCATACAATTCCTAGTCCTCCCAAAAGCTCTCTGATGCAGGTAGATTTGCCCTAATTTTACAAATGAGAAAGGCTCAAAATGAAAGTATGACACCAAACACATGAATCCATGTCTGTGTCCTTAATGTTGACAAAGAGAAAACCTGACTTACTACCCAACGTCATTCTTCTAGAAAGTGGCAGAACATAGAACCTTATTCTGGTCTGACTGACCTGGAGCCCACACATTCCATATTTCTCCAGGAGGGTGCTCTGATAGATGGTAGAAGTTGGGCTTCCAGACTCACTGCTAGAAATAAGACCACCAAAAGGGAAGAATCATGGCATGAGTAGGAAGTGAATTGAATAGCTGACTTCAGACATAGCTGATCAGCCATGGGACACAAAAGCAGAAAGCAATAAGAGAGAGGCACTGGAGGCCTGGGAAAGTGTTAGAAGCAAGAAGGATAAAGAATAGAGGGAAAATTGGACTCGAGGTAGCCAAGAGACTTTCTCATTTTCACCCATAACAGATAGAGGATAGAGCAAAGGGAATTGGAAGAGAGGAACAGAGCAGTTCAGGGTGTGTGGTTACCTTGCAGTCAATGTCTGAGGAAGATCAGAAATTCTCAGGGAACCAAATGCTGTCAGTTCTGGTTCACTTTGTGGTAAACACTGTGTAGTTCTGCTGCTGGAAGCACCCCTACCCTATCAATGCTGAATGCTCACAGCTTCATCCTTCCCTGGGAACTCTCTCAGCCAAGATCATGTTTGCTTTCTTGGAGGTGAGAGGACATGGCTGATGACTGATTGGTTTGAGAATAAAAAAGTCTGGTCCTCTAACCTCAGTTTGGGGGCAATTCTAAAGGAGCATCCCAGCTCCTGGGTTCTCCCACAGGGTTGACTGATCCCTCGGTTGTAACTACATCATGAGTCAGCTTCTCCCTCTGCCCAGCCCAGCCTCCCCCACTTCTTTACAGGTGGGTGTCCATACAGCTTTCCCAAATAAATCTTCTGCACCCAATCTCTGTCTCAGATTTTGTTTCTAGGGAACCCAACCTAAGATACTCCCTGTACCTCTGTGCCCCCCACCACCCTTCAAGTAATCTTGAGAGAAGACCTACAGAATGGAAGGGAGGGGTGCAGGTAAAAGGTGAAGCAAGAACATCTTCACCTAGCCTGCAAACACAGCCTCCCCTTGTGCAACCAGATTCCTCTATGGTTCCACGAGCCAGCTGCAAGATTTCCACCCTGGTTCTGGCACCAGACGTTCAGCGCAGTCTAATTGCACCAAATTTTATTTGAGTCTTCGCTGGGGCTGTCACTTCATCCAATTAAGTGGAGGTTACAGAAGGATCCACTTGTCATTACAGCAATTCCTCCTTGTGCTAAATGCTTCCAGAATCTTAATTACCGAGCAGGCAAGATCAGAAAAGATGGCTCCAGTGGAGATGGTAGTATTTCTCTTTCACAAACACAGGCAGGCCCCCGAGCCTGACATGCACTACCCATGTACAGCCGCTACATAAATTAGACAGGCCTAAATAAGTCAGGCTAGAGACAGGAATGGAAACAGAATGCAGATGAGGCTCACCACCAGGCCCAGCACTGTGTGAAGGTTGTGCGTCCACATTGCTTGGGCAGCATGGTACAGCAGAAAAACTATGGAGCTAACAGCTAGGAGACATGCACCCTGTGCTCTGCTCTTTGACTGGTGCTGGGATGTCCAGCAAGCCCCTTTCCCTCCCCTGTGGCCTCTAAGGTCTTAAGTGATTTGATTCCTGATTATCCAGCCTCCACTCCCACTACTCACCCATCTATCCCAGCCACATCAACCACCCTCAGTCCTTTCAACATGCCACACTCATTCCTACCTCTAGAGTTTCCCACTCACTGATCCCTTTCCCCATAAAGGTCATCTTCCTACTCTTTAAATGGCTGACATCTTCTCATTCTCCAGGTTTTAAACCAAATGTCTCTTCCTCCAAGAAGCTTCTCTTGTCCACTTACCGAAGGGAGCCCCCTACTTACTTTCTGTCGTGATGCTCTATTTGATCCCAACAAAGTCTCAATCACAATTTGTAATTCTATATTGTTCCATTAACTCTTTCAAAGTCCATCTCTCCCTGTAGAATAGTGATGCCCAATATGGTAGCCACCAGCTATGTCCATGTGCGGCTATTTAAACTTTTCTAAAAAAAATAAATAAAATTTAAAATTCCATTCCTCAGCCATGATAACCACATTTCAAGTGTTTGATAGCCATAAGTGGCTACTGAGCCAGAGATGCCAGACAGCACAGATACAGAACATTCCAATCACAGCAGAAAGCTCTATTAGGCAGCTCTGGTCTATAGTATATGCTTGATCAGTTTCATTGACCCTTGAATCGAATCTCTGGATACCTATCCATAGTGCCTGGGTATATACTACTCACGCAATAAATATGTGAGTAAATGAATTAACAAGTGAACAATGCATATTTTAAATAGAGATATGTTTGGCAGAGCCAAGAAGGAATGTTCATTTCTGCTTGGGGAAGCTGTAGAAGTCTTCACAGAGAGGATGACATCTAACATGAGCTTTGAAGGATGACTGCGAGAAGAAGGTGAAGGGGCAGGCATAGAACAAAGAAAACCACAGAGGTAAAAGCATCAAATGATGAAAGATCGTGCTGTTTCATGCTTAGAGGTTTGGCAAGTTTCTTGTTGCAAGTTTCTTGCTGCAAAGTTGATTAGAACTCAGGTTTCCTTTCATTGAAAGTCCGATGCTTGGGGGCTCAACAGCTGAAATATTTGCCTCAGGGCCCAGAACTTAAACGTGGTGGTAAAGTATTATCTCTGAAAAGAAGGAAAAATGTACTGATTTTTAAAATTCAAGGTGAAAAGGGAATGCAGATGTTCATATTTTAATACACTACAAAAGATCCCTGGATACTTATCTCCTGGCCTACATCTTCCTTGTTTTTGTATTGCAGACATACTTTAGCATACACAGGTTGTATAGAAGACAAAGTACCAGTTTTAGGATGAATAAATGGGAACACTGATATCTCGAGAGGCCTTCTCAGCATGGAAACACAATGATGCAACCTCATGTGGAAATAAAGGTGCTTTACTTCCACCCTCACTTACTTCAATACGCTGGCACATGCTTGCTTTCAAGCAACTCCCTCTCTAGACATGGGGTTTAACCACCTGCCCTGCAGATGACGTGTACATTCTGACATCTGCATGGAAACAAGGTAACTCAGTCTTAGAAAGCCAGGAGGGTGGCCAAGATCACAGCGGGAGGATGGAGCAAATCCTTGGGTTTATGTCCCTTTAGACGAGGGGGGTTCACTCTCTTCTGAAACACGGGCTCATTTATACAAGCAAACAGATCAGAACACATTACAGGAAGGAATTCCCACGGCATGCGCTGCTCTTTGCTTTGCCTTGTGAAGATAAAAGGAGGAAGAAACAAAAGACTTAGAGAGCAGAGCTGGTATGAACCATGAAGCTGCTCTACATTAATCATCTCCATCGCCCCCACTTCCTGCTGCCCTTCTCGACATAGGCCCTGGGTCTTTTGCTGGGAAAAGGCAGGTCGAACTGGAGCTGGCTGGGGAGCTCATTAGCACCTCGCCAGAGCCGAGGGCTGCCTGCCTTCCAGGAGGCATTTTGAACTCTCCCTTCAGTTACTTCCTTGCAATCAATATGCTGCTTTTGCAGTTGCTCCATCCACTGCCCTTGCAGCCATCGGAGGCTACAGGCTTCTAAGAAGAACTGTTGGGGTTTATCAACATACACATCTTCACTTCACAGGAAGCAGCATTCCATGGTTTGCACATTGGTCCTCTGGGCTCATAACACAGCAGGGTCCAGATCTGGGGAGAAGCAGGCACGAGGGATGTACTGGGAGTAGGGAGGAAGGCCTTGGCCAGGTGCTCTGGCAATGTGGGCAGGAAAAGGCCTTGGTGGCAATGGGTGTTGCATGAGGAGGTCCTATGGTCAGCTCAGGCAAAGGCCCAGGAGTCTCAACTGGGAAGCAGACCCTGAAGCCATGTCTCCCAATTCAGACCTAGGGGCCCTGAAACGCTGTGTCTGAGATGCTTTTCCCTTACTGATTCCTGTAATGCCTGAGCCAGCTTGTAGCTGTCATGCATATGGCCACTAGGGACCAGGAGAATTTGAGTTCTACATGTGGCCTGGTTGGCCCCATCCCTCTGGGAGGTCATCACTACAGCTGAGCCACAAGATCCTGGGACTGGGATCCTCATAGACCTCTGGGACAGTAGGTTCTGGGGAGTGACATTGACTCCAACCCTGCAGGTGTAGCCTTCCAGAAGCCAGTTCCTCTCTGTAAAATAAAGGCATATAAAGGACCACTCTTAGCCCTTCCAATCACCAGCAGGAACCCAAGAGAGAGTCCCTCTAGCCCTGAGAGTCTCCAATAGCATCATCCTTCTTATCCAAATCCAATAAAGCAATGCTGTTCTTCAAGGCCCACTGACCACAACCTAATGGAGAGCTGAGGCTGCCAGATACCAAGACTTAGCATTATAGAAGGGCAGAGCATGGCAGGATCCCAGGGGAAAAGAATTAGCACAACCTCATACAAAATGGAGTAATAATACACCTACCTCAGAAAATCTGCTATGAGAATTACCTAGATCATCTCTTTAAAGCACTGTATTACTTAGCTTTTTCTTAGTGACAAACAACCCCGAATCTTGATGTACGCAGATACTTGTTTCTTGTTCTCAGTTAGCTCCAGGCTGTGTTTGAATCTATTCCCTATGCCTCTCATTCCAGGAACTAGTCTGAAGGAGCTGTTGCTGCCAGGGGCAGGTTCTTCCAGTGACGGATGGCAGCAGGCAACAGAGCAAGCAGGGACACATGATACCTCCTGAAATCTCTCCTGGGAACTGGCACACCATCCCTTCTGCCCACATTCTACGGTTCAAACCAAGCCACATGGCCAAGCTCAAGGTCAATGGGGCTTTGTCAAAGCCAATCAGGAAGTGTACTCTGCCCATGGGGAGGGATCATGAAGAGTGAATCTTTGCAGAAAAACCACACAGTGTTCCAGAAGTGCTCAATAAGGAATTGGGATATAGTCATCTCTCAGAAAATGTTAGTTATTATCAACATGTGTATTACTATCACTATTAGTAACAGGCTTTGCTGATGATTCATTGAAGCTCAGATAAGGTTGGGTTGGATGAGACACAGTTTGGAGGGCTGCTACTTGGGAATGGCCCTGGGAAAGCTTAACCTCTATTGCTTGGTCAAGGTCAAGACTGACTGTAAGAACTGTGATGGAGCCAAATGTGACTAGAGGAGAGGGAAACGGCTTCAGCCAGGTCAGGCTTGACCCCTGAGCTGTCCTTAGGACCAGGAGGAATTGGAGGAAAAGGCATCCCACGGAAAACTGAGTTCATGGCAGAACCATGACTTAAACCCAGATTGCCTTACTCTAATTCTAGATTAAATCCCTACTCCACCCTCACTAGGAGAAAGAACATTTTGAGATGGAATTGATTCCTTTCTACATATTTTTCTTTAAAAAAAAAAACTCAGTGTTTATTTTTATTTCTTTTAGGCTGAAGCTTAACTCCAAAAATAGTCTTTTTCAGTAGCCCTGTCATTAGCAGTTGCTACAAACACTATGTCCCCCACACATTGAACTGCACGCACGACACTTGAAAAGAGCAATTAGAACAGAAGTCTCCCAAGAATCGCAAGGAAGGCAGTGGCTGCAGCTCCTGATGCCTACAGTCTCCCAAGGACATGGCTGGGAGCCAGCCCTGCTCTGGGGCTTCTCGTGCCTCTCTGTGGGTCGCCCATACCCTAGCATTTGCTCCGTTGTGTGCCTGACTCTGTGCTAACCCCAGGAGAACTTGCAGCCACTCGGCCCTCAACTTCACTCTAGTTGTCTGTCCTTAACCTTAGGTCTTAATGTAGAGAGGTCACTAAGCCTCTCTAAGTCTCTGATTCCTCACCTAGAAAATAAGAATCATAATAATTTTGGGATATTTGAGGCATCCTCATCATTTTGTACACATCAAAGAACTATTTGATTTCATGGGAGTGCCACCAACTGAGCTCCTCCTATACACAGGGATACTGAGAATAAACAGATAGTTGGACACAGCCCTTACCTTCGAACAATTATAGTCTAGCAGAGGTTCCTGCTGTTGATTTGGGGGCATGTAATATAGTTTACAATGGTGGGGAAAGTTTCAGGTAAGACTTCCCTGCAGGGAAAATACATGGGCTGAATTATAAAATGGTTGATGAAGTAGGGAAAGGTATTCCAAAGGAAAGGAGCAGCATGTGCAAAGGCTCTGAGGCTAACTAGAACTATCTGGGCTGGTCTCCAGCCTCGTGTGCAGTGAAAAGGTCTGAAGGAAAAGATATCGTGAAGGGCTTTGTCCACCTTTGCAAAGAAGCAGCAAGTAATAGAGAAGTATCCAAGCCCTGCAGTTGCTTCATTTATGCAACAAATGTCCACTGAGGGCCCACAATGTGCCAAGCACCAGGGACACAGGCCGAGCAAGCACAGACCCAGTGCCTGTCCTCGTGGAACCCATAACCTAATGAACTTGGCATGTTTGCTATACATGTGTAGTTTCAAGAAGTCACCTTGGATAACAAGGGTGGTGGCATTGGGGAATTAGAATTTGTGTGGTCAAGAAAGGGGGTTCATGGAAGGGGTTCCTGAGAACTATGGCTGGAGAGAGACTATGGCTGGAGAGAGACACGGGGTACAATTTATGCCCTTCTGTGGGCAATAGGGCCTTGGCAGGGGAAGGGGGCAGGCTCTGGCCTGACAGTAAGACAAAGGAAGAAACTAAAAGATGAGGAGAGATGGAAGGAGGGAAGGAAAGGACCAGCCCCCAGCCTCTCAGCCAGACCTCATCACACTCTTGTCTGCTGTGAATCTGTGGTCACTTCTCACACCTGGGAAGGTGCAGACCTCTGTATGGGCATAAAAGGAGGCGTCTGAATTCTTCAGAAGCAAAAACATACAAGAATAACCCAAAAGGAGTTGGGAGGGGGATTTCAAATTCATGAAAGCCAATACACATGGGTGCTGCGGATTCAATTGTGTCAACCAGAAAGATATGTTCAACACCTAGCCCCTGGTACCTGAGAATGTGGCCTTATTTGGAAATAGGGTCTTTGTAGATGTAATCAAGCCAAGATGAAGTCCTACTGGAAGAAGGTGGGCCCCAAATCAATGACTGGCATCCTTCTAAAATGAGGAACATTTGGATGCAGAAACACACAGAGAGAAGAAGGCCATGTGACGACAGAGGCAGAGACAGGAATGATGCATTTATAAGCCAAGGAACACCCAAAGATCACTGGCAACCAGCAGAAGTTAGAAGAGGCATGGGCTGGGCATGGTGGCTCACGCCTGTAATCCCAGCATTTTGGGAGGCCAAGGTGGGCGGATCACCTGACGTCAGGAGTCCAAGACCAGCCTGGTCAACATGGCTAAACCCCGTCTCTACTAAAAATGCAAAAATTAGCCGGGCATGGTGGTGGGAGTCTGTAATCCCAGCTACTCGGGAGGCTGAGGCAGGGAGAATGGCTTGAACCCGGGAGACGGAGGTTGCAGTGAGCCAAGATCACACCATTGCACTCCAGCCTGTGTGATAGAGCAAGATTCTGCCTCCAAAAAAAAAAAGGCATGAAACAGATTCTCCCTCAGAGCTATCAGAAGGAACCAACCCTACTGACACTTGGACCTTGGACTTCAGGACTCCAGAACTGTAAGAGAATATACTGTTGTCTAAAGCCACCCAGTGTATAGTAGTTCATTATGGCAGCCCTGGCAAACTAATACAATAGTAAATTATACCTCACAATTGTACAGATTAAATTTGGATGGGTCAACAGCCTTAGGGGTGGCAAGTTGAAGTAACCCAATAATTGCATTCAGATATACTTAGCCCCACCTTGCAGGACAGGGCCAGGAAGTAGCTGGTGTTAGCCCGAGGGGTAGGGAGCTGCTGACTCCTGTTCTGGCCACATCATCTCACTCATACCTCACAACAAACCTGAAGGGTCCACCTCACTGTGCTCACTTTGTAGAGGGTATGACAGGCTTACAGAAGTGTAGGTGCATGCCCCGGGTCCATGTGGCAAGTGCCAGAGCTGGGATCTGAATACAAGTCATCCTGTGACTTGCTTTTGAGCCGTAAAATTATAAACAAGCAGTTAGTTCCCGTCCACAAAGCATTCACTATTCACAGAATTAAGAATGACATTCTTGGCTGGGCATGGTAGCTCATGCCTGTAATCCTAGCACTTGGGAGGCCGAGGTGAGTGGATCACTTAAGGGCAGGAGTTTGAGACTAGCCTGGCCAACATGGAGAAACTGAGTCTCTACTAAAAATACAAAAATTAGCCAGGCATGGTGGCAGGTGCCTGTAATCCCAGCTACTCGGGAGGCTGAGGTAGAATTGCTTGAACCTGGGAGGTGGAGGTTGCAGTGAGCCAAGATTGTACCACTGCACTTCAGCCTGGGCAACAGAGTGAGACTCTGTCTTAGAAAAAAAAAAAGAATGACATTCTTACCACTCTCTAAATGGTCTCACTTATGAGCTCATTTTTCTTCTCCCCTCCATTAGAATATCTGCTTCAAAATAGTCGAAGCCCTGATCCATATGGCTGTTTGCTGTATCCCTGTGTCTAGAAGATTACTGGGGCATAACAGGTATTTAATAAATATTTGTCACATTAATCAGTCAACTAATAGGGGGCATTTGGAGACTAAGATGGCACTGTCCAGGTGTATATTTCTATACTAATTTAACAAAGTGGCAAATGGGGCTGGGCACAGTGGCTCACGCCTGTAATCCCAGCATTTTGGGAAGATGAGGTGGGCACATTGCTTGAGCTCAGGAGTTTGAGACTAGCCTGGGCAACATGATGAAACCTTGTCTCTCCAAAGAATATAAAAATTAGCTGGCTGTGGTGGCACCTGTAGTCCCAGCTACTCAAAGAGGCTGAGGTGGGAGGATCGCTGAGCCTGGGAGGTTGAAGCTGCAGTGAGCCATGATTGTGCCACAGCCTAGGCGACAGAGTGAGACCCTGTCTCAAAACAACAACAACAACAAAAACAAAATGGCAAATGGTACTAATTGCTTGCTGTCCTCAATCAAAGAATACTCAAAGGAAAATGTTAATGCCACACATTTGTGCAGGCTCGACCCCTGCACCTGAGAGTCTGCAGAAGCCATGGCCAACAGCTCCATGGCAGTGGACAAGACAGGTGTCACCCAAAACATTGGTGTGTAACAAGGCATTAATAAGAAATGAAAGGGAGAGATAAAAAAAAAGCAGGATTTACAGGGAATGAGAAGGAAGGGAGAACAGGGGAAGAGAGGAGGATGTGGTAGGGGGAAGAGAGGAGGAAGAGGTAGGAGGAAGAGGAACTGTTTTTCAGGAGGGACTATCAGTAGCAGCAGACACTGACAAGCATGGCAGTGGTGAGCCAAGTTACCTGTTTGTGACCTTTTGAATGCATAGGAATGGTTGCAAGAGAGAGGGAAGGGGCAGAGGCTGGCGGACACTGAGGAGAGGAGAAAGAAAGATGGGGAAGTGTTAGACAGGAAGTCAGGGAAGCACAGGGACAGGCAGAAAGAGAAGCTGAGAGGGACTGAGACTCTGAAATAGACATAGATAACACAACTTAGTTCTGAACATATTTAGTTCTAAAATGGGTTTCCATCAGTGTGAAATTCATTACAACAAAAATTTAAGGTATTAATAGATCATTCTCATTGTTATTTAAGCCTGAAAGCAGGAGACACAAACTACACACCACAACCTACCAATCAGCCCTAACACTTCATGCGGCCAACTCCCTTCCTGCTCTATTACAGAAAGTGGGGAGGTGCATGCCAGTGGGAGCCCCACCTATGCATGTCCTATTTTGGTATGCCCAGCATTCCTATTGAGGGGAAGGGCTCTTGTCTCACTTTGCATCCTCCTGGAGGGCCTGGGTTCACACACTCTGGCTAAAGAATTGGGCACATGACTTAGACTGGGTCCTTCCATCTGCCACTGGGCAGATGGTGGGTCTAGAATCGGACGCTCAACCCTGTCAGGGATAGGCAGAATCCTTCCCTGGGACTGGCCTTCAGACATGGGGAGACATAATCCTTTTGCCCTTGAGGTTGTTAAACTACAAGGTGTGGATCTGGAGATGCCAGCCCCCAAATGGCCCCCAACTTATCCCATCAGCATGTAGGATAATAGTGCCAATGAGGAACAAACAAAACAGAAAATGACAAAGGAGACAAAGCCCTGGGTCCTCATTTGAGCCCTAGGATGTGATCTGCACAGAGACAGCTCCATGCCAGAGCATTCCAGGGACGTGGGCCAACAACCTTCCTCTGGGGTTTTATCCAGTTAGAGTTGGGTGGCTGCCACTTACCACTGCCAGGGTCCAGGCTGAGAATGGCTCCTCATCTCCATCCTCCTGCTCTGTGCAGCCCCTGCCGAGTCCTCCTGCCCTTAACTATGTCAATGACCGCACAGTTTTGGCAGGACAAGAGCAGGACTATACGCAGTGATGTCCCAGCCCAGGTAGGTGTCAAGGACTGAGGCAATGGCAAAATCCATCCTGGCAGTGAAATGGAGCCCTGCTTCCGAGATGCAAAAGAAAGGCAGGGAAAAGTCATGCATCTGCCAGAGGGAATTAATCCAGAGCCAGTGGGGGAAGAACTGGCAAGTGGGGCTGGCAGAAATGAGCTGTGCAAACAGGTCCTGAGGCAACTGTCTGCTGTCAGACTGCTCTAAGAGCCTCCGAGGAAGGAGAGAGAGGGGAGGAGCCAGGGCAACATGGTAGGAGACCAGAGCTGCCACCAAGAACTTCTTCCTGGGATGGCAAGGGCACTTGTAAGGGCAGAAATTCATCAGATCCCATTGAGGACATTTGTATTTCTATGCTATAAACCCCTTCCAGTACCCTAAATCCTCAGAGGTCTATTATACCCCAAAGAACTTGAGAGAGAGAGTGTGCATGTGCATGTGCATGCTGGAGAAAGGATAAAGAATATTAAGGGGAGCTGAGTTCCAAATTTGGAAGGTTTAGAGAGGACAGAAGGTGTAAGGAGTGAGAGGGAATTGAGGATGAAAGTCAGAAGGAATGGTAAACAGATATGTCAGAAGTGACCATAGAAGAAACCCCTAGGAATAGGCACAAAGGTAAGAGAGAGCTAATGATACTGCAATCTCAAAGGTCATGGTAACTTCTGTTGGCATCATGGTTGATAAATTTGGGACTGGGTGAACTCTTCTCAGATGTAGCCCCAGGAATGCCTGGCATGAGCCCTTTTGTGCAAAAGCAATCACTACGGGTATATCCATGAGCTGTCTTTTCTGTTCTTTTTTTTGAGATGGAGTCTTGCTCTTGTCGCCCAGACTGGAGTGCAGTGGCGCGATCTTGGCTCACTGCAACCTCTGGCTCTTAGGTTCAAGCGATTCTCCTGCCTCAGTATCCCGAGTAGTTGGGATTACAGGCAACCACCACCACACCCGGCTAATTTCTTGTATTTTTAGTAGAGATAGGGTTTCACCATGTTGGCCAGGCTGGTCTCGAACTCCTCACCTCAGGTGATCCACCTGACTCGGCTTCCCAAAGTGCTGGGATTACAGGCATGAGCCACCACACCCGGCCTTTTCTGTGATTTCTGAAGACAGTAGGGCAATTCCTTGATGACATCATGGACTAGTAGTCAACCAAGAGTCTTATGGTCATGGTTGGATAAGAGAGGGTGAGAAAGGTGGTAGCTTGGAGTTGGGGTGGTAAAGGTAAGGGCCATAGGCACAGGCAATACCTAGACGTACTAGATACGGGTCAATAACTGCTAGATATGGGTTAAGACCTGGGAGGAGGGTACCCTGTAGTTTCCTTCATCTCTGCTTATCTCAGAAGTCAAGAAATAAAGGCAACAGAGCCTGGAATTCAGCAGATGCATGCAAATATATCTGAAAAAGTTGGTTGGTCACTTAATTAACTATATTACCCTAACTTGGGACAAACATTGAAGAATAAAAGGTGGCGGTCAGCTCACAGAGGTGAGTCATAGAAGAAAAGCCACAGAGATGAGTGCAGATGTGCTCAGGGAGAAGGAGCGCCTTTCAGACAATTGAATCCCAATAGCACTGTGGGTAGATACAATCAGCTAACTCCGCCTACTATGAGACCAGACGCAGCAAACCTGCTTCTGATCACTGTTCAGCTCCCACAAAATGCTGACTGGAAACTATGGCATTGTCTGCATGCTGTGGGTATCTGTCCACTGCATAGATGGCCAGAATGAGGTTTCTAAGCCATCAAGGCGAGAAGGGCCACGGTAACAGACAGAGCCTCCCTGCAGTAGCACCACCTGCCCCGCCCTCACGGGTTGGACAAGTCACAGTTGGTTCAGCTTTTTCTCATTCCCATCACAGCCCAGTGAAGTTACTGGATGAGGAGAGGTGGTGCTGTACTCCACATAGTCATTCAGGGACCCAGGCTCCGATCTGGAGCTGCTGCCTGACTTAATATGTGGTCTCAAATGTCACAGCAGGAGGGGAAAAAGAGAGGGGGCTTGCATAGGGGAGTTTTTTAATAGGTCTGGCCCAAAAGGAGTGTATATCACTTCTGCACACACTCCTCTGGCCCCATCTGAATGGAGGAAGCTTGTGTGCCCAGAAGGAAAAATAAATGGTACAGAGAACGTAACATTGTCACACGAGTCTTTGAACTTTCTTGCTGGTATGAAGCAGGTCCCACACTCTGCGATTTCCACACTTTATTTCACTGATCCTCAGAAAACATGAGGCAAGAAACATCCTTCTGTCCCTTTCTACAGATGGAGAAACTGAGGCTCAGTCACGTGCAGAGTTGCATTCAGCAACATAAAATGAACAGAGCCAAGAATGAACCCCAGGTTTGCCTGCTTCTAAAGTGCAGCCTCCTCACCTCCCCTTACGAAGGGCCTTTCCAATTGCTTGCTCAGGCACAGCAAATTGCAGCCCTGTCTTGCTGGGGTCCCAGCAGTTCCTCACTCACGTGCAGAAGAGATTAAAAGAACAAACCACAGAGCACATTTTGCCGCTGATTAACTCAAAGAGGAGGCTTTCCCTCACTGAGAACAGATGATCAGCTGCTCTGCCAATAACTGCCTGCTCCGTACCACCAGGCCGCATTCCATCAAAAAGGCACAGTTTCCATTTACTGGGTTGAAAGTGAGTCACATCTGCCCCTGGATAGACATATAAAGCAACAGGCATGCTACTCTGATTAATAATGAAAAGCTGGTGCAAGCACATTTCATTTTAAAAGAGAAGAGGCCAAATCCTAGCCTCCTTTTCTACCAGGTTTAGGAAAGCATGAAAAAGGAGAAGGATCATATGGGTTAGGGGGGAAAAAAGAAACTTTAAAGAAGCAAAGAAATCTACCTGCCCAAGAGGTGGGAAAGCAGAGATTTTATTCTATTCTAGGAACCTTGTGATTCTGCAGAGCTGCATCGTTTGTTTTTTATACTATTTTAGAAAGGAATTCCATTGTTTTAAGGCGGGAATAAGCGTGAAGCCTGGCCTTAGAATACAACCCATTATTTTGACAAATAGTCAAGTCAAGGCCCTGAGCAATGGTCACTTAAGTCTAATTAGCAGGAGAATGAAGGCCACATCTCTTCTTAGGTAAATGTCCGCTAAGCACGGCTTCTGAGCTCCCTGGATCAAAATGAGCACATGTTGTGCAAGGGGCATGGGTGAAGTTTAAAAACAATACAACGTGAGCATACTGAACCTCATCGATTACATTGGGAACCCACAGCCACCCCAACTGTTGAGATACGGCTGTTTTCGGCATCTGCTTCCTGAGAATTGCTACTGTTTTGTTTTTTCAATGTTTGAATGTGTTGCGACGATTTCTTCATGAGAATCCTTTCTAAATGATTGGCGGTGCTTGTTTTTGAACTGCAAAATCTTTTACTCTACCTCCTTTTCTCCACCCACCCACCTGCGGTTGGAGTCACTGGGTTGCCGGTAGGTGGACCAACTGGCTTGGGCTGGAAGCTGGGTGAGGCCAGGTACAAGGACAGTTCCCATGACCAGCTGGGCTGGCTGGGACTGTTCACCTGGACACCCTACCTCATGTACCAGGCCCTGCCTGACAGGAGGATCACCAGTCCTCCGACTCCTAGTGCAAGACCTACCCTTCAGGATCAGACTTCCAAGCTGCCACATCTGGCCAGACTCTACCTGAGTTCATGTAGTTCTTGGGCTTCGTGGCCATAGCCAAGTCTGTCTCTAACCCCTTCCCATAACACAGAACACACAATTTTTGCCCTCATGTATTCTGGAATTTGTAAAGTCTACATCAAGAAAGAACATTTGGGAGGAGACTTTAAAAAAAAATCTTCAAAAACAATCAATACGTGACAAGAAAAAGATAATTGCTCAGCTTTCAGATCGTACAGAATTTGGACGTTTAAGCCCAATATCAGTGGGAAAGGAAGAAACATCTTCCCATCTGTTTTCAGGTAGGCTAGAAAGTTTTCATTCAAGACATTAAGCCTGTGGGGGTTTCTAATGGCTTTTTTTGATCCAAATTGTATTAATTAGGAAAATACTAATTGCTGTAACAAATAAACCCCAAGGCTTAGTAGCTTAACACAATAATAGTTTATTATCACTTCAATATTAATAACAGGCCTGCTTAGCAGACAATTTTCCTCCACAAGGTGATTCAGGGACCCAGGCGTGTTCAATCTTTTGACTCTCCCCTCACCTTGAAATTGTCTGCATCCAGCTAACCAAAGAGGGGGGTGAGCAGATGAGGAATGACTACATGCTTTTTAACTCTTTGACTCTGAAAGGACATGCAGCAGTTCTGCTCACATTCCTTAAACTGGAACTATTATCACAGGGCCCTAGTGATTGCAGAGCAGGCTGGGAATGAGGTCCGTGGTTAGGCAGCTGCTTCACCACTTTATCCTATGGAAGGGAGGCACATGTGCTTGGTGGGCACTTGGCCAGCTTTATTGGCCTGAAAGGTAGCAGAAAATTTCTCTCAGATCTCGGAAATGGGGAGTCAGTCTGCATTTACCTTTTGCTGTATTTCCCTGGATAGTTAGTGGGGAAATGGCAGAGGGAAGGCCAAGCATCACTAGTCAGAGTAAACCAGAAGACATATGTCAATTTTCCAGAAAGGGATTCTGGGGCTCAAATAAGTGGAACCACTTCTTCACAGCCACGTCACCAGCTCTGCCTTCCCATCCATACAGCTCCATTGGCCAGAGGCCCACAGAGGAAGTATCTTCCCATCCAGTTTCTGCACCTGGCGTCCTAGATGAATAGTAGGGCACTAAGTACAAAAGCCTTCCCATGGGGCAGGATCTGGGCCAGTACGACTGGCCTTTGGAGCTGGGTCATTCTTTGTTGTCAGGGGGCCATGCTGTGTATCGTAGGGTGTTTAACAGCATCTCTGGGCTCCACCCACTAGATGTCAGTACCCCCCCTCTCCCATCGTGACAATCCAAAATGTCTCCAGACATTGCCAAATGTCCCCTGGAAGGAAAATCACCCTCAATTAAGAATCACTGGTCCAGGCAGAGGCTGCAGTGTTTCAGAGATAAATTAGGCTCCAGTGACTGGACAAAGGCAATGATCTAGAGCATTCTTACTAAACTGGAGCCCATGGGTTTAACTGAGTTTAGCCTAGCCTGGAACTTGGGTTCTCAGAAAAAATATTCCATATATATCTGTCACGGAATAATACATTATGGAAAATTAGCATAAGGAGGGTCAGAAAATAGTCTCATTTATGGGCTCATTATAGGAAGAGGGCAGGCCTTGGACTGTGTGACTCTGATGAGACTGGGTAATCAGACTTCAGCATCCTCAGTGGTAACAGGGGACCATGGTGAAGATTAAATACAACCTCATGAGAAGACAGTCAGTGAAGTGTCTGGCATGCAATAAATGGTCCACAAATGGTAGCTAACTACAGACTTTGCAGCTTGTTCCATACCTCAGATCATTCTTCCATTTGAACACAGGAGGGTAATGTTCCAAGTGAATGAGAATTTAATGCAGTTGCCATTTGATTTAATTTCCAAATGCGTTAAAAGTGTTAATGCAACACATCAGCATGCAGCTGATAAAGTAGTCAAAATAATTCAAGGAAACCAATACTTATCAGGTTTTATTTATCCACATTTACACTTTTTTAAAAATAAGCTGGTCTTTGTGCCCATATAGATTACAATATACATAATATCTCCCGGTTAGCCTCCCCTCCACACATATGTTCAAGTGAAGTTTCCCACTTTTCTCCCATCTGTCATTTTTCTCTTTCCATAAAAAGCTAATGGTGACGTTATCAAAGAGTGAAGGAGTCAGAGGCTAAGGGTGGGGAACCGGGCACCCATGAGGAGGATGGGGAATGATGAGGAGAAGCACAAACATAGGCACGCACTTTGTTTAGGAACAATTTTCATAGCCATGGCCTCTGACCCAAATCTAGGGGAGCCGGCATTATTATTCCAATTAGGCAGTCATGAAATGATGGTCCTAATCCACTTAGCTAACACAAGGCAGAATCAGGATTTGAACCCGAGACCTCTGATTTGCTATCTATGTGTTCTTGACAATAGCAGTCATGGGAAAAAAAATGATGCAAGTATTATTAATAAAAGTTAAGACCAAAGAAAGATTAAAAAATAAGAACCAAAGCACCAGCATATTTTCCTACAAAGAATGAAACTCACGCAGAAGATGAGCATGTTGAGGTTTCTCTGCTTTGAAATAGGGTTCCAGGAAAGTCAAGATCAGGCATGAGATGAGAGGAGGAGGTAAGCTAAGTCTACCACAAAAAAACTTCCAGACCTAAGTTGGAGCATATATGATCCATATGCAGGGCTCTTGGGGGAATGGGTAGAACTCACACTGAGGCAAGCCTTCCTTGAAAAGGCATTGAAGAAGGCCCAGGAGTTTTTAAAATGACCACTCTAAGGGGCACATGGTGGGGTGGGTAAGTAGCATGGCTCTGGCAGGGCAACTGAGCCCCCTAAATTTGTAGCCAAATCAGAGCAAAGAAAGACCATAAGAGGAGCACAGGGAATTACAAAGCTCACAGCTCCCATAAGAAGGAAGAAAAGAATTAAGGAAACGTAATACTTAAAGGAAAAGGTAAAGAAACAGATACCTATAAAGGAGACAGAACTTTCTCAGAGGTAGAAGGAAAACCAGGAGCTCAATCAATAACGAGAACCTTAAAAAAGAAGGGATGGTGAGGGGTCTCGTCACATGCTTGTAAAGTAAGGACCTGAGCACTCTTCCCTGGATACAGCAAATGTTTAAGCCCCTTCTATATGCCAGGTACTGACTCAGGTACTGCTGGTCTAGCAGGAAATAAGGCTTACAAAGCTTCTTCCTCCAGGAGCTCATGTTCTAGTAGGAAAGATGGGTAATCCACAAATAGATGTAAATTACAATGTCAGATAGTGACAAGATCTAGGAGGAAAACCAAAGCACCCTGCAAAGGAACAGAGTTACAAAGGGAAGGGGTGGGAGGTGGGGGAGAGTGTTATTTCAGATAAGGTAATCAGAGGGGGCCTCTCTGAGAAGCTGAAGTCTGAGCAGAGACCAGATCGATAAAACAAGTGAGCTACATAATTATCTGGAAGAAATGCATGTCAGGCAAAGCAAGGACAGCAAGTGCAAAGGTCAGAACTAGTTTGGTGTGGTTCAAGGAAGAGGAAATGGATCAGCATGGCTAGAAAAGAGAATAAGAGGGCAAATATGGGGGTGGGGCATTACAAATCAAGGACTAGATATGGAGACCATGTTAAGAAGTTTGGATTTTATTCTGAGTGTGACAGGAAATTCTGGAGGCTTTTCAACAGGAAAAAAGCCATTATCTAACTTTTTCAAATGATCACTCAGGCTGCTGCATTGAGAATAGACATCAATGGGGCAAGAGTGGAGCAGGGAGGAAGCTGGAATAGTCATGCAGTTGAGAACAGAATAGAGTTTTGACTCATGCACTGATCAGCAAACTGTGGCCAAATCCAGCCCTCTGCCTGTTTCTGTAAATAAAGTTTTATTGGCACATAACCCATGCTCATTCATTTGCATATTTTTTATGGCTGTTTTTGCTACAACAGCAGAGTTGAGTCTTTGCTACACAGATCATATGACCTGGAAAGCTGAAACTATTGACTCTAATGCCCTGGAGAGAAAGTCTGCCAACCTTGTCGAGGATGTTGACAATAGAGGTGGTGGAAGGTGGCAGGCTCTAGATAAACTTAGGAGGTAGAGCAGAGGCCAGATGTTAGCCCAGGCTCTCTGATACCATGCCTGCTCTCTGATCACTGGGTGATATAGCCCTCCAGCTCCTCTTTACTTCTGAGGACTTGTGGAGAACGTGAATGGAAACTCTGGAGTCCAGTCTGAGGCCAGCCTTTGCTTTGTTCCACTCCCTATACAAGCACAGAGCTCAAGGTGGCTTTGCCTCTCCTCCTAGCATGAGCTTGTCCTCCATGGCTGCTGCCACCAAGGAGGCAGGAGCCAGCAGCCTTGGTCACCTTAGAAGGCCACAGAGGCTGTAGGATCCCTGTAGCAGAAGCTGTTGCGTCCCACCGCCACCTCAGGACTTATTATTGCACCGAGTGCAGTCCAACCTCCAACTGCCTCTGCCAACTGTCAAATAGCTAATAGACATGGGCTTCTGCCAAAGCCCTGGGGAGCGGGGGGTTACATCCTGTATGACAAGACAGTAAAGCCAGAAAATTAAGACCCCCAAGAGCAGCTCTCAACCAATGACTGGAGGGGGTTAAGGTACAAATAACCCCCTCCTCCACACCCCAGGGGTTCTACACTGAATCCCAGAATTACCTAGTAGGATAGAGCTCCAGACGGTCACAGCAGTTACTCACTTGAGAATGTACCCTTTATTCGCTGCCCTTGATTCTCTGTCTCATGTCCCTAAAACCAAATAAGCACCTTGCACTCGGAACTCCTGCCCTGAGTCTGCTTCTAGGGGTCTCAACGCCATGTGCCTTTTATCTTCACTCTTCTTTTCCAACGCAGTCTGTGCCAGTGACCATAGCCAGCTGTCTGACAATGGTTTTTCCCTGCAGGACCAGAGAAAGGAAGAACAGCTGGATGCAGAGATCCCACCTTATGAGTGTGCACACTACTATCCATGGCCATGGATAGGGTCCGTCACAGCCCCTAGACTACTACAGGATGAAGCCCAGGCTCCTATTCTGGTACAAAGACTCTGCAAATGTCCCCTTGCCTACTTATCCAGCCCCAAACATGTCACCCACTCAGTGTCTCAAAACTAACCCAGGCTGTCCTGCTTATGAGCTTGCCAAGCCACAGGACCCATCTCAGATGGGGCCAGTCGGAGAGGCTATCCCAGACTCTTCCAGACTGCGCTCATTGTTCCAACCTCTGTACACCTTTAGCTCACACCTGAATGCAGGGTCTACCATACTGGATTTTGCAAGAAATGTGGTATAAAAGAGACAGCATGGCCAAGGCAAGGCAAGCCTAGCTCTGCCACTTATGAGCAGTATGATCTTAGAAAGGTCCAGAACCTCTCTGGGTTTCCATGCTCTCACTGGTAAAAGGTGGTTGCTAACAGCACCTACGTCATAGGGCCATTGTTAGGATTAGGGAGGTAGTGTGGCAGGTGGCTAACATTAACTGACCATGCAGCACAGATTTGCATGATTCTTCCTGCTAGACCATGAGCTTATTACAGAACCTGACACAGTTGGGCTCCATAAACCTTTATTAAGCAAATGAATACAGGAATGAGTCAGCTACTCCAGGCATTCCATCTTTAAACTAGAGGCTATAAATGCAAATCACTGCTGGCACCAGACTAGTGAGAGAGCAAAACGGGACCAGCCAGGACAGCAGTCAACGGTGGAACGTGTGCTTCCAAAACAGGGACGCTGAGGAGCCCACTGTTGCCATCCTAAAATGTAGGCTCCAGGTAGCTATGCCTGATACAGTCTCAAGAAACTTGTAAATGCTGAAAAAAAACTTAAAAAGGAAAGAGAAGACAGTACAATGTAAGTAAAGCACTTTCGCAACTGACTTCAAACAATGGATTGGATTGGATGACCTCAATCCCATTTCAGAAGAGGGAGACCTTAAGATGATCTAAATTTAAATTTTCATAGTATGTACAGAATATCATTCCTTTAATCCAGGAAAACAAACAATGGACAATGTCTTTGGGAAACATTCCTTAATAGTAATGTAAAAAATATGATTACTACTAAAGACATAATTTTATACTTTCTAGTACTAGGATGTATCTGTTTATATATGTTACATATATATTATGCTATATATATGTGTTTTATATATTATATGTATGTTATATTTTCTCCCTCTCATAGGACCTATTTATATATATTCACCTCCATTATTCAGATAAGGAAAATGACGCCCAGAGTAAATACATGATTTGCTGAATCACACAGGTACCAGGGAGCAGGACTAAGATGGAAACTCAAGTGTATTTAGAACAATAATCCCTACTCTTGATCCTAACAACCTCCCTTGGTAGGAAGTCACATCAGTGTTTAAATCGGAACCTCTAACAGCACTAGTATCACATTTCTTCTGAGCACTAATTCTCATACTGATGAGTGTTCTGAGTGCATAATAGGTTGTTAAATGGAGTTGAAAGATTGGTTTAAAAATCACCACCGACAAGAAACTTTTTATGAATTAGAAAATTTTCATCAAGATACATCTGCATAACTTTGGTTGCAGACACTCAAGTCCTTGAGGCCAGCTAAGACACCTTGAAATTGAAGACACTCAGAAAACCAGAAGCAAAGCAAATGAATAAGCATTTGCTGAGCACTGGTCTGGACCAGGTAGGTTGAGGGGCCGAATTGTCAATTGAGCGAAACCTCAATTACAGAGTAATCTAATGTATACCCAGGTACATTATCACAACTCAATAAACAGCTCCCCAGAATTAAGTAATTCCAATTTGCTTTCATTTCGGTCTGTGTGTCGCCCTGAGAATTTGATATTACCTACCCTCACATTAGGCAGCATCTTCTGAAGTGCTAATCTTTACCATCTCAGGATCACACGTGAGCTGTGAGCCAGTCAGCCATGAATACGCCTGTTTGGGGAGAAAGAGAGACCAGCCTGGGCCTCTGCTGTTCCTCTCAGCCTGAGTACCTGCTGTGGAAGCCAGCACAGGGGTTTACAGCTCCCAGAACCCTCGGGTGCTGAAGGGCCCAGTGACCTCCCAACTGTGGAGTGGTTAGGGTTTTGAATGAACAATACCAGGAGAGGGGTGGTCCATGTAACTAGATGGCTGAGCACAAACAAAACTAGCTACTTTTCCTTTGTCCCCAGACCCGGGAATCAGCTTTCCCGATCCAGTAGGGGTGAACACAGGAAAGGACCAGAGAATTCTGACCTACAGGGACTTGTGATGGTTAATATTAAGTGTTAACTTGGTTGAAATGAAGGATGCAAAGTATTGTTTCTGGGTGTATCTGGGTGTTTCTAGGTGTTGCCAGAAGAGATTCATATTTGAGTCAGCGGACTGGGAGAGGCAGACCCAACCACAATGTGGGTGGACACCATCCCATCAGCTGCCAGCGTAACTAGAAAAAGCCGGCAGAAGAAGGTGAAAGAAGCGGACTTGCTGAGTTTTCCTGCCTTCGTCTTCCTCCTATGCTGCCCTCGAACATCAGGCCTCAACTTCTTTGGCTTTTGGAGTCTTGGACTTACACCAGTGGTTTCCCAGGGGCTCTCGGGCCTTTGGCCACAGACTAAAGGCTACACTGCCGAGCTTTCCTACTTTTCAGGTTTTGGAACTCTAACTGAGCCACTACTGTCTTCCTTGCTCCTCAACTTACAGACGGCCCATCTGGGTCTTCACCCTGTGATCATGTGAGTCAGTTCTCCTTAATAAACTCCCCTTCATATATACATATATCCTATTACTTCTGTCCCTCTAGAGAACCCTAATAAAAGACCCCATGACCCAAATGTCCCCCAGTCCACACTTTCATATTTCCTCCCTCCCTCTTCTTATACTCGGCACATCACCGTGTACCAACAGAGAACTGGGCCACACTTTACAGAACAGGCCTGACATGATTTCCCCAAAGCCACAGAGACAGTCATCAAATCGGCACCTGGGTCCAATGTCCTGTCCCCACCCATGGAGTCCTTCATCTCTCTTACTTCTTTGTCTGATAAATCCCACCCCTATGGGCAATTTATTTATTTTATTTAACAAATACCTTAGAGTGCCTATGCAGGGCACTGTTCTAAGAACTCCTACATCCATTATCACATGTCATCCTCATGACGCCTTCTGAGGGAGGTAATCCTACATTCCTGTTCCCAGATGAGCCAGCTGAGGCCCCAAGAGGTTAGATCATGTTCAAGGTCACAGAGTTGGGACAAGGTGGGGCCAGAATTCAGACCCAAGCATCTTGGCTGCAGAGTTATCTCCTGCCCTGAACTGGAACCAAAGGGTGGGAACCTGTGAGGAGGAAGACCTTGAAGACATGGTTTTCTTTCTGTGATATCCCAGGGTTGTGGGTGACGTCAGTCCAAGAAGGAATCCAGATCCCATCCCATAACACAGCACTTGGCCCTTGAGAATCCTTTTTCTTTTTTGGTCTGTTTTTCAGATTTTCTCCCTTCTCTGAAAGAAGGAGGATTAATGCTTTTCCCTTGTATTTTTTTAAACAAGTACAAATACTTCAGTATTAAAGTACTTAAGCATCCTGGCTCCGCAAAGGCAAAGGGCTCTTGAGAGGTAAGTGAGTCATTCTTCATCACACAGTTTCTTCCAAACGCTTGGGTTTGCTGCCTTCAAATGGGTCCCTGGGCACCCACTCCAGGGTGACAGGTTTCCTCTGGTTGCTTCTGCTCCTGAGGGGGTCCCTGCCTTTTATTTTCTTGTTTTGCTTGGATGCCACTAACTCTTTAGCAGTGTGTTTGGGGTCGGGGCAGGGGGTGAGGGTAGGTTAAATGTATTTCTCCAGCAATCTGGAAGTTAGCTGACAGTCAGGAAGGGAATATCACGTGTCAAAATGGCAAGTTAGCTAGACGGACCCAGGGAATCCTGCTTGCCTGGTACCTGGGCCCCTTCAGCACTGCTCATGACATTGTGGCACCAGGTAACAGCAAGACCACAACCCACCAGCCCTCCAGGTGTGACCAAACAGCATGAGCCAGATGCAGGTCGGACTCCAGTTGTACCCCTTGGGATGGTCCTGTTTCTCAACCTGGCTGTGCTAATTCTCCCACTCATGAAATGAGTTAAAATAAAACCAATGTACAGAGCTGCAATTAGGAAAAAATCAGGTAACATATGTTGAAGGGACTTCTTTACATGCAAGGGACCAGGCTCCTAGCTTACCACCATCATAATATTTAAATGGAGGAAAAATGGGCACTAAAAAACTGATAACCTATGCCAAAAATATGGATGAATTTCATCGATGTGTAATAAAATTACACCTTGATTGACCAGATTACAGGAAGTGCCAACCCCCCACTGTTCAATGTGAAGGAGACTGGGTGCCACCCACCACCCCACCCTCCCTAAGCTGGAGTGGCAGGGGCTGCAGGTGAGTGGCTTCAGAGCAGTGGTAGCTGCGGAGTCATATTGCCAGGCCTGGCTACTGCACCCAGGCTAGCACCAGCCCCTCCTCTTGACTTGGGCCCAGGATGCACAACCAGCAGAGGACAAATCAGTGTCCCCGTAAACCCTGGCCACCTCTCCGAATAAAGCAAGGATGCTCCACCACATCCTCTGTCCCAGTAGCCTCTTGGTTTCTCTTCCCATAGCTCCCATCCTGCCCCTGAATGGGGGCATATAAGCAAATAATAAACCAAGCGTTTTCTGGTTCCATTTGTCTGCTCATGGGAATTTCAGAGTGCTAAACTAACTCCCATAGCCACTGGTCACATTCTTTTGCCACCAACTTTGCCCCATGTACATGCAAGGTGCTAGCAAGACCATGAGGAGCGGGAATGAACACAGCACACCCTCTCCTGGGACTCTCAATCTGGTGTGGGAGACCAGCCACGGAAGGTATAAGACACATTCCAGCAGGACATCTGAAAATACACATTCACTGAGAACCTGAATGGCCTGCAATAACCCCTGTGTCACATAATACAAATATAATAATAATAAATCTTCAAAAAAAATTTTTTTTTTGAGATGGAGTCTCGCTCAGCCGCCCAGGCTGGATTGCAGTGGCATGATCTCAGCTCACCACAACCTCCGTCTCCTGGGTTTAAGCGATTCTCCTGCCTCAACCTCCCGAGCAGCTGGGACTAGAGGCACGAGCCACCACACCCAGCTATTTTTTGTATTTTTAGTAGAGACGGGGTTTCACCATGTTGGCCAGGCTGGTCTCAAACTCCTGGCCTCAGGCGCATGCCACCACACCCAGCTATTTTTTGTATTTTTAGTAGAGACGGGGTTTCACCATGTTGGCCAGGCTGGTCTCGAACTCCTGGCCTCAGGTGATCGATCTGTCTGCTTTGGCCTCCCAAACTGTTGGGATGACAGGCGTGAGCCACCATACCGGGCCACACAAATTAATCTTATGGCATCAACAAAGCAAAGATAGGAGCTTAATGCCATCAAAGTGGTGGCTTCTTTTCTATGTTAATAACATTTAATGTAAACAAATTTAAAGATTTTTAAAGTTTTTTTTCATAAGTGCCTAACTTGTTGATCTTTGGCTTAAGTGTTCATGGCATTGTGGTGAGGAAATAATAAACTCCTGCTGAGGCCAATAATTCATTCACTCTTCTATCAGTCCACACATTTTTTCAAGTTGAGCCTTGTGAAATGACTGATTGTGCAAGTCAAAACAGGCGAACACTAACACTTCATATGGTTTAGCAAACTGAGAACCAGTGCCAGGCACTGCGCTGAGTGCAGGGACTTCCAACCCAGCAGACAGCCCTCCTCTCACAGAGCTTAGATCCTAAAAGGGGAGACAAAAAGTCACCAAGTAAACAAATAAAGGCAAACCAGCATTTTAAAGTGTGATAAAAACTATGTGGAAGAGGAGACCAGGTAATGAGAAGGAACTGTGACCACCAGGAAGGGAGGTGTGGGCGGGGGGTCAGGGAAGTTCTCTGGGAGAAGACGACATACTGCCATTTCAGCTGAGACCTGAATGATGGCACATGATCAGCCATGTGAATGTCTGTATGAAGTCAAGACAGCCAGCATAGAGAATCCCAGCCTGCAACCCCCAGTCCAGTTGGCCCAAGGATCCCAGTCACACTGGGTCAGCAAAATGAGGTCAAAGTTTCCACACCCACCCATACTTTGACAAAGGAAACTAACTTAGGAGGCCTCAAAGGCTCGATCAGTGGGGTTTTTTTTGTTTGCTTTTTGTTTTTTCCCTTCAAACACACCAGGTCTCATTCTACAGCTAGCATAATAAGAAAAGCTTCATTATTTCATTCACTAAATTATGCTATATTAAAATTTTAATCGGCAAACATAACATTGGTAAAATGAGTACATCCATACACTGCAGTTACCAGTGTAAACTGTCAAACCATTTTTTTTTTTTTGCAAAAGCAATATTGCAACACAAAGAAAAATCCATAAAGATGCTCATATTCTTGGCCTCCCAACTCTACCCCCAGGGAATTTATCCTAAGGAAATAATCTGGTTCAATAGAATAAAATGTTCTCTCCAGAAGAACTCCATGGAGGTGCTAATTGTTACATACACAAAGGAAAGAAAAAAACAAGACACGTGGAATTATCGAAATGACTGCAAATGGGGGGGTTTAACAAAATAGGATAACTCATTGGATGAGATAGCATACGATCACTAAGCATCATAACAAAGATGACAAAGTTGCAGAAAGAAATGGGATATCTGGCTTTTTGAGAGAAGCAGAAAACAATCTGCATATTTTAATGGAAAGCATGTAAACAGTATCTCAAGGTGAACAAGAACAAGAAAATTGAAAAGAATTGAATCAAGGCCAGTGGGGTGAGGAATTATTCATTTCAAAAGTCCTTCCAAAATATTGTCATTGTATTGAGTTTTCAATTTTTAAAAAAAAATCCCTCAGAAACAATAGTACGAGAACACTGCCACAGCATGCCACCCAAATACAAGGACATTTGTTCATTCTAACTTTAAATACAAAATAAAGCCAAATTTGAAGATGTCTTCTGTGTTATATATTCCACAGTCTTTCACGTATGGCTCTTGTATGTGAGACTCAAGTTGGAATAGCAATGCAATGTTGCATGATTTTACCATAGTTTCTCCCGTTTGGGGAGTTTGTGTTGGGGAGGGAGGCCAGAGTGACTAGAAATTAATCTCCTCTTTTACTGAATGTGGGGGAGGATCAGCAGATGAGAAAAGGGGCTTTAAGGCCCATTAATGCCAACCTTCCATGGCAGTAGAGGCGCAGGCTGGAGGCACTCACCTTTCACGATCAGCTCCGCGTAGTTGGACACACCAGACCCACCATCAGAGCGGATCACACAGCGGTACTTGCTGACGCTCCGCTGGGCAGTGTCTGCCACACTGACTGTGGCTGAGAAGCGCCTGTGGTTGACCACACGGGTGACCATCAGGGCCGTGTCCCTGCCATTCCATTGCTGCAGAACAGAGGAAGAGAGGGAGAGGAGGAATCATAGCATCATAGGCTTCTAGGTGACTCCCAACACGGATATCCACCCATCCTCACACCCCTGGGGCTCAAGACTTTCCACTATAATAAGGGATTTCCAGCCAGGCACAGTGGCTCATGCCTGTAATCCCAGTGCTTTGCAAGGGCTGAGGCAGGAGGATCATTTGAGGCCAGGAGTTTGAGACCAGCCTAGGTAGCAAGCAAGACCTTGCCTCTACAAGAAATTTTAAAAAATAGCCAGGCATGGTGGCACTCATCTTCAGTCCCAGATACTCTGGAGGGTGAGGAAGGAGGATCGCCTGAGCCCAAAAACCAAGGTTGCAGTGAGCCATGATCAAGCCACTGCACTCTACCCTGGGTGACAGAGGAAGGCCCTGCCTCTTTAAAAAAAAAAAAAAAAAAAAAAAAGGGCAGGAGTTTTCATGGCTGGTTTGTGCTAATGAGCTGATTCAAGAATAAACTTTGCTAGTGAGCTGATTTGAGGACACAGGCCTGGTGGTAAGAAGAGAGGAAAAAGGCTCCTTCTAAACACTTTGGCTCAGCCTGCATTTGGGGCTGGCATGTAGCCCCTTAACTTTCCTCCCTATTTTCCTTTTTCCCTTAAGCAGAACTCATAGCATTCTTTCAGACAAACTTCAGCAGACTTAGTGAAAACCCAGCCCATGGAGAATAAACACCGCCTGGCTCACAGGCCCTGTGGCTGGTGCCCTGCTACCCCACCCCACAGGCTCTGAGCCCCACCTGCCCTAAGCTATCACCACAGGTAGGGAGGGGATGGGAGCCTTCCAACACCTCTCTTCCTTGGCACATGCTCTTTTCTCTGCCTGGAGGGTCTGGTCTCCCTGGGGACACTCCGTCTTCCGTAAAAAGCCACGTTCAGCTCACAGCCATCTCTAGTCAGTTCTCACAACTGTCACACCATCTCTGGAATCTTATCTATGTATGATACAAACTTTCCACACACATTTGCCCACAAGTGTTGCCCATTTTACACTGAAGGACTTTCCTCTGTTCATCTTTAGAAGCTTGTCTGAAAGCTTCCCAAGTTGGTAGACATCTCTAGAATCAAGGTGAATACACGTGGGCTTTTGTCTTCAGCATCCTGAATCTCAGGAGGGATATCCTGAGTTTGAACAAACCTCTTTCACAGTTGCAGGTTATGAGAACTGGTAAGGCACATGCATGTTGGTGCAGTTTGAGTGGATGTTTATTAATGTTATTAACTGGATATTTATCTACTATGTGCCAGCCCCTGAGCTGGGTATTTTTGTATAAATCTTCATTGTGTCTTCACAGCCTTGTTTGGGGAGTGTACAACTGCTGCTCTTCTCAGAAGAAAAATCCAAATGTCTAACAGTTTAACTAAATGTGTAGAGTACACAAGCCCCTTATCCAGGTTTTCCAACTTCAAGTCAAGCACTGTTTTTACTAAGACCATATTCTCAGTGCCTGCTTTAATTTGAAAACGTTTTTCCCCAAAAAGTGAAATTGACTCCTTTAATTATCTGGACTTAGGGAAACCTTATGACTTATGATTCTCATGCCCTGAGTCTCCCAGTCTCGCAACGCGATCTTCATTGTTTCCTGCACCAAGTAAACAGTTTCCCCATGTGCATAACCTACTTTCATCTATGTCATCTTTCCTCACCCTCTACAGTGACCTGTCAGGAGAGGGGCACAGGTACAGGTAGAGCCACACTGCTCAGCTCTATGGCAGCAAATGAGGGGAGACCAATACCAGGGGAAGGCAGTGATCATGAAGGCCAGAAACCCAGGGTATCCCAGGCCCCCATCAAAGGGCAGCTAAGAGAGACTTGCTCCAGGCTACAGGCTACAGGCTCCAGGCTACAGGGAGATTGTAGGTAATATTTTGCTGCTGCTTTTTACTTTTTCACATTCTTCAAACTTTCTGTCTCAAACACGTATTTGCTTTATACTTGAACATAAAAAAAAATGGTATTGTTCAAAAGCCATGGCAGAATGAGAGGCAGCCATAACTCCCTCTCATGCCAGAAACTAACCAACATGTGGAATAGTTAGTACACATCAGAGCAACATGCATGGGGCTGTAAGAGGAGAATCTGAAGCCAAATGCCAGCTCTGCAGCTTCCAAGCTATGCAGACTTGAGCAGGCAATTTCACTGTTCTGAGCTGGAAAGTTTCCATTCGCTTGCCCGAATAAAAACCAGTACAAGGTAATGGAAGGGGAGAAAGGTCACTTGGGCGGAAACTGCCATCCAGCTTCCTCATGCCTTGAGGCATCTTTGCAGGAGATGGCACAACTTGGACCCCACTATGAGAACCTAGGAGACACCACATGCAATGCCCCGGAAATTCCCAAAGTAGTGCAGGGAGAAAGGCGGGAAAATTCCGGCAAACACCAGGAATGTATCCTGATTTGGAGAAGAGATCACTTAATGAATAGGAGGGCCTTGGAAGCAGGGGGTCATCAAAAGGAGCCCATCTTCCCCACTGCTGAGCAAGGCATTTCAGGGCCACCATGGGGGATAAGAATGAGTTAGTGGTGAGGCTTTGGCTCAATATTTTCTAATATGAGTTATTTATAACATCATAAACACTTTTATTTTTTCTTTATTAAGCTAATAACAGCTAAACACTACTATGTGCTAAATGTTTTATATGCTTTCTCATTTATTCCCCATGAAAAATAAGGTAGGCACACTTCTTATCGCTGTCATATATAAGAGGAAACTGGGCTGGGCGTGGTGGCTCACGCCTGTAATCCCAGCACTTTGGGAGGCTGAGGCGGGCAGATCACGAGGTCAGGAGATTGAGATCATCCTGGCTAATACGGTGAAACCCAGAAATCAGGTAGCATAAAAATGCACAGAGATACAAATGTTAGGATGTCAGGAAGATGGAGCAAGACATTGAAGGAAAGCCCAAAGTCCTGGGAAATGCCACAAAGAAGCATAGCAAGGATGTGTGCACACAGAAGTCCAGGAAAAATTCCGTCAGATAAGGCCCTTATCTACCACTTGGCTTCTCGGAAATTTTCTTCTGGTTCCTGCAGTAGTTTTTCAGATTTAAGTATATCCTTCCTCTGAACTTTTAGGGCATGCTTCTTTTCCTTCTGTGGCAAGATTTTCAAGTCAATATGTGTGTTGTTCTAAAGTGAAATCATCGTCTGGCCCTCTGATTCCACGAGTCAACTCAACAAATGTCCCAGTGGGCCCCAACAGGTGGTGTCTCTGGTTGGGCTCACTGGAAGCAGACTTTGACACATGGAGATTTATCAAGTGCTTTCAGGAGAAAGGATATAAAGGACAGAGTGAGAAAAGGGGCTAAGAAAGGATGAGATCACAACTGGAGTCAAGCTCCAGCCTGGTCCCACAAGGAGTCATGGAGCATGAAGTGTACCCCAGAGTGGATGGTACCTTGTGGTTGAACTACTGTGTCCATCAGTCATTGGTCAGGGCTCACGAGGCAGAGAGAGGAGGAAACTTCTTACTTGACGGAGGGCAGCTCTCTGGGAAAAGGAAGCTGTGAGGCTTTAGCAGCCGACATGCCCAGTGCTCTAGGGTTGAGGGCACTTGCCTGCAAAGGGGATCTGTCCAGGACACTAAAAGCATGCATTCCACTTGGCACTTTCCTGTCTCTGCCTTCTCCTACAGTAAATTATACGTTGGGTTTCCTGAAATCCAATGAGCTACTGCCTTGAGATTTTCTGGCAGTCTGTTTCTAAATCTGCTTTTTTTTTTTTTTTTTTTTTTTTTTTACACATGGGGCTGGGAACTGACCTCAGTAGCACACTGGCAATACCAGGTGTGAGCATAGCTGTAATTAAGCACTGCTTCCTATGAAATGTCACTCCATCTCACATAAATAAATCACTCCGTAGCTGAGCTTGATAAACATTTTGTTCAACTTAACAAGATTTATCTGAGCGTTTATCAAGTAAAAGTCACATCAACTAACAGTTTTGAAGGCTGACTTTGTGCCAGCCACTGTGTTAATGGCTTACATAATAGACTGTTCACTTGATCCTCTTAAAGTCCCTGTCAAAGTTCTTCTCAAAGAGTGGTCCCTGAATCTACAGCATCGGCCTCATCTGGGAACTTGTTAGAAATGTAAATTTGTAAGATAATTCTAGGGCTGATATCCACTTGGAGATGTTGTTTACTGGGGTTGATAGTCTGAGGTTTTTCCCCTTTCTCCATTCTATTATTAATCATGCTGAAGATGTACTCATTATTTTACAAAACAGAAAATGAAAGAGTGTGGAAGGTATAATTTCTGCCCAGAGGAATTTATAGGCTGGATTAAGATTGTAAAAACAGTAGAAAGAGTAAAACATAAACACTAAGTCGAGCATTGAAATAGTATACTTCATGGAGGAAAACAGGTCTGGCATGGAGACAGAAATGCTCTTAGAAAAATCTAGAGCTATGGTTCTCGAACCATGGTCCCCAGACAGGCTGCACTAACATCCCCTGGGAAATTGTTAAAAATGTGAATTCTCAGGCCAGGCACGGTGGCTGACGCCTGTAATCCCAGCACTTTGGGAGGCCCAGGCAGGTGGACCACCTGAGGTAGGGAGTTCAAGACCAGCCTGACCAACATGGAGAAACCCCATCTCTACTAAAAATACAAAATTAGCCGGGCATGGTGGCGCATGCCTGTAATCCCAGCTGCTCGGGAGGCCGAGGAAGGAGAATCGCTTCAACCCGGGAGGCGGAGGTTGAGGTGAGCCAAGATCGTGCCACTGCACTCCAGCCTGGGCAATAAGAGAGAAATTCCATCTCAAAAAAAAAAAAATAAAACAAATAAAAAAGTGAAATATCTAGCGCCATCTAATAAATTCCCAGACCTAATGAATCAGGAACTTTGGGAATGGGGCCAGGCCATTTTTGTTTTAACAAACCTTCCTGGGGATTCCAATGTCTGATAAAGTGTGAGATAAGTCCTACTAGTAATTCCTATTTAATGAATAAGGAAACTGAGGCAGAGAGCGGTCAAGCAATATGGCTTTTAGTAGTACTTCTCAGACTACAGCATACAAACCACCTGGGGATCTTGTTAAAAATGCACATCTTGATTCAGAAGGCCTGTGATGGGGATTGGAATTCTTCAGGTCTTGCTGATGCTGCTGGTCCATGAACCTTACTAGGAGGAACAAAACCTGATATCACTTTGCTGAGGGGCTGAGTTAGGATTGGACCCAGGTGATCTGATACCAGACACTGAGACATTAATCACATCACCCATCTGCCACCTAGTACTAAACAGTACACAGCTACACTTAGCAACTCTGTGAAAGGAGGGTAGAGAGTGCAGTGTTCCAGAAACTTACTTTGTTTGTTCAAAGAATATCTAATGATAACTTGCAGAAAATGACTGCTTCACAGAAAACAGTTTTGGAAATGCTGTGATAGAAGCCCAGATGCCTAGCATTCTGGAAATCTTGGAAGACCTTAGGTCAGAAATATATATGTAAGAAGGAACAGAGTATCTTCCTATATTCTTGGCCATCAGATTCTTTTAATATATTATTAAGTTATGGCATACCTGGTATACTATTAGGTTGGGGTGAGGTTTCCTTATCCCCACTCTTTCAGACTAGAACAGTAGTTCCTAAATTTTAATGTGCATCAGAATCACCTAGAGGGTAATTTAGGAGGTCTGGGGTGAGGCTGGATAATTAGCATTTCTAATTGGTTCCCTGGTGATGCTAAATTCTGCTGACTTTACCCTGGGTCTCAAGGACTTAAAAGCTGATGTCCTCTTAAGTCCCTTAATGGAAAGCAAGGGGCCAAATAATACCACAGAACACATGAATGGAAAAATTCCTTAAATCTAAGACCATGTCCTGAGGATGAGCAACTGGTCACTGCACCAACAGTGCCCAGCTAAGAGGCGGGAGTTGTGGCCCCCAAACCCAACCCATACTCTATTGGCAGAGCCAGGAGTTCTGACTACAGCCATGAGTCCTTACTGAGCCCCCTTGGAGGGAGGTCACTTTTGTGCTTTGCCCAAGGGCTCTATCTGCATATCAAGCTACATATCTATGGAGCTGCATCTGCCCAGAAGGTGAACCCCTTTTCTTCCAATTCATCCGTACAGGAGGGATACATGTTCTAAATTGAAGAAAGGCATTTTACAGCCTAATCGGTGGTTCTGCTTAATCCCATTTTATGTTTATGTTTCTCTGATTATGTTGCCTTTGAAATCTCTCTTTTTCTTTCCCCTTTTTCAACTGCTTGCCTTGCTCTTTAAAAACAACTCAAATTCCAACTTCCCTTGGCTTACTTTGTTTTATGTGGATAAGTCGGCTTGGTTTGAGAGCACACACTCATTGGAAGAACAGGAGCTGTAATAGCTACACTTTAATGTTCTGTCCCCAGCACAAGTGCATCCTTCCACCCCCAGGCAAGACCCCTCTATTTTCAGGAACCACCTAAAGAGGAAGGCAAGAGTTGCACCTGATGCCACAGAGAGTGCTGTTTTCCTACCGTCTGATTATCTATCAAGGTTTCTGTAATGGCCTTGCCATTTTGCAATTCCCCATCCACTCTCCTTTAGTGTCATGACATTATTTCCTTCACAAAGAGGTAAGACAAGACTACAAAAATGGCTGTCATTATTTCAGAAAGAGCAGGAAGCCTTGAAATTGACTTGTAATTGGCAGAAGTGGAAACAGTACTGTCTTTAATAAAAGGAAACCATTTCTGGTTTTGCACAACAGATACTATGCCTGGTTTACAGAAGATATTCTAATGCAGGATCCTGGAAGCCTTCAGTGTGTTGGTTTGAACTTCTTGGCATCAAAATAATAAAAAAAAATGATAAAGATAAAAATATAAAAATAAAACAAAATAAAATTAGGCCCAGCATTTCCAGCTGTCATTTGTTCCAACTGCTCCAGGAATTTCCTGGCCAGAAAATATTTAGGTGAAATTCCCACAATTCACTTGTAATGCGTATTCTTTTCACTTCTAGTCACCCTGCTGCCACGGCATGACATTTAGAAACTTGCTAAAATCTAGCCCATTGATTCTCTTAAGATCACATTTGTACCTTTTTGGCAGTCTCTAAAGAATAGCTTTTGATTATTCTTTATTAAAAGTCAGAAGAAATAGAAGTAGACATAAATCATTTTTGATTAGCTGTGCTGAAACCCTTCCAAGAGCCCTCTATGTACGTGGCTGACTGCTCATTTTGGGTTGATTTCTGGGTTTAGAACTCCTGCAAAGAGTCAGGAGGGACCTGGCATAAGTCCCACAGGGCTTGGTGGGGGACAAAGGAAACTAATGAGAACATGAAACTTAATGCTGCTTGCTGTGTGGTGAATAACAAAGTTCTTTGTCTCTGACCCAGAAGTTTCATGTCTTCTGCCAGCATCTATGAAACTGTGGCAGTCTACCTTGTGAGCCTCCAAATAAGGTAAAATCTTAGGCCTTTCATAGTTATTGATAGACAGTTTCAAGTGGGCAGTAAGATTTTTGTGGAGGGAGCAGTCAGTATCATCAAATCTGAAAAGAGAAGTATAAGGCCTGCGATGCACCCTTTGGCTATAGCAATGAGGAAAGCACTGGGGACATTTACAAGGGCCACTCCTTGGAAGAGGTGGCACTGAAGAAAGCCTCATTCCAAGTGTAGACGTCCCATTTAAAGAATGTGGCTAGGAAGGGGATAAGAGAATTAAGAAGGCAACTAGGGGGTGGGGAGGCAATTCAAAAATAATTCCAAGGGCATTTTATTTCATTGATCTCATGTAGATTTGAGAAATTAAAATATACTTAAGTATCTGGTTCAGCGGCCAATAAATTTAGAAGTGTATAAATATATGCTAAATAAAGAAATCTGTTTTTAAATAGAAAGCCTCCTGTATAGAAGGAAAGGCTGGAGTGTAACCCAAGGTGACAGGGCCATGAGGTAGGCATGGAAGAATGAGCCCAGGACTGAGAGACAGGACCTATGTTTCTTCACACCATGCTTCTGCTGCTCACTGCCTGTGTAATTCCGAGGATGTCATCTACCCATCTAAGGCTCAGTCTCCTCACCTATAAACAGGGCTACAATCACATCTAACTGAAAGACTGGTTATGAGAATTAAATACATCCTATGTGTAAGCACTTAGTAAACATCAGCTGTTAAACATAGTATCATTACATTATCATCATTGCTTAGTTGCAGCGTGACCACTAGATTGTCAACAGAAATGCCACACAGAAGGGATGCCTGGTTCAGATGCAGGCAGGTAGGTAGGAGGAGGAGCTGGTCCCCAGAACACTCACAGCCTCAGAGGCCAGCAGCAGCCCTGCAGGAGCAAGGAAACAGGTTTACTGGGCGAACCGGCTGCAGTAAAGACTGATATGCCTCCTCAGCTCATCAACCCTGTTGCAGCTGCTGGAGTGCAGGCAGGAACCTTTTCCTATGAGATTCAGATCTGCTCCCAGTCCAGTGAATGCAATTTGTCTGAAAACATACACTGTCCCTACAGAGATCTGCACAGGGCGTTTGGACACATGGCTTCATTTCTGAGACTCTTCAAATGTTATTTGTCATAAAAACCCCTCGTGGATTGAATCCTTTGTAGGGAGGCCTGAGAGTCAGCTCCATGGTGGGGCTGACAGACTCTGCTCTGGAGTCCCTGAGTAATTCAAGGAAAGAGCCCCATCCACCATGCTCCTTGATAAAGACAGGAGGACACACATAAAATATTTCTAAACATGCTTCTGGATGAGTAGTGTCTGATGGTGATGATGGGGGTGTGGGAAAAACCTGTGTCCTCACTGTTGGAATTAGCTATGCCAAACCCAGCAAAGGCTTCTTCGTATACTAGGAGTATTCTGTAACTGGGAAAAAGTGACCATTTTTCTTTTTTTAATAGCATTTTGTTTATGTTAGTTTCCTGTATTCATCTTAGAATATTTGGATAAAACAGAAAAGAATAGCGATGAAAATAAAAAGCTTCATAATCTATTATTACAATCAAGTGTCTTAATATGTATTTCATGGAGTTATAGGAGTGTCTATGTATATACATATGTATATACAGATTATATATATTTATATATTATGTACATGAGCATGTATATGTGTATATATTTTTTCATAAAGCTTAATATTATATGACTCTATAACTCATCCTTTTCACTTACATGTTATGAAAATGTTAAATATACTTCTAAAATCTGATATTTAATGATACCATTCCCTCATTTACTTAATCAGTCTCTTTTGCTGAAAATTTAGGTTCTTTCCAGCCTTTTGTCCTACTGAACACAATTGCAGATACATTTTTGTCCCCATCTCTAGATATTTCCTTAGGTAAATTTCCATAAGTAAATTTACTCATTGGAAAAATATGCATATTTAAGGCTTTGGATATCAACTGCCTAATTATCTTGCAGAAAAGATGTACACATTTATATTTGCTCTGTGCTACACTTATAATTATGTTGGTATAGCCCCACCTAGTTGTATCCTGAATGTCATTTTTTAAATGGACTCCACAAAACTGTAGACCACTTTGTTTAGTGGCTATTCCCCTTGGAATGCACACCATCTCCTTGCTTGAAAAATTGCTTGCAAAGTTACATGTCTGGATTCCTCAGGCCAAAGTATCACATAAGGAATAAGCAAGTTATGACTGAGCCCCTTCCACCACAGACCACGGCATCATACACTTCACCTCAAGGAGAAATGATCCCAGGACAAGAAGAACCTGCTTATAATTTTTTACTAGCCTTCTATCATCCTTTTCCCTGATTCACTACAATTGTTCTAGGCTCATGTGTTTGCATTTCTGCATCGGTCCTGTCCATTGACTCTCATGTAGAACTTGTACTGTAATTCCACAAAAGCCAGCACCGGCAGATGGGATCTTCTAAAGACATATAAAGTTTCCAGAGGGGTGCAAAACAGGGGCATTGGCTGGTCCTCCTTTTAACTTATTAATTTATGATCCAAAACCACTTAAGGAAAAGCAAGCTATAAAGTCCCACTCTACAGAAAAGAGGGCCAGCATTTCACCACACAGGCAACAGGGATTTATCTCAAACTATGAATCCACTGGCTCCTTTCTAACCACTGCCAGAAAGAAGGGCCACCGACATACCTGCTATGCTGGAAACAACATCTTTATTTCCCTGAATTACAACTGGCCGAGTTGAGAAGTTACCACTTTCAGTGACTTAGTGAAATTCCTCAGCATATCTCAGAAGCTACAGCAGGAAGTAGCACTGCTACACAGTAGACCTGCTGTAGCTGTCTTATAGAGACTCTTTTGGCCATGATGGGCCTGTTTCATTTGCTTTGGAAATTCTCAGGCTAAGTCACCCCAACCTTATTATATGAGGCAGAACAACAGCGAGAGTGCCAGCCACTCCTCTACTGCTTGGACACATCTGAAGAAACATCTCAGGAGAAACTGGCCACTGCCTTGGCCTGTCTTGGATGGTGGCTGCGATCCTCTCTGGGGTGGCAGGTGTGTTGATAGGTGCCTTCTTTTTGTAGAAAGATGTTAACCTATGTGATGGTTAATTTTATGAGTCAACTTGACTGTAACAGAGTACCCAAATTAAACAGTATGTCTGGGTGTGTCTGTGAGGGTGTCTGGATGAGATGAGCATTTGAATCAGTGGACTCAGTAAAGTGCATGGCCCTCCCCAGCGTGAATGGGCACCATCCAATCTTTGGAAGAATAGAACAGAAAAGCAGGGGAAGAAGAGTTTGCCCCTTTGCCTCCTCCCTGACTGCTTGAGTTGGAACAGTGGTCTTCTCCTGAACTTGGACTAGAATTACACCACTGCCATTCCTGGATCTCCAGCTCGCAGATGGCAGATCATGAGACTTCTCAGTTTCCACAGTCACATGAGCCAATTCCTGTACTAAGTCCTTTCCTTCCATATAGGAAGGACATATTATATATGGAAGGAAAAGACTTACTATGGATGGAAGTGTTTACATCTATAAGGAAACACTTATTAAAAAAACTATATATACACAAATATATATTAATATATACTTACATATAAATATTTTCCTTAATATATTTAATAAATTTTTATAATATATATTTTATAAAATATATATTTTCTTTAATGAGTGCTATATAAAGATTATATATTTATATATACATATATTTTAAACATAAATATATTACATATAATTATATATTTTTATATATTATATATGTTATATAACATATAATAACATAATTTGTTATATGTATAACATATAATTATACATAACTTAGGATAACATATAATTACATATAATTATGTTACATGATATATATTATAACATACTATATATTATATATGAAAATATATAAAATTATACACACACACACACACACACACACACACACACACACACACACACACACTGCTTCTCTGGAGAACCCTGACTAATACAGCCTACTTCCAATTACCTGATTGCACATAAGCCTGGATTTAACTAGCCACACAGGCATTTGTCAGATGGCACGATATAAACTGTGTACCTCCCAATATTTTCTGAAATGCAGATGAGACAGACAATATTTAGGGAAGTTTCCTTGAAAAAATAGTTACTGAATCTATTCACTTACCAGATACGTTTCAAGTGCCCCAGGATGGAGACAGATTGGCAGAGAGCAGGGGACTCTGCCATAGCCTCTTGCCCACTTCACCCCTCTCTCCCCCTTCTCCTCCCCAGACTGCTTTCTCACAGCCATCATGATGTGAAACAGGCCTGTGAAACTCACTTGTGTGCCCTCAGTAAGACTGTGGTGGGGAACATTGTTCATTGCATCATACAGTGTTTTCTTCACAGGGACTCCTGGGAACAATTCCTGTCTGGCTTCTGTGTGAACAACAGGTAGAATTTTCCTGAGCAATTGGTTTTTGTTTATCTCACAGACATTGTGAACTGTGTATCTGACAAGTTTCCTTTATTCCACTAGTGGCTACAAAGCTGCGGGCTCTGTGTGTGACCCACCAGTTAGTAACGTGTGCAGAAATGCGGTTTTCGCATTATTACCAGCTCTGTGTATTTTCTCCTTCTATCTGGTGTTGTCCCACTTTTAATTTATGATATCTTGTCATGTTTTATGTCCCATTGAAAGCCACCTGGAAGACGTTTTGTGAAATAAGATTTGGTTTACATTGAAAAGGAGATAAGATGTGGAAGAGCTCCATGTCATGTGTTTCCATCTGTTTTCTTCAAATATTCAGTTATGATCTCTTTAACATCCTCCCACTGACAAACCCAAGGTTCAGGGCATGCAACTAAGAACTGCCACAATAACGATCATAAAATAATTGGAAAACCCAAACAAAGTTGCTGAAAATATTGTGATGGTCCTGCCTCATTCTCATGACCCAGCTGAGGCAATGCCATTGAAATCACACAGCTTCTTGGCAGCCTAATACACTTGAACACTAATCGTAATGAAAAGAGTAAATAACTCTACCGAATACTGAGGTGACGTGGAGGTTTCTTATGCTCTCCTGTGGTCTGTAAGCAACCCTGGGAAGCAGAAAGAACAGGTATTTCACGCTGCTGTGCTGCTATTTGCACTCTGCTTGCTGCTAAGTGGCAAGGAAGAACTGTTGGTCCCTAGATGGGCTCTTTATGCCCAAGGATTTTTCTAACCACAGGAAATGGCTTAAATTCAAGAAAAGAAGTGACAACATGAACTTCCAAGAAAGTGTGTGGAGAGACAGCTAGGCAAAGGAACACATGAAAATATGTTCAGTATCATCAGTCCTCTAAGAAATGTAAATTAAAACTATAACGTGCTCCCATTACACACCTATTGAAATGCTAAAATTAAAAAGACTGACCATACTGAGTGCTGGTGAGGATATGGAGCAACTAGAACTTTCATAGACTGCTGGTAGGAATGTAAAATGGTACAACCATTTTTTCAAACAGCTCGTTGTTCTTTAAAGTTAAACATATATCTACCAGATGACCCTGCCATTCCACTTCTAATTCACTTTCATACCCAAGAGAAATGAAAGAATACGTCTCTACGAAGACTCACACATGCAGGCTCCCAGCAACTTCTTTGTAATAGCCAGAAACTGCCAACAACCCAACAGGTATCCATCAACAGGTAGATGGATAAACAAATAGTAGTATATCCATTCTATGAAATATTTCTTAGCAAAAGTAAGAAATACTGTTACACACAACAACATAAGTAATCCTTAGAATAATTCTGTAGGAAAGAAGGGTACATACCGCATGCTTCCATTTATATAAAATTCTAGAACATATAAGCTAATACATACTGTCAGAAAGCAGATTGGCGGTTGCTTGTGACAAACGGGAGTGGGGAAGTCAGAAGGAAGTGATTACACATGGGGACGGAACTTTGGACGCCATGCAAATATTCAATATCTTGATTGTGGTAATAGTTTCACATGTAAACATACAAAACTTATCAAATTATATACTTTAAACATCACATCTCAATTATACCTCAATAAAGCTAGTTAGAAATAATTTTTTGAGAAGGAGTTTCAATCTGGTTGCCCAGGCTGGAGGGCAGTGGTGCGATCTCAGTTCACTGCAACCTCCGCCTCCTGGGTTCAAGTGATTCTCCTGCCTCAGCCTCCCAAGTAGCTGGGATTACAGGCACTCGCCACCACGCCCAGCTAATTTTTCTATAGAAATAATTATTTTCATGTCAAATCACCACAGCCACATGTAGTTAGTGGTTCCTGCACTGAACAGCATGGCTCCAACTTCTGTGCTGCCCCAAAAACTTGCTATTTGTGCTAGTATTAATGGAAGTATGCTAATGTTATAACAAGTTACGTTTTAGTTCTATGTGTCGCCCTCTGTCCTAACCCCCACTCAAAGAGATCCTTTCTCATCTTTCTTGGAAAGTGGGATGAACAAGCAGAAATAACAGGAAGGCAAATTCAAGCTTCAAACACTTCCCTGATGGACTTTACTAACGGACTTATTTAACCAAAGAATAGACAGATTGCTCATTTTAGTGAAAAATTCCCATAAAAAGCGACTCTCTAATTTTACCCAGAAGTACCAGTGAATCACTGGATATCCAAGAACCTTCCAGTTAAGATTACATGACAACCACGTACCAAGAACCTAAGCTATTCCATTTGCCTCAGCCCTAGTAATCTGCAATTAAAAGACAAAGTTTGTTAGAGGGTAGTTGGAAAAGGTCATAGTTACAAATTCTAGTTCTGGAACTTTTAGGTTTTGGTCTGGGTTTCTGCATGTATAAAATGGTTATACCAATGCCTGACTAGCAGAATCGTAGTTAAGATTTAACAAGATCATAGATGCAGGGCACCATCAGAGGAACAGAAGTACTTTAAAAATCTCCCTTCCCTGTACACACCAAACCATTCATCATAGCACACACTTTCTTCCCTTATCAAGGGATAAGACAGCATCGTTAGCCCAAGCTGCCCCATTTCGTAAACTCACACCATTTTGCAAATGCTGGTTAGAGCAGAAAATTCCGCAGGGGTTTGGGCCATGAGACACATCCCGCCAGACAAGTCCCAGGCCTAACCATCTGACCCCAGGAAACTCCTCACTTACCAGCGACTGACCACACCACCCACCCCATCTCACAAGCCCAGACCTCTCCCGCCTGGACCTATAATTACCCCAGTTTGTAAGCAAGGGTGGGCTCCGGTGCTAGCTGTTGTCCCCCTCTGCATGTCTTTGTTCAATACACTTGTGTTGCCATAGAGCTGCTTCCTTCCAGTCCTTCTTTTCCCTTTCTCATCCTAACGAGTCTGAGCAGAGGCTTCTCTCATGCTTACCTGGAGCCAAAGCTTGTCATGCTGAGACCACTTCCCACCAGCAATGCACTGAAATGTGGCATTCTGCCCCACATTCACCTCCACGTTTTGGAGTCGCAGAAAATGAGGTGCTTTTCCTAAGAGAGAAACCAAAGAACACAAGAGAATGAGATTCGACAGCCTGCACCACTTCCCTATTGGTGGATGGCAGCTCAGGATGGGCACTGGGCAGGGTGGAACTGGCACTTAAGAAGTAGCCCGGCTCAGTCAAGATTTCATTGATCACTTATTATAAGTCTGGCACTGTTCGAACTTTACACGCAGAATCTCACTGAAACCTCACAGAAATCCATGAAGTGGGCAGTATCCCCATTTCACAGATCAGAAAATTAAGGCTCTGAGGGTTTACGTCATCATTTGGCACAGACACATATCCAGAGGGGGAGGGAACCAGGACGTGAATTTAGATCTGTGCTCTGTGAAATTGGCACAAACATGCCTAGAATACACCCAAACTGATCATTGCTTCTGGGGTTGGCATTGCACAAAAGGTGAAACTACGACACTGAAAGTTAAAAGAAAAATTGGGGGGCAGGAGGGGTGTATTCACCATAGGTGATGCTTCCCTGTAGCCTGAAGAAGCAAAATAAGAAAGCTGAAGTGAAGCACCTTTGGGCCTGATACCTGCACACTTGGCCTGGGTGACGATGTTGATGAGGAAGATGATGAGGAAGACAAAGAGCGGAAGAGGGAGGAAAAGGGAAGGAAAGCACTAGTAGCTGTCATTCTTAGCGCTTGCCATTTGATAAGTACCACATGCAGTGTCTCTCTGCAGTAACTCACTTAACCCAATGCAGTCAGTAGTGTTATTTTCTCTATTACACAGTGAATGAACTGAGGCACAGAGAACTCTAGAAACGTGCCCAATATCACAAGACCCCAGAGTCTTACTCTGTGATGGTGCTTTCTGAGCATGAGGGGGAGCGTTGATTCTAGGGACTGGACATAACAGGGAAAGGGTCTTTCAAATGAAAATCAGGGTGTGTATGAGCAGACAATCTTCGGATTAAGTCTATGTTTTATATTGGGTAACCTGGTTTCATCTCTTTCCTTTTTTGTGGAGAAGGGTCCTCACCTACCTGCACTCTACAAATAATAACAACAGTAACAGCTCTCCATTGGCTGATAAATTGTATCTAGAAGAATTGGTTTCTTCATTGAGGCACAATGAAGGATCTCTATGCCATCAATCAAATCAGTGATGAACTGGGATCACCCCCAGAATGGAAACAAATGGAGGGTTAGGAGAGGATCAAGGAGGTTTAACAGGAGGCTTTGGCCATCTTTCTACAAGGAGTCAAATACACAGAGAGACAAATAGTAACAATAATGTCATTTACTGAGAGCTCCTACAATGCCAGGTACTATGATAAATGCTTTGCATGCTCTATCTAATTTAACTTCATGACATTCCTATAAAGCAGACACTATTATGATTTCCCTGTTAGGCAGAAATCAAGGCTCAGCAAGTTTAATGTGCTGAAAGCTACACAGCGCTAGTGAAAGACAGAAACAAAATTCAATCCAGGTCCACTTTAGCCCCAAACTCAGCATGTAACAAGCAGCTATGCTCCCTTGCCTCCTGGGCACTGGGAATGAGGATGGTGTCTCCAGATAGACTCCAGGGTCTGCAGAAGGGGCTCCCAGTCAGGGCTGTGCTGATGGTTCAGGTTTCTGTCCATGCTCCCAAATATTTTATTAAAAGTGACCCCTTTCCATGCTATTTTTCCTTGATTTGAACTATTTTGTCTACCAATCTGTGTCAGCACCTATAAAGCTCAGCAAAAGCCAAGAATCTTGGAACAATTAGGCAGACTTGTTGGGAGAGCACTGGGCAGCGTGGAATTGGTGCTTGAGAAGTGGCCTGGCACAGTGAAGAGTTCATTGATCGCTTATGATGAGTCTGACACTGTTTGTAGGACTTTACACGTCATATCTCACTGAAACCCCCAAAAAATCCAGGAAGTGGGCAGTATCCCCATTTCCCCAATGTACTTTTACTCAGGTTTTTAAACTAATGACAGCAGCTCAGAGACCCCTCAGGCTACCTTTGAGCCACCATGGCTGGTGTGGTGTCAAGGACCCAAGGCCCGGGGAAAACCACCTCTATGGGCTTTTCAGAGTTGAAAATTCCTGCATCTAGTCAACTTGACAAATGCCATGCTGCTCTGATTGTCTGAAATTGTTTCCTTTTGGCTCTCCTGTATAATTTTATGAAGTTATTTTTGGAACTATCAGTTCAAATCAATTCTTAAAATGGGAATAGAGTGAACCTTGGAAGCCTGTTCATGCCACAGGCTTAAAGGGGGAGTGAACACATCCACCCCAGGTGGGGAGGGAGTGCAGAGTCTTAGCTCCAATGCTGGGAAACTCTGTGTTTAGTTTTACAAAGAAATGCTCTTCCCTTACCCTTCGAGAAAATGGTTTAACCTCTGGGATATGCACAATTAGCAATGAATCTTTTCTGGATCAATGTCCCCAGCATGCCTCTGACTCCTCTCCACTTCTTCCTTCTCAGCAACAGACCTTTTGCCTTGATTCTTTCATCTTCAATTCCTCTTCTTCCCTTCCTTCTAGGTTCAGTGGTAGAGAGTTTAGATGTTTAATGGCTCCTAGTGTGAATATTCTGGGGAAATACTGGCAATTTACAGCAGAGATAATGAACGCATGCACCTACAAGAGCCAGTTATGTAAATTAATAAAGTCGTTCAGCTGTAAAACAAAACAAAAATACCACCTCCTTGCCCCATCTTTTACTTTCCCACTTTTGATAGAGACTTGAGAAAAATAAAGATTTCTTTATATAAGAAAAGCAATGTTGTAAGCACAATAACTGGTATCCACCAGTAGCCTCAGCACTGAGGAGACAATAAGGAGTGGTGAGGACTGGAGGGAACTGGAGAGAGACTCTGAAAGGGGACACTGAAAGGGGGCAGCTCCTACTTAAATTCAGCAGAGGAAGGCCAGGCATGCATGCTTTGTATAGGGGTGTCAAACGTCTGATTTCTCCAGGCCAGTAAGAAATCCAGACTTTATATGAAATCTCTCACTCTAAACTCAACATGTTATTAAAACACAGTACAGGCTTAACAAAACATGTGTACATGCAGGCTCTATCAATCTGCGGTCCCTGATATGTAGCTCTTATGAAAGTCCTCTGCAACAATTTCCACTAGCCAGTCTCACCCGATCCAGCCCCATACATTCAGGGATGCCCCCACCACTCCATGCGGTACGCGGTGGGCATCACATGAAGGCCAACCCCGAGTACAGTTCCCAGCACAGGAGCTGATCTAGGCTACCCTCTTCTTGCTCAAGACCCTTGTCTCTGCTCCTTGGGGCTCTGGGTCATCCTTGGCTCATGACAGGCAGTGCTCTCTGGTGATTGTGCTTATGTGGGGGGCCTGTATGGTCCTCTTCCCTGCGTTCCTGGCCTCTCTGACCCTCCTTTTTCCATGCCCCCAAACGGCCTGCTCATCAGCCGCAAGCTCTCTCAACTGTCACCTTCCCCCAGCATCTGCTGCTCTGGGAGAGAACTTATATTCCACGAGCTTCAAATCACTCATCTTCAGCCAAACATGGTTGACCTTGGTACCCAGGTCAGCCATCGGCTCGTGGTTCTAAGCATTTCCTACTCACTCCACACTGAGACCCAATTCCCCCCAGATGGGATGCCACTGAATGGGCTTAACAGAAGACTGGCTGTGCATTTGGGGCAAAAATGCCTTGACGTTAGTGACATTTAGACGCCTACAGATGTCAGTGCAGCATCTGAAGACATATTATTGTGCCCTTTATCTTGCTCTTTAAACCTGACAGTGCTCAGTAGGAAGCCACACAATTGTGGAGAAAGCCCAGTACGCACATTAGAAACATGTTGCAGATGCTCTGTGGGCTCGGGGACACGGCCCCACAAGATTGTGAGGGAGAAAGAAAAGTCAACTTAGAAGCTAGAAACTTTGAAACGGAGTGGAAAAATCATACTGACATTTATCTTACACAGTTATAACTGCCTTGGCCCTGCTAATGGCTAACACTGAGAAACAGCAACAGAGGGTAACTAAGGATAGAATACTTTTAGAATAACACAAAAATGTTAAATGGGCTATAAAATATAGATGAGAGGCTTCCGTTTGTAAGAGAAAATAATTTCTTTGAGTATTATGCCTGTCTTTTGGTTACTGTTTTGGGAGCTTGGAGGCAATTATCTACAGTTCTAATTTCAGTGCCAATCAATTGAAGATACAATTGCAAATCAGTCACTCGCTCCCTGGAACTTTTGGAATACTTAGTGGAATCACTTATTGATAAACTCTGACCATATGTTAATAGAAAATATGTTTTAGAGGACAGAAAGGGATAATTAAAAAGACTTTATGTCCACAGGCTTTTTTGAATTGAACGCATATATTTCAATATAGTTCAATTTTTAACCATCTATGAGTGAAGTCATAAATTCTAAGACTGGAGGCTGGGGAAAAGCACCTTTAGTCTAAAGGAGAGTTCAGAAGCTACTATCCACTTGCATGACAGGTAATCCCTGTAAGCAGTCCCTGGGGCCCACAGGGCCCCTCACCAGGCAGCCTGCTCAGTTCTTCCCAGGCTCTCACCACCTTGCTTAAGCTACAAATCTGTGAGTGCACTATCTCCGATGCCTGACTCTTAATCCAATTTATCAAATGAGACCAGTTGGCTCTGCCTCCTAAATGGATCGCTAATCTCTGCACCTCTATCCACCTCTATGCTCTAAGTTTCTTCATTGTCCTGCTCATAATTTGTCATGGTCTGAACTGTGTCTCCCCCAGATTTATCTTTTGATATATGACCCCAACCCCCAGTATCTCAAATGTTCCTATTTTTAGCAGCAGGGCCTTTAAAGACATGATTAAATTAAAATGAGGCCTTTAGGGAAAGCCCTAATCCAATCCAATCTGACCAGTATTCTCAACAGAGGAGGACATTTGAATGCACCGGGAGACACCAAAGGATTGTAAGTACAGAGGAATGACCATGTGAAGCCTCAGCAAGAAGGCAGCCACCTGCAAGCAAAGAAAGAGCCTCAGGAGAAACTACGGTGGCCAACACCTTGACCTTGAACTGCCAGCCTCCAGAACTGTGAGAAAATAAAATACATTTAAGTTGCTTAAGCCATCCAGTCTGAGGGGTTTTGTTATAGCAGCTTTAGCAAACTAACGCACTGTCTGTGCATATAATTATATAATCATATCATATAATTATATAAGCATATCATATAATTATATATGATATGCTTATATAATTATAAATGTATATATGATATATAAATGTAAATTATATGATTATATAATTATTTATATACTATAACTCACATTTATATAATATATACTTCTATATAATGCTTGTACAATTATATAATATATAGATTATAATAATATAATCATATAATTACTTTATTTGTTTTGCTTCAGCCTCCTTCACTTCAATAGAAGTCCATGAAGACAGACAGTCAATCTGTCTTTCTCACTCCCACAAACCCAGAATGGTGCCTGACATGGAGCTCACGCTCAGTAAATACTTGTTGGATGATGAATGGATGTCTCTCAGTCACCCTGGTGCGGGCCACCACCACCTCTTGCATGGCTCCAGAACTTTCTTCCTCCTAGGTCTCCCGACATCTTCTCTATGGTCCTCCAACACAGAGCAGCCCAAGTGACCCTTCTCCAGCAGCACTCCCTGCAGCAGAGCCTCCCTGCCCTTAGACAAACATTTAAACTACTCACGATGCTGCCCAAAGTCCAGGCTTTCCTGCCCAACATTTGCCCTGACCACCTTCTCCTGTGCCCTGTATGCTCAGGACATGCTGGCAGCATCAAGCCAACTCCGTGTGCAGGGCCTCTGCAACCACTATCTCCTCTGTCTGAAGCACCCCTCCACCAAATCACTAGACTGTGAACTCCCTCCTGTGATTTGAGTCCCAGCCCAGGTCACATTTTCAAAGATATCTCCTCTGACCACTATATCCAAGCAGCCCTCCCGTATCCCAGACACCGACACTTACTATATCCACTATTATTTTCACTATCTGAAATTTCTGGTTACTTAATATTAGTTACTGATTTAGTGCCTTTCTTTCCACTGGCTCTTCTGCTAATCAAACACCATGAGTACAAGGACCGAACCTTTCTTAGTCACTTAAGTATCACTGTGCCTAGGAAAGTTCTTAACACATAGCTGATGTACAATAATTTACTTGCTGAAAGAAAGAATAAAAACCTGGGCTAGGTATGGACTGAGCACTGGTCCTTAGGAAAGGGACTTTGCTAGGCCCTACTCAACTCCACATGATTCGTGAGCTGTGGATATACCTCAGGCATTATATACATTGCCAGTATTTGTCCATATAGTTAAGTGAAATTTTTTCCAATTCCAGCCACTCCTATGGGGTCTTCACATCATGCTTTCTGGGAAGTTTATGCTTAAGCTGCCTCAACACTGAGGTTGAACCCAACAGGAGCACATTATGCAGACATAAAGCCAGGATCACGCCTTCCTGAGTTATATCCCATGGTCCATTTGCTGGGTAACTGGCTTTCAGCAATTTCATGACCATGCCACCCACACCCCTCTGCAGGAGGAGGATGAGGTTGTCAGGAGAATCCTGACTTCAGGAGCAACCCCAGTGAAACGAGAATTTCAAAAGGATTCATGAGACTTTGGGGGGTGGAAAGTCATTCCAGTGCCCTCCAAAGAGCCCTCTCCCATGGAGATTTATCAAAGAAAAAGGATGCATTTGCTTGTGACAGCAAACCATGGTCAGTGCTTGGAGGTAAGGCAGAGCTTTTACCACTCTGGCCTTGAAGGTAGTTACGGCTAGGGTAAGAGACAGGTGTCAAGGTTGGGCATCAGGACGGAGATGAAAATTCCCATTAGAGCACAAAGTTCTGGGATCCAGGTAGAGAGACTCATGCTATTTTCCCTTGGGAAAAGCCAGCTGTCACCTACTAGAAAGCTAAAGTCCAAGCATCCAGCACAAAGTAAGAAGCAGGAACACAGGTAGATGTGGCAGAGGCAAGCACGCTCTGAGTGGATGGGATGTAGGCAGGGAATGAGGAAGACAGAAGGCATGTTTCAGAGAGACTACCTCGAAACTGGAGGTAGTGCAAGATTGAGCGCATGCAATTAAATGGACCACAGGTAGCACAGACATCTCCCAACACAGTTGCCCAGTCTTAGGCTCATTCTCAAATGAGCAGCTGATGGTGACTCCCACGAGTCCAGGGTGGGGAATATTTCACCCTAGTGAAGGAGATTCATATGCATATCTACTACATAAACCCTGCATAGCTGGGGGGATTTCTGGGATCCTCTTCACATGAAGTCTGGGTCAATAGAAACATTTCCCCAGGCATGACTGAATGACAGACCCATCTGAGAAATTCTAAAAGCCTCAGGAAGTAACCCAGAGGGTAGGGACTTTCAGCCAGTGCAAAGAAGAGCCCAGTAGCATCTCAGCATTCCCAAGATACCAGTTGCTTCTTGGGAAAGAGGGTCTCTCCTGCACAGGATCCAAACACAATTTCTCAAAATAATGTTCGGAACTTGTAATGTGTTCCAAATTCCTCCAGAGAAGGGGCTCTAAGACAATGAGTCAGACAACGGCATTCTAGTGCCAGGCAGAGGGAGGGAAGTTACATTTGAGGGTCTGACAAATTCATTGCAGCAGAAGTGGAAAGAGTTATTTCAATTAAAGCAACATGGATGAGGCTGAAATGAGAATAGTCCCTAAATGCGAGGATTGAGAAGCACATAAGGAGAGGAGGACCCATGATGTCTCTTGAGGCAGCAGCAAACTGCACCATAGCCCAAAGCATGACTCATGCCCATATGGGAGGAGTGGAGAGAGCCCACAGGGGGTTACCTAGAACTGGATGGCTGCCAAGAAACTACTGGGAATCTCCAATCTGCAGAACACTAACAAACTCATGGGGCTGGCATTCCAGGTATCCCTCCCAGGGTCTGCCATAATCTCCATGCAAATCAGTTTGATTTCAGTCCCCCCAACCAAATGTCACTGGGTATGATGTCATCTCAACTACCTGTACCCAGGACTTATGGCCTCTGAGATTTAGTAAATCCAGAAACCACATCTCCCTGCTGAAACACATTCCAATATCTGAGACTAAATATGGCAAAGAAGTAGATGGGTATGGAGGAGTGCCACGCCTTTGAGGACTCTTGACGCTGTACCATAAGTACTAACCACTATGAGAAATCTCTATGCCTACATGGAGCTGATGAGTATATTTAAAATTATTTTAAAAGAATTAATAACTTCAGGGTACTTTTCCCTGTGAGGGAACAGTGTGCTAATTTGCTCAGTGTTTTGGTGGTGGTGTGTTTTTTTTTTTTTAAGACAATTGCACAAGATTCTATCCAAAGCCCTCTAATTCTACCACTTCAGTGGTCTGAATCCCACTAATAAACAATCAGGACTTTAGACTCCCTTAATAATGGAGAGAGATTCAAACAAAGATGTTTTGCCACTCTCTGCAAATTCCTGGAGGTGCTGCCTGTTGAACAGGCCGGCAAAATTATGGATTTATTCAGGACTGATTGCATTGAGTATGTAAGCATTTCTGAAGGATTCAAAGAGAAAGAGAGAGTGAGAGATGTTTGTAAGCTGAATGAATGGAAGGGATTGCAGGCTCTATGCTACCCAGTCTGGCATGGATCAAGGCTGTGTTGGGAGGAAGGGAAAGACTTACTGCATGGATGAGCAAGGACCCGGACCTCGTCCACGGCGATGTAGCCAGGATGACCCTTCAATGAGACGGATTCAAATATCACCTGCAACACACAGGGCGGGAGTCAATTTCACAGAAACAGTTGCAGGCATTCATCACAAGAAGCTGCCCGGCCCCCAGCCCTTTATGTTTCAACTTCCCATCAGAAGCAACCCAAGAAACCTTCTGTTAAGACAGCACGCTACCCTGGCAATTGACTGGGATTTTCAACACAAGGTAAAAAGGCCACACTTTGGTGGCTAGCAAAAGAAGAATATTTTTAACAAATTTCAGAAATAACACTTAGATGCAGGAAAAACAACCCAAACACCGAGGTCTCGGAAACCCCAGTCTGCATCTTTCTCATTGCAGCTTCAAGGGTCAAGCCACAACTTGACCATTCTTCTACAGAGAACTACTTTCTAATATTCCAACTTTCTTATGAAGGATAAGATAGATGCCTACCTTGGAAGCTACCATAAGCCAAGGAGGGTTTACCATGAGTTGATTCTACATTGCCAAGGAACATATTACATTTGAATCTATAATAACACTCTTAAAAATAAGTGGCAATCTACCTGTTGGTATCCAGGAGTAGAAGGCAACTGACTTCCACCTAAACTGCTATTTCCATAAAAATTTTGTAATGCATTTAGCTTCCCTCATCACTCAACCTCTATCTTCACCAAGGAGATATGAATGTCTGTGTGGATAGCATGGCCAACATCCTTGAACTCTCTGGTTCCAATGGCCTTCTTCAATCCACTTTAGCCCCACTTTCACCTCATTTTTCACCTTCTGGAAATTGGAAATTCCATTTTCCCATACTCCGGCACAGTCTCTACCGACAGTCTCATCCCAGTTGACTCCTCTTGACCTGCTCCTCAGGCTCACGTGGTAGCCTGGACCTCTGCTTTTCTTATCTAATCCTTGGATTATTAATGCAGAAGGTCCAGGCTACCATGTGAGCTCCTCAGACTCCATACGAGTCTCTCCTAAAGCCCCCATTCCTTTGCACCTTTATTTCAACTTTGCCCAGCCTATAACACATTTGCCTTCTCCAATCCTGTACCTTACACAACTGCCGCCCTTTCAACATGCACCCATGTAATCCCAGCAGACACCCACATCTTCAAGAGGCAAGAGGGAAAGAGGGGCTGACTTCTAACTTTTTACCCACTGACTTGATATCCATCCACACCATCCCCTGCCTCTTCTTTGCAAGGAACATCAGCGCTCTTGACCCGGACTCTTGCTATATTTTCCATCTTTTGGATTCTTTTTGGTTTTCTCTGTCTACCCTATATCTCCAAACCCTCCCTTTTATCCCTAATTTTGACATGTCAACAGCTTCTCCTATTCTTTAAAAACTACCCTTCAGCAGCAGGTTTTCTCTAATACCATCCAGTTGTGTTTCAGTAACACTTAAAATTCTCAGCAGTTTTATCTTCATTGACTCCCAACACTTCCTGACTTTCCACTGCAAAACTTTAACCTAATATGATCTGGAACTTCCCCTAAAACTGCTTACACGGAAGATACTAATAATCTTCTAATTGCTTAATCAAGTAGATATTTTCAATCTTTATCTTACTTTAAGAAGGAAGATAGTACAGTGCTTAAACTCTTGTTCCAAGTGCCTAGGTTCAAGTCCTGGCTGTGCCACTTGCTAGTTAGTAGTCCTGGAAAAGTTATGTTACTGCTCTGTGCCTCATTTTCTGCATCTTTAATTATAGTGTCTACCTCATTGAGTGATTTTTTAGATTAAGGGAGTTAAGACCCCACTTAGAACAATGTATGGCACATGGTACATTCTCAAGAAATATTTACTAGAATTATTATCACAACTTGACCATTCTTCTACAACTGTCAGTGTTCATAGACTCTCCATTTCTGGGTCTTTTTTCTATTTAGGCTCAGATAACACTTTATTCTTGTTATTTTTCTCATAAATCTGGCACTGTTCAATGCCTGGGAGGTCTGTAGGCATTCCTCCTTCTCCATCTTCCCTTCTAACGTGGGCCCCTGTTAGTCATCTTTTCACTGCATACACTCTCCCTTCAACAGCTGCCAATGCACTGATAACTCCAAAGCCCAGCTCTGCACCCTAGACCTTTCACCCACACATCCGTCTTAGGTGTCCAGGTCACAGATCTGTATTTCTACCTAGGTACCACATCAATGACGTGAATCCAACAGATCTGCACAGATTCCTCCTCAAACCTTTTCCCTCATTGACCAATAGTCTATTCTTTCTGAAATACGGAATATGGTTAAGTGGCACTATGACCCATTCAGTCACCCAAGCTGGAGACCAGGGTGTCTATTGGGCCTCAACTTCTGCCTCAGCCCTCATCTTCATTTTCCTTTTTATTCTACCTTATTAGCATTTCTCAAATCTTCCCATGTCATACATCTCTGAATTGTATGCTATAAGATAAACACCTAAAACAGAATGACTGCACAACATTAAAAAGAACAAGTTGAAGAAAGACATAATAAAGAAATGCAAATAAACAGAAAGCAGTTGTTGCAAAAATAGTGTGAAAACCTTGAAGTAGAATTTTAACTGAAAAGAACAATGAAAAAATTAGGTGGACTAAAATGGTCATTTAGAAAAAACACATGAGTCAAGGGACTTAAGTGAAGAAAATGATGAAAAAGACATGGGTTGAAGACTTTAATCTATGTCTTAGACTTTGACTACTAATCGTATAGGAAAAAGCAAGTATATATAATGTAAATAATAATGTATTTCCTAGATACATGTTAATAAATGTAAAGACAGAATGAAACTTCCATTCAAAGGCTTATGGCTCAGTTGCAAAAAAATCATATACTAGGCTACAATATAACTTCAATAAATCCCTCGAAGAAGAAATTGTTTAGCTTTGGGCCTATACATTTTCTAACCAAATTCACTACAACTAGAAATTAGTGACAATGTCTTAAAAACCAATTTATTTAAAGTTACACAATGCTTTCTTAATAACTATGGTGTCAAGTGTGCTTTGTATGTTAGCAAAAATCTAAAACAAAATTAAAAGTCAAATGACAGGTTGAGAATAATATTTGTAATACCTATGTCAGCTAATATGAAAATATCCTTTTTTATGTGTAAAGGACTCTTGAGAATCAACAAAAAAAAAAACCCAAATCATTCAAATTAAAAAGTGGCAAATGACTTCAACAGGTAATTCACAAAAAGAGGAAGTAAAAATGGTAATAATCTATGAATGTAATTGTGTAAAATGACACTGAGTATGATCAAAAGGTGCCCCAGAAGACACCTACAACCTTGGAGGGAGATGATCACTCCATCAATATGCTTCTGACGTGAGACTCCTAGCCATAGGAAGCCCCACCCAATAGATAGCCAGCTCCAGTTTTTAGGGACAGACACCACAAGGGGACAAGGTGATGCCTGGACCCTCAGAGATGGAAAGACCTGCCAAGGTGTTCTGAGGAGAGGGAGAATGGTTATCTCTGACCCAAGCACACTCTCAAGAAAATTCAACCACGGCCCTTGAGGAATCAAAGTCAGGAAATGGGAGAGCCAGGGGAGTGAGTAGAGAAGTCTAGAGGTGACTCTGGTGCAGTGTTTTCCTCCTGTCTTCAGGAGGCAGGGGAGTAGGGATGGGATGTCTTCAGGAGGCAGGCCATGCATACCCAGTGGCACTCCAAGTCAGTAAATGGAGGCCGAGACCCTGAGTACAGGGAGTGGAGCAGAGGGCCCAGGCTGAGAATTCCAACGTCTCTGTAGATGCTCTTCAGCTCCAAGGCTGCCATGTGGACCTACCATCTATTGCACATGCTCCAGCCCATAGGCTTCATTAGAGACCTCCTGGTGCGGGTGTTGAAGAGATGAGGCTTGCATGGAAAGGTGAAAACCTCTCCCTGTGCATGACTACTTGTGCAAAGCCAGGAAGCAATTCCCCACAAGAGGCTCTGAGATGAGTCTTGCTCATCCTTCCAAAAAATGGTTTTTGTTCATACTTGGAGGAGGGTGTGGATATGTCAGGCCATGGTTTAACAGACCTGGTGTTTTAACCTAATCTTTTATAGTTCTTGAGCAGAAAATCTGCATGGCAAAAATTTCAAGGGGCTGCAAACATTTTCAGGAGAAGAGAAAAATGTTGGCACATCAGAACTCCTCTTAGAACATAAATATACATGTTTTCATGGGGAGAGATTGTTTAGGGTAAAATTAAGAGAGACTTTTTTTACCCTATCAGCCCAAGGAGACCTGTATAAGACAAGGAGGAGGATTTGATGCTTAGTGGAGAGAAGTGGGATGGGTAAGGAAGCAGATGGAATAGAATTCCAAGAGTGGTAGAGTGGGCCCCTCATTGTGATAAACTCCACTTCATTGTGAGTGAATTTACTAAATCTACAGAGTGCCACATAGCACCGTTTTCCAGGGAAAGGGACTGAGTTTAAAGTCCAGTTGAACCAAAGCTGGGTGAGTCCTTAATTTCAGGGGCCTATATAGCGATAATAACTACCAAATAAAAGATAATTTTTCCTAGGCAGGTGATGGAGACTAGGGCAAGCAGATGGCTGCAAAATTAACAGAAGTTCTTTTATTTTTTTAAATCTTGAAACAGAAAATTCAGAATCATTAGAAAATATGAAATCAAATTAACATCACCTAGAAAGGAGCTGTGATCTGAAGTACACGTGACTTAACAGTCATTCAGCACTGAGTGGTGACCACATTTAATAATAATATATTGTGCATTTCAAAATTGCTGAAAGAATAGATTTTTTTAATGTTCTCACTATACAAAAAAAGTTAAGTTGGTGAGGTGATGGATATGTTCATTAGTTTGACTAAGTCTTTCTATAACACATGCATAGATCAAAATATCACACTACACCCTCTAAATACACACAATTAATATTTGTCAATTAAAAGTAAATAAACAAACAAGCCCCTGCTTTCCCAAGAAAAGGCACATGTCGGGAGATGGCTGGCAGAGGCAGGTTCTCACCCCCGGCCTTGCCAAAAGTCTGGTGCCAGAAAGCTCACTAATGAGAAAGAGGAAATTTCAGTGTTTATTACAGAGCTAAAAGTCAATTTTAGAACTATAAAATACGACTTTAATAAATTAATACATAAACCATCAGCTCCGAAGCCCAGTAATTTGTATTTAGCCCATAGAATCATATGTACAGGACCAGAGCTCCAGGTCTGGTGAATTTTAAAACCCATTTTGCTAGTGTCATTGGATTTTCTGATAGGCCTCCTTTTCTTGCCACTGTACTTATGTGTATATGTGCAAGTATGTTTTGAATCTGAGAGTCTTGTGGGTGCTTGTCCCTATGTGGGCACTCTGCAGTGTTTGTGGCCAAGTGAGTAACCATTAGTGACGGTGTGTGTATAACATCTCTCTCCAAACTGCTGCTCTCAGCCAAGGAAATGCAATGAGGCTGTAGTAGCCAATAAGGTGCAAATCAGAAAATTCTCCCAGATGAGGCTACTTATCCAAGGGAGGGCATGGAGGTTACTGAGTACAGGCTTAACAACACTGGCTATTTCTTTTAAAAAGGCTTCCTTCCTCCTTCCCCTTTGTCTCTTTTTCCCTCTTTTCCTTTTTCCCTCCCTCCCTTCCTCCCTTCCTTCCACTGAGGCCCACTACAAGCCTGATGGCATGGTTTGGCTCTGTGTCCCCACCCAAATCACATCTTGAATTGTAATCCCCATAATCCCTACATGTTGAGAGACGAACGTGGTGGGAGGTGATTGGATCATGGGGGTGGTTTTCCCCATACTGTTCTTGTGATACTGAATGAGTTATCACAAGATCTGATGGTTTTATAAGTGTTTGACAGTTCCTCCTTCACAGGCTCTCTCTTGCCTTCCACCATGTAAGATGTGCCTGCTTCCCTTTCTGCCATGATTGTAAGTTTCCTGAGGCCTCCCCAGCCATGTGGAAGTGTGAGTCAATTAAACCTCTTTTCTTTATAAATTACCCAGTCTTGGGAAGTTCTTTATAGCAGTATGAGAACAGACTAATATACCTGACATGATGATACATATATGTTCTCTAATTTCATCTGCAGAAGGTCCTATCATACCTAATATCCTCTCCATTCTACAGATGAGGGAACTGTGATTCTGAATGATGACAGGATACAGCTAACATTACACAACTAGGAAGAAGATTCTCAGAAAGTGCAAGCTATTTTCCCTAAAGGCAAAGCAGAGCTTAGAGCCAGAGGACCTGGGATGGATCATGGGGACTTGAATTTACCAGTAGTGCTTCCTACGCTGGAAGATAGGACATGTTGCCACCTAATAGAGGGAGCTACTGCACAGATCTCATGCCTCTCATAGGGTGTGAACATAGGGGGTACTCCAGAAATGTCCTTTCCCCCCATGCCTCATCCAAAAGCATGGCAAATGGTATGACTGTCCCTGTACTCAGTCAATTTTCTTGTTCATTGTACTTCAACCTGTGGCCCCATCCTGTACCCATTTGTGTCTGGTCCTATATATGGGGTTTCTAATTGAAACCTTAAAGGCTCACTGACCGTGCCCATGAGCTTTTAGAGATACTTTATGTCTACAGTCAATGATACAGTGGTGACAGTCTAGGGAGTAGGGTATCTGGGATCTGCTCTCAGCTTTGCCAATAATTTGTTACGTGTTCTTGGACTTCACTATGCAACTCTGGACATCATCAGCTTTATCATGTACATCAGGGTTCAGCTATGGCCTGGAAGCCAAATCCAGCCCACCACCTGTTTTTGCACATAAAGTTTTGTTGGAACACAGCTGGGTCCATTCATTTACATATTATCTATGACTGCTTTCATGGTACAATGGCAGAATTGAGTAATTGCAATAGAAATTGTATGGCTTGTAAAGACAAAAATGTTTTCTTTCTGCCCTTAACAGAAAATGTTTGCCTTATCTACAAAATGAGGATAAACCTAAGCCACATGTGCCAGTATGCATTCTGTAAATGTCTATGGATAGGAAGACTATATAATTTATCACTGAAACTGGGGCACACTATGAAATGGATGCTCTTAATTTCACCAGGATAATGGGAGTAAACCAGGGTTGTCCCAGCAAACTGAGATGTAGGGCCACCTGTCTGCAGAATACTATCTCTATAGTCAGGTGGTCATCCAACAAAAAGAGGGCCAAGATCAAACTTAGAGGCAAGACAGGAGGTTAAACACCAATAAATGGATTTCTTTCTGACTCCTCAGAACTCCCACGTGGGTAACTGTGAGTCTCCTAGAACCGAATACATCACACAGCTTTTTCAAAATGCTGTGACCTCCACCACATCAGCCTTCACTACAGAGAATCTCGGGGAACACATGTTCCACAGAGCACACTCTACAAATCATACACTGGGTATTCTTCCCAGAATGTACAAGCAAGATCTGATCCCCTTGTTCACGCAACTGTGCAGGTAGAGAATATAAGGCTATATGCTTAATGCAATTCTGAAACCCCAAAAGCTCTGAAAACAACGTTCTTCACCTTAGTATTATAAAAAGTAATTTGGTGGTAAAACCTGAACACAGCCGAATGGCCTGATACTACTTACAGTCTTTATTTATCCCATTTCTTGTGAGTGTGTGTAAGTTTTGCTGTAGAAATATTACATTTGATTACAGGGTACTGCCTCAGAGCCTACCAGGGTTGTTATAAAATACAGAAGATATGCCAATATATTACTAATATATTACTAAATTCCAAACATTGTGAATTCTGACACATATCTGACACCATCAGTTTCAGATAAAGGTTTGTACTAAAACATATTACACAAAAGGAAAAGACACCGAAGTAAAGAGGCCAAAGATATATAATTTGTCTCAAAACATCTAGGATACAACACGTCACGTTGTTAGTGACACGTGTTAAAAACAAAGGACTCTGCTTTTAGCCACTTTCATTCATAGGTTCCTGCTGTTGTAAAGAAGGGAACAGGGGCTTAACCTCACACCAAATGACAACAGTCCACCCTGACCACCCCAAGGCCAGCTCTGTCCCACTCACCTCTGCGTTACCAATGCCTGAACTGGCCTGGCTCACGCAGGATGCAAAATGACTGACAAGCAGATGAGAATAGGGAGCGAGTGGCTGAATGATGGTGTGATGAGTTCTTCCAAGAATTTACTCTCTCTTTTTCTCTTTTCTTCTCTTTCTCACTTCCTCTTTTATTTCTGCTCTCTTCCTAACTTTCCTTACTTCCTGCCTCTGGCTCTTGGTCACCCATGGGCAGGCCAAGGAGATGAGGCTGGGGGAAAAGCAAAGGAAACGTGGTCCCAAACAAGGCTACTTAGGTCCATCTCCCAGGCTGCTTGCAGATCTCCAGGATTGCGGGAGTCACCTGTGCTGTTCGACAGTCATTGCCATTATATCTCATTATTTACTCCTTTAAGTCTCCTGACAAAGAACCCCAAAATAAAAACCTTAAGAAAACCCTCAACACAGACCAAGGCATTACAAGAGATAGCTGCGGGATTCTCCAGCAATGGAGGATGAGAATGAGCAGAACCAGCACCTCATAAAGGCCAGGTCCCTTCTGAGAGCCCAGCCTTGGAGTTACCCCGCTTCATCTCCCCATCCACAAGTTCCAGGCGTGGCTAAGCCTTTCAAGAACTCTACTAGGGGAAATTGTGGAGCCAAGTGGTTAAGAATTATGATCTGTACTAATTTGACAACCACGAGCTACTGAAGCGTGGCTAATGAGACTAGGAAACTGAACTTCTCATTTTACTTAACTTCAGTTACCTTACATTTTAATTTAAAAACTGATACCCAATTCACTTAAGAATGTTTGGAACAACTTGTGTATATGTATCCACTTCTTCAGCTATACATTTTATGAGTCCAAATACAGATCATTATTACTAATGAAAATAAAACATTTAAATTGAGACTTACTGTAAGTGTAAAATATAGACTGAATTATAAAGATTGACAGGGAGAGAACAGAAAACATCTCACTAATAATTGTTTAGATTGATTACATGTCCAAGTGATAGTATTTTGGATACGTTGGTTTAAGTAAAATGTATTACTAAAATTAATTTCACTGATTTCCTTTTACTTTTTAATGTGGCTACTAAACGTTTATAAATGACATGTGTGGTTCCCATTATATTTATACTGGATTATACTAGCTTAGACAGTGAAATCAAACAAAACGGGTAAAAAACAAGGCACTACCTCCGTTCAAGCTTGGGTTATCACTTACCATTTCTGAGCCTTCGTTTCATCACCTATAAAATGGGTACGTAGTACCTGCCTCAAAGGATTGTTGTGAAGATTAAACAAGGTAATGTATGTGAAACATTTTGTACTGTGCCTGGAACATGATAAACACCCAATGAACGGTAGGTATCACCATCACCACCATTACCATCATCATCACTACCTCTCCCCTATTTCTGAAAGGAGTTTCAGGAAATGCATCATGAAGAAAAATAACATTATTCTAAAAGGAAATCACAAGCCATTGAGGATAAAATTGAAATATGTATGGCAAAAATCCAGTCTAAATATTGAGGGTAATTGAGTATTAAATTCTGATTTCTCGTTACCAAGGCAAAAGGGAAATAAAGCTTGAATTGCCTCATTAAGGTAAACCCAACAAGCAATCTCAATAGATACATGTATTCCTAACACTAAAATCTGGAAGAACTGTACCATGGATATTAACTTGGAGAATGTCTAAGAAGCCCCCAGCCACCGGTTCATCTTCTGCTTCAGATGCTAGAGAAATTTCTCCAAAATGCAGATCTGACTGCCTCACCCTCTAACCTAAAACCTTTCAACAGTGCAAGTGGAGATTAACTGCAAATGAGCACAGTGTATCTTACTAGGATGATGAACATGTTCTGGACTGCTTTATAATGATGGTTGCACAATTCAATAGGTTTTCTTAAGTCATGGGATTGCACACTTAAAATAGGTGGATTCTGTGATATGTACATTTTACCTTAATAACATTGTTAAAAAAAAAAAAAACAAAACTTTCAATGGCCCCAGGCCAAGACAATGTGGAGAAATGTTCCTCTAAGCATGCTTTATGGATTGGTGCCAATCTGTGCGCTGTGTGCATCAGTTCGCAAGGAGATAAGGAAGGAAAGAGAGAGAGGTTTAGGAACTGTTGCAACAATCTGTCATTGCCATGATTTTTTTTTTTTACCATGGTTTATAAGAGTATTGCTCCACAATGAGTTGAGAGGAAGTGTCCCTTCACCATGGACAGTATGAGCAGCACTGCTTTAAACTAAGTTCCATCCATTAGCCTGACATTCAAAGCCCCCCATGATCTGCTTGTCCCTGCAGGCTGATCTCCCTGTCTGTCCTCTTTGCAATGTACCTTAAACAACTTAGACTTTCCAAACTCTGCCATAGTCTATCATCCACCCCTGCAGCTCACTGTACACACTGTCTGTGACAACTCAAATGCCTTTCCCTCCCTCCCTTTTAAAATAAATTTGTATTCATTCTTCAAGATTCATCTTAGATGTCATCTCCTCTTACAAACCATCCTAATTGCCTTCCCCAGCAAACACCCCATTCCCCAGAGGGTGATCTTTTACGAGTTATTTCATCTCTCCGAACCTCAATCTTTTCATCCATAAAATAGGCTAGTACTAGTACCTCCCTCATCATGTCATAAGCACTGACTTTATAAAAAGGAATCAATGCCTATGTTCCTCTAGCATCTTCAGGAGCCACATGCATCCTGGTACATTGTTATTTTATCTACATATCAGTCTTTTCCTACAAATGATGAATTCAAGTGGGACAGCGGCTGTGTTAGGTCACCTCTGCAGAGCTTGGCTAGGAGGAGAAGCACAGTAAACACGAGTGAATAAATGAAGTCCTTTCTAGACCTAGCACCTGTAGGGAGAGCAAAGGTGTATAGATTTATTACAAATTTTCAAAAATAAAACCATGGTAAAATGCCATACCTGATAGAAATGTGGCCAGAAAGTGCTGATGGCGAGCTCTGCCTTCACCCAGCCCTCAGTGACGACCCCGGACACATTCCACACAGGGTTCCCTTGGGGGCCACCATTCACCTTCACGTAGACGTTCAAGGCCCCTGGGCTGGACCTGTCACGGCTGGAGAAGTAGTAATGGAAGTCGATGCAGTGGGTGTCATTCTCCTTCAGGGTTGGCAGGAGAAGGTGGGCCTTCTGGCCAGAGGCTCTCCCAGAGCTGTTCACCATCATGAAAGATCCTGGAGACCCACAAAGCAGGTGGGAAGTAGAGACAAAGAGAAAGTAAGAAAATCCTTCTGAAAATCAGTCACACCCATAAACATGGTGGCCAGAGGAGTGGCCAGAGATCAAGTCACTCTAGAAGGGTCTGGGTGACCCTGCAAAAGCCACATCTCTCTGAGCCTGAGTATCCTCTTCTGTAATTGGGTATAAAAAATCTATTCAATAAGGTGGTTTTAAGAATTAAGAGATGGTAACATGTATGAAGTATTTCTACAACGTGCTACTATTGCTATTTGCAGAAAACATAGCTACTATTACTGTTTGCAGAAAACATCTCCAAGCATTCAAAAAGTTTCCTTGTAGGACGAAGTGAGCCTCTTTTGAGTTGCTTTGACAAATTAAATGGTTGTTTCCAATTCTTTATCCCTCCCTGGATCCATGTCCCTTGCCACTGGCTTTGCAGTTCCTTCCAGCAGAAACAGAGGGTATGTCCCCATCCCTTGACTTTGGGCTCCACCATATGACTTGTTTTGGTCAATAGGATGCTAACAGAATGATTCAAGCAAAGGTTAAAATGTGCTTGCCTTGCTGGGCTTGCCGTCTTGCACTACTGCTACCTTTCATGAAAAGGATGTGCCCCCAGTAGCTGCTGCCCCTTTCAGCTTGGGATCAAGAATACACACATGGAGGACACCTGACTTGAACTGATCTTAAAGAACCAAGCCATGCCACCCCTGCAGCTGGAATCACAGCCACATGGCCCAAAAGCCCAACCTAGATCAGCCAATCTACAATCAATGCACAGTTCCATGAGAGCTAGAATAAACGCTTATTGTTGTTTGCCAGTGAGTTTCTTTTCAGTGTGTCATGCAGCTTTATTGTGACAATAGCTTATTGATAAAGCTGCCTGGGAGGGCAGACTCATGAAAGAAACCATGAGGGGGTAAATTTCAGTTCAGTGTACAAATAACTTTCTAACAAGTAAAGTTGGTGCAAAATAGAATGGACTGGCCAGAGACAAAGTGAGTCCCCACCAAAGCAGGTGGCAAAACAGAGCCTAGACAAATTAAAGAGATGATTAAGGAAATTTCACAAGCAACTGGGAGGGCTGAACTTAGAGTCTTATGATTCTATGAAATAAACTGCATCATGGAACACTGCAGATAAACTCAGTTGATTCTAGAAGGACAGTTTCCACCTAGAAAACCACTAAAATCTTCAATTCAAAAATAAACCTTAAGACCACTTATCCTCAGCCAAGTTGAGCTACTTCAATAGCTAAAAGTCACCTCATTCTTTCACCCTAATACCAAAAAGACTAACAGCTCCCAGTTAATAAGTGCTGGGAAACCCATAACTTCTTGGGATTCTAGAAGGTACCAATCAAACCCTGTCTCCTTCAGGTTCTGAGTGAATTTAAAAACAGACATGAGAGAGATAGAAAGGGAGAGACAGAGAGAGAGGAGTTCAAAACCTCCACGTTATTATTCACAAAGTAACTTGGACTTACGGCCAAATTAGACTTTCTGCATGTTTCCCCTGAACCACCATGCAGAGCAGGCGGATGGCCATGGACCCACCCTCCAACTGTGCCCAGATCCCTAGGGCCACAGTTGTCTTACTGGGATGACCACTTAGGATAGTTGGGTGGGTTTGTACCAAAAGGTAGCCAGGTGAAAAGCACAGAGAAACCTGAACCAGTGGCTATCAGGTTTTCGCCATCCTACCAATGAGAAAAACTTGTGTGTAAATATAAGGGATACAAGTGCAGCTGTGTTTCATGGATATGTTGCATAGTGGCAGAGTCCGGGCTTTTAGTTTGACTAGCAACCAAATGATGTATATTGTATCCATTAAGTAATTTCTCATCTCTCACCCCCATCCCACCCTCCAACTCTTCCAAGCCTCCAGTGAATATCATTTCACACTCTGCGTCCATGTGTACGCATTATTTAGCTACCACTTATAAGTGAGAACATGCCGTATTGATTTTCTGTTTTGGAGTTACTTCACTTAAGATTATTGTCTCTAGTTCCATCCATATTGCCGCAAAAGTCATGATTTCGGAAAATGTAGCACCTCCTGGGGAAGGAGCCACTGGAAGTGGAACAAAGGTGCGGGTGTCTTTGCCTGGTGTTTCTGAGTAAGGCGTCCCAGTTTTATGGCCGTGCAGTAACACAAGGTAAGTGGAGCAATGTCTCTATGTCAGAGAAGTTATTGAATTATCATAAACTCGCAAGGGGGCAGCTAAAAAGGAGCAATTATAGGGGCAGAAATTGAGGCTTAGAGATGAGACCGAGCCTGCATCCATGCCCATATCTGTCCACTGGCCTACATGCCACAGGGTTCCAAAAGGTTTCCTTGGACAGGTAAGTAGCAACTCACAAGCCCCACAAAGGGTTTGTGACTGCCTCTGCCACTGAGGAGTAGCACATCTCCCAGCAGAGGCAGCAGCCTGAGAAGCAAAGTGTCTCTCTCCTCTCTGAATCCCATGATACCCGCATGCACATTTCAGCTCCTGTCCTCCTGCCAATTCACGCCACGGGCTCATGTACCCTTGGCTCCTTACAATCCACTGTAGAGAGAGTTGGGAAGGTTTTCCTTCCACCAGTTCATGATCCCACTTCTTTCCATCCTAGCTTCGGTAGCAGGGCAGGCTCGCTGAGGAGGTAGAGATTGCCCTGTTCCATGTAGCTTCATGCACAACCCTGTAACATTGTTCTGGGCACACAGCTAGACTATGTCTTCCAGCCTCCCTTTAGCATTTGGTAGGGACATGCAACTGAGTTCTAGATAATGGGGCATGAGTATGATGTGTGCCACTTTCCAGGCCTGGTTGGTAAAAGCTGCCTCCCTCTCACCCCCACACCTCCATACTAAATGATCTTGCCTCTCAAAGACTGGTCCTTGGACCAGCCACCCCAGCATCACCTGGGAGCTTGTGAGAAACAAGAATCTCACATCCACCCCCAGGCCTATTGAGTTTGGATCTGCAGTTTATCAGGATCCCCAGGTGATCGGCATGTACATAAAGCAGTGAGAATCATTGGCCCATTCTATTTTCCCATCTACCAGCTGAATGTCCCAGAGCTCAAGAGCCTAGGAGAGGGCAGTGCACCATAAAAGAAGCCAGGTTCCCTGAATGAGCACAACCACACAGAAGGCTACTCACCTATTAGGAGCACTCATCTTGGATTTTAAGTAAAAAGGGAATAAACTATTATTCAGCTACAAGTCCCTTTATTTAAGGCAATAAGATGTGAAACAGTAGCTACTAAGCAAAGTTGCAAGACAGGCTACCTAAGGATATCATTAAGAGCAGCAAGCCTTGGTGGTAACTTGGGAGGCATTTGAAATAGAATAGCCTAGGCAAAGGCACAGAAGCATCCAGCAATGCTAGTGTAAGGTCTTGGGGGTGGGGGGTGGGATCCAGCGGCCATCTCTAGCCCCTTCCACATGTAGCCCACCTTATATAGGTCTGACCACACCCTCCAGAAAGGAAGGGAGCCTATCTGCGAGTTGAGCTCAAGCGCGCCACTAGAGATTGCTCAGGAGTGAAAACCCTTGTATATCATCAGCTCTGTGGGGCCCGCTTTGATCAACAGGTTGGCATAATTAATATCATCCCAGGGCTGTCAGTTTCCTGGAGATCAAAAATGAGCCGGTCATTACGCCAAGATCAGTCAGAAACAAGAAAGAGAAAGACTGTAAATACATTCTTTTCCCTTCTCCCTTAAAAAAAAAAAATCTACTAACGTGATAAGGAACATAAAACAGCATTAGTTTCCTCATAGTTATTATACATAGCACTGAAAATTGTGGAATTAAACCAGGAAGTACTCTCTGGCTGGCCATAAATTTTGCATTTTTCCCCTTCGTGCATAATAATGCCTTGATAAGCGCCTCGTTATTGATGTGTCTGCAACACAGATCTCCTTTTTGGAGGCAAAATGCTTCTCCATAGCAGATGGTGGCTATTGTGTTTACACATGAGCACCTCAGGATTGCATTTCCTCACGTCGGCAGTAAAAAGAAAGTCCTAATTGAGTTTTTAATGGCTTTGCACATTGTTCATTAAGATTACATGAGTGTGCTCGGGCGACTGGCAGCTGAGGGCCTTGGGCACCAAGAGCTCAGCATGGTCCCTGCAGACAGGTGGCCCCGCCAGCTCCCAGTGCCAGCACCTACTTGAAGGGAATGGATGCTGGTGGGGCCTCAAATGCTGCCAAAAGCCAAGCAGCTGTGGTGACATGAAACAAGTTCTGGATCTTCAGTTAAGTAAGCTGGGTTTCACTCCAGCTTCTGGCATTTCTTAGTTGTGTGACTTTGAGCAAGTCAGTAAAATTCCCTGGGCCTCAATGCCCTCATCTATAAAATGGGATAATGAAACCTACAGATCAAAGTTGTTTGTTTTCAGTGAATATTAAGTAAAAACGGTACTTAATAAATGCTAATTTTATAACAGATAGCCAACAGCAGGTAACAGTGAGCCCAATGCCGTTTATAAAACCTTATGTTTATTGAGAACTTATTATGTGCCAGGCATTGATCTAAGCATTGTTTAGCACCCTAATGAGGTGGTGCCATGCAATCTCTGTTTTAAAGCAAGGAATACGAAGGAACAGAGAGGTAAAGTCATTTTCTTAAAGCCACATAGCCAGAAAGTGATAAATACTCAAACCAATTATTCCTTCTTAGAAAGCAGAGACTACAGGGTCTAGGAATGCACTTTCCTAACCAGTAGCTAATAACGCCATATGCCTATTTAAAATAATTAAAATTAAGTAGAAAAAAATCATTTACTTAGAGATACTAGCCACATTTCAAGTGCCCAGTAGACATACATGACTGGTGGATACCATATTGAACAGTGCTGGTGTAGAATACATCCATTGTCACAGAAATTTCTGTTGGATAGCACTGGTCTTGAAGTTGTGGATTACTTACCAAAGCATAACAAATTACATCCAAGTGAGTCACAGGAACTTAACTAACCCAACCTACTCATTTTATAAACTCCAGTAGGGAACAAGTAACTTGGCCAAGGTCAACCAACACAATGAAGATTTAGACTCAGATTTTCCGACTCCGATTTCAGTTTCTACCGCAGACAACTCTGCCGTTCCTTGCCCGAGCTGTACAGCCACAGAAGTGGTTTCCCAGATAGCTATTTAAGAGGGAAAAGAGCATATGTTGCCTTCAGGAAGCAGAAGCATAGAAGTCCTAGGCATTCTACATGTCACATGACTTAGGAGAAGTATGTGCACACACGTTGGGCATTCCCAGCCTCAGCTTTGACAGGCAGTTCAACAACTGTTTGTTGAGGCCCAAGCCCTGGTGAGCAAGGACAATGTAGGATGCTTCTAACAAGGGGTCCCTGGGATAAACTGGAACCCAAGATACATCTCTTCTCTCTGATGATCTTAAACAAGTCACTTAACTCTTTGACTCTCAAGTACCATCTTCTATAAAATGGTTATAAAACACATCTCATATTGTGGCCTCATGTAATCCATGAGGATTAATACAACTACTATTTATAAAGTGCGTAGATAAGTATCGCTGCATGTAGGTCCTCAAAAACAGCTTCTTTTCTATCTTTCCCATACCCCTAAAGTTTTGTTTCAGTGTAGCAGGGAGACCTTAATAGACTGAAGAAGAAAATAGTAAGAAATCCACTGAGAGGCAGAGTAAAATCTGCTGCCCCGTCTCCACCTCCCACAATTGATAAGGCATCAAGGTCCAGGGATGCCTCCTCCTTTTGTTTCTCTGACCATCTTCTTCCTTTCCACTCCCTTGGCACTGGCCTAATTCAGGTCCATGGCATTTGTGTCAGAAACTGTTTATTTTGCAACGACTTCCTAAGCAGTCTAGTCCTTGATTCTCTCACCATCCAATAAAACAGTACTCAGCACCATCTTTCTGAGATACAAAGCCAACCGTGACATGTTCTCGACTTCCATTGAGGTCTTCCTTTATAGGAAATTCCCCACTTCCTATAAAGCCCAAGGTCTTTCATGAGAATATGTGGAGCCTTACACATCCTGACCCCCACCCCTCCTGCCTCTTATATGAAGACTATCTCTCCCACCCTCCCCCGCAAACACAGTCCTCGGCCACTTTGTGGTAGACAGAATAAGGGCCTCCCAAAGATGTCCATATCCTAATATTTGAAACCTGTAATATGTTACCTTTCATGGCAAGAGAATTAAGGTTCAGATGGAATTAAGGTTATTAACCAGATAAGCTTGAGATGGGGAGATTATTCTGGATTTTCCAGCTGAGCACAATGTAATCACAAGGGTCCTTTAGGTAGACAAGGGGGCCAGGAGAGTCAGAATCACAGTTGAGGAGCTATCTGAGGAGGCTATGCTGCTTACTTTGAGATGAAAGAAGGAGCCATGAACCAAAAACTGCAGGTGGCCAGAAAAAAACTAGAAAAGGTGAGAAAACAAACTCTACCCTAGAGCCTCCAGAAAAGAATGCAGCCCTGATACCTTGAATGTACCCCAGTGTGACCCACTTAGGACTTCTGATGTCCAGATTAGAATGTGTGGGGTTTCGGCCACTAAATTTGTGGTAATTTGTTACAGCAGCAATAGGAAACTAATACACACTTCAAACATCCTACGCATGTCCCTGCTGCTAGGCTTTTGCCCAGGTGATACCCTTCCTGAAATCCACGCCACCCAGCTCAGCCATGGTCCTTCATTAAACTACTTAAATATCACTTTCCCTACATGGCTTTCACTAATGTCCAGGAAACAGGCACTTCTGAATTGTTGTTCCTATACTTCAGAGTGCATACTTCCATTATAGGTATTTTAAACAGGATCTAATTTAAAAGTCCATAATGATGAAATTTAGCTATCTAGTCATAATAAAAGTGAAAGTGGCACAAAGACATCAAAAGGCACAATGCACTTTCAAGTAAGAAAATGTAGGTGCAAGAGAAGCAGATAGTGCTACCAGTATTACCATGAAAACTAGTAATCATCAAGCCAATTGCAAACATAACAATAGACCAATAGCCATACCAATAAACATATCATTCAACATTATTCTTATTATCTATGAAAGCAATCTAATTATCAAGTGTCAAAAAAAAGAAATCTGCTGCTTTTCTAATATACCAGAAAATGGGGAGGTGGTGTTAATTGGAACTTAATGGATATATAATACCTATTTAAAACAAAAAAAAGATACATCCTGAAACTTCAAAGGAATTGAATATTGTGAACATTTTGTCACTTTGCGTGAACAAGTAATAAGCATTTCTGTAACCATTCATTCAGACCGGTAAGTTGGGGTTTCAGCATTTCATATGCAAATTTGTTAAGGCAATTTTTGAAGAAACAACTATCTAATAATCCATGTAGCTGTGGATAATGTCGTTTAAATATGGTATTAACCCCCAGTGATTGGATTTGAAGGCGCACTGGTGGAGAGGCTCTGCTAACCGGTGCTGGATACCCTAATGCAAGCAGAGTCAGGCAGGGAGTTTGTGTGCACGTGGGTCTTTTCCTCAAAGACCAAATCCCTAGCCGCCTGCATTCTTTTACACTTTCTGAGAAAAAAAGGAAGGCAGAGAGGAAGAGGGAGAGACACAAGACAAAGAAGGAATGGAGAAGGGGAAGAAGAAAGAAAAGAAGGAGAAAACAAAAGAGTAATGAAAACTAAGATGAAGAAAGGAGGGAAAAGGGGAAGAGGATGGATGGAAGGGAAGAAGGGAGGAAGGGGAACAAGGGAAAGAGGCAGAAGGAGAAGCAGGAGACATGAACTGCAGGCGAGGGAAGGGGTACTGAGCAGGGGGAGAGAAGAGGCAAAAGATTATGGAGACAAAGCAGAATAACATGTAAACTACACGCAACCCCTACATAAGCTTGCATCCCTCCTGACCTCCCAAACAAAAGCAAAAGTGAAAATAAAGACTTTTTACCCAGCATACTTCTTCTGGTCCTTCCAATGATGATGTGATGAAAACAGACCCCGGGACAATGTTGCAGGGCATACTGGGACCTGCGTCTCCCTTTATTACTTCATAACTTGCCTTCCCCAACAATTCAATTCAATCTCCCAGGAGCAAAACTAAATGTTATTGTAGGAAAAACAATGGAACCCAAAACACAACAGAATGACAACTCAGCAACATAAACTGTAAAACATAAGGTCTTGACCGATTTGCTCTTTGATGTTGGAAATAGACAATTCATTTGGCAAAGTCCAGATGAAACTGAAGGTCAGATAATGCTACTCTCCCTTCAGACTCTTCACCTCTTCCTATGCACCCATTTTAACCACACACTGCCCCGTAAGCAAGAATTCTGTCTGTTTCTTCACGTGCAAAACAGGTATATATACAGGTAGAGGTTTTAAAGTTCCTTCCAGCTACAGAAGTCTGTTTCCAAGACTTTACAGCGACTTTACCTGACTAGTTAGTGGTAAGTCAGGAGCCCAGGCTGGCTTGGATTTTCTACCTAGACTCTCTCTGAAGAAGGGGTGGGAAGGAAAGATCTTTCTCCTTGGGTCTTGTTCCCAAAGAAATGCAGTACTTTTTGTGTTCTCATGAGAATTTATTTATCTTCTCAGTCACTCCTCTTCTTAACAATAACAACAGCCAACACATACCATCATGTTTTACTTAAGATTCATTTGTTTAATTCTTATATCAACCCTATGAGGTAGTGACTACTATCATTCTTCTTTTACAGTTGGGAAAACTGAGAAACAGAGAGCTTAAGTGACTTTTTCAAGGCCACACAGCTGGTAGCAGAGCCAGGATTCAAACCTAGGAAGTTATAATTCTCATTTAGCTGCTAGGCTGCACACCACATGTGGGCACGTTGTGTTTGATGGCAAGGAGTGATCATCAACTCCCTGGAGTTAGCTGGCCTTGCGCTGGGGAGCTGGTTCATGCAGGAAGAGGGGTAAAGAATGGAAAGAACGAACAAAAATTAAGTCAGTTGTCAAGCTGCTGCCATATTAAGAGTAAAGAGAACAACAGGGCTGCTGGGAACATTGTCAGACCCCAAATTGTTCTTGACATTCATTGGGCTGAGTCCCTTGCTTCTGCAGCTCTAAATGGAAATGACATGGAACTAAAATATATATATTTTTAAATCTCCAAACTCTTCACACATCCGTTGGCATGATAATATTTTGATTAGTTACATTTATGCTCCAATTACACTCACAGAATGTTCAACTGTGTCTTATATATAGCATGTTTGCCATGCTCCATAGAAAATACTGGATTATTACCTCGTATATTTGCAATGGGAAAAGACACAAATGGAAAGGGGGAGAAAAGACAGCAAAAAGAAGAGATGACTAATCCTGTTAAAATGGTGCCGTCTTGCCTTCACATTACTAAATTGGGTCATCGCTATTATTGCCAAGCTTTAAAATGCCAGGGCTGGGAGAGACATCAAGTATTTAAGTCTACCCTTCCCCTCACCTGAGGCTTTTATCTCCCTTACCACGACTGGGTCTGAAAGCAACCTCCTCACATACCCAGTGAGTGGCAAGGTCGACAGTGGGGAATGTTTGTGTCTTTGTGCTCTTTTTTTCTTCCTGGGGAGAGCATCCATCTATTTCTCAAAGAGCTCCATAACCCTGTCCAAGATAAATATATAAATAAATAATAAACAGAAGCTAAGAGTTACTCTGAGCTTTGCAAAATGCCTGCCCTGGGGATACTAGGAGTGACTTATTACCGTGTGTGCTGCCCAGATGCCATCACATTATTTTGCTCTTCACTAGTAGCCCATGCTGCAAGCACTGAAGGTGCGTGTATCACACCATCTAACGCGGATACCAGGTGGAAGGGGTCCCATGGAGGTCTGCTAAAGATCGCCCCCAGTTCCACAGCACCCGCCCCTCAAATCCTCAACTACTGGAGCTGGCTTTCTCCCCTGGCTTCTCTCTGCCACTGCATCCCTAACTCCACTGGTACCTCTATGCCTCAGTTTCCCCAAGGTGGTTCCATTCATGAAGGCTAACCCCTCCACCAGTCTCCTTATGAAATCCACCAAAGCCAAGCATTTCATCAAGTTAATAAAATTTGTTCTAACCACAAGTATTATTTGTGCACCTACTATGTGTCTGACACTAGGGGAACAGCAGTCAGCATGGAAGAGTTTTTATCCTCTTAGAGATTACAGACTTCTAAAGAGCCATTACAGGAATGTGGAAAGTTCTATGACAAGGCAAGAACCCAGACTTGATTTGGGGGAAGAAGTATAAAAAGAAAACACCTACAACTTTCTGGAGCAAATAAACTGTAGGCTGAGGTCTAAGTTATGTAGGTGTCAGACAGGGGAAAAGGGAACAGAAAGAATGTTCCATGCAGATGAAATAGCCTGTTTCAAAGCCAAGGAACAAGACAGTTTCTGCCTTGTGGGGGGGCTAAAAGAAATTGCAGACAGAATGCAAGTGCCTTAGAGACCACCTCTCTAACCTCTCACCCTTCAGTTTATATATAAGGAACTTGATATTCAGAGAGGTGCCCTGATTTGCCCAGAGTCTCACAGCCAAAGGGTGATAGAGCCAGCATTCAAATTGAGGTGTATCTGACTCCAAGATCAGTATCATTTCCCTCTGAAACAGCGGTTCCCAAATCGCAGTGTGCATCAGAATTACTTGGAAAGCTTGTTAAACTGTGCCGGGTCCCATACCCAGTAGATTTGGGGTGGAGTCCAAGAATCTGCACTTCTAACAAGTTTCTAAGTGATGCTGATGGGACTGATCTGTGGACCACACTTTGATAACCACTGGACTAGCTGGTCTCTAATTCCCCAGCCCTGATAGGGCAGGGGCCCAAAAATTTGGGCGAATCAACAAATGGTGCTACCACAGGGGTGCTAACTTGTTAAACTACCTCCTACCCTGGGCCACGCCCTGCCTACCTCTCTCAGGGGCAGGAGGTCTTGGCCACTGGCCATTAAACATGAAGACTCTCCCTCTGCCCAACTCCAACAGCCTGAGCCATTTTCTTTCCATCACTGCTAATTACCAAGAATATAATTAGACACTTATTGACTCCCCCAAATGTACTAAGGTCTGCAAAGAAAATAGCACAATAATTATTCCTCCTATTTTACCATCCTCTAAGGAGCTACAAGACTTTGACAGCTGTTATCCAATTAATCCTGACAGCTTATTTTTTTAACGTAAAGGTATTTTTTTCTTCTAAGATTGGAAAAGCTATTTCCTTTTTTGAAGTAAGAATGAGGGCAAAGAGAGGCCAGATAACTTGTCCAACATTACAAGGGTCATTTCTTGCCTCCCTTCTCCTGCATGATCAGTGGAACAATGAAAGATAAGGGCATGGACTGTTGACTCAAACTGCCAGATCAAATCCCAGCTCTGTCAGCTCTCAGCTGTGTGGCCTTGGGCAACATACTTAACATCTATAAGCCTCAGTTTCTCCATCTGAAAAATGGAGGTGATGATGGCAAAAGTTGTACATGCTTCCTAGGCTTGTTACGTGAATTAAATGTGTCTGTATGTTACACGCTTAGAATAGTACCTGACATGTTGAGAATTAGCTACCATGATCATCAGTGGCAGAAGCGGCATTTCTGAGCCCTCATGCAGATCTTCGACTACAACAGTGAGATAACTGACCCTGGAATTCAGCAGGGTAAGGCAGGTCCCAGTCTCACTGTCCACAGAGGCAGCGGGCCTAGAAGGCACCAGGAAGCCATGGAACATCTCCATGCTGTTGACAACAAGGAACATCTCTCTTTGCCAGTGGTTCTCCAAGTGTGGCCCTGAGCCAGATACATCAACGTCATGGGGAACCCCTCAAAAAGTAAATCCTTGGGCCCCAAGCTAGACTGACTAGACCAGAAACTCTGAGTGGGGTCAGTCATCTGGGTCCCCCAGGGGATGCTGACACCCACTCAAGTTTGAGAACCACTTTTTTTCCCCAGACAGGTTGCCTGAGCCTCAGCCTATCAGGGTAGACCACAATAACCTGGCGATCATGCCAGTTCCTGTCCACTGGATGTTCCCTGCTTTTCCCAAGAAGGGACAGGACAGGTTACCAGATTCCACAGCACTGTAGCATGGGTCCAGAGCCTGTGCTTTTTTAATTATTTATTATTTATTTATTTTTTGAGAAGGAGTCTCGCTCTGTTGCCCAGGATGGAGTACAGTGGCATGATCTCGGCTCACTGCAACCTTCGCCTCCAGGGTTCAAACAATTCTCCTGCCTAAGCCTCCCAAGTAACTGGAATTACAGGCATGTGCCATCATACCCAGCTAATTTTTGTATTTTTAGTAGAGACAGCATTTCACCATGTTGGCCAGGTTGGTCTAGAACTCCTGACCTCAGGCAATCTGCCCGCCTCAGCCTCCCAAAGTGCTGGGATTACAGGCGTGAACCACCGCGCCTGGCCTAGCCTGTGTTCTTGACCACTGCCCTACATTGTCTCTCTTGAAACTGCCTTCCCACATGCACTTCTGGAAAGGACTCCAATCCCTACCCCAGTGAGGGCCAGCTGGGAGTGCGGTCCTTATTGCTGAGGCACCATAGTTGCCCTGGTGTGCCAGGAGGTAGGAAATGGACACCAGGAGATAATGACGACTCACAGAAATGACACAGAAGGCATCTCCCAGACCCTCTGAGTCCTTGAAGCCACTAGGATATGTCCATCAACTGAGGCCTCTTGAAATCAAGCACCTGAACCCCTAGATTTTCTACGGTTTTCATCCTGAACCCACTCTTCCCCTTTCATCCCTCACTCCTCCACCTGCCCCCATCCTCTCAGCTGCAAAGCTAGTTTCCTATTTCAGTCTTACCTTTCTCCCATTCCCCATCCCTAGCCCTCCTCCCCTGTCCCACTTTTTGTACCAAAATGCACTTTGGACTATCCCCCTTGACCACAATGCAGACCCCAACCATCTCTTGGGTTCCCCTTCCTCTTGCTGCTGTCCACCTCATCCAGTCAAGTGGTCTCTGCACTCTAGACCACCAAAGATACTGTCTCTGTCAGTTCCACCAAGCCCTGCAGTAGAACCTAGACCCAGATGGAAAGAGAACAAGACAAAATCAGGAAGTAGAGGCAGCTCTAGTGCTGACAACTGCCAGGGAAGCAATGAGCTGAATGGGTTCCCTGAAGCCGCCATAACAAAGACCACAAAGTGAGTGGCTGAAACAACAGAAGTTGATCGTCTCACAGTCCTGGAGGCTGAAAGCCTGAGATCAAGGTGTCAGCAGGGTTGGTTCTTTCTGAGGCCAGTGAGGGAGAATCTGTTCCATGCCCTCCCCTAGCTTCTGGTGGTTTGCTGGCGATCTTTGGCATTCCTTGGGTTGTAGATGTACCCCTCCTCCTTATCTCTGCCTTCAGATTCACATGGTTTATCCCTGTGTGCATCTGTCTCCATTTGTTAAGGAAAAAACACCAGTCACATCGAATTCAGAGCACACCCTACTCCAATATGGCTTTATCTTAGCTAATTACATCTAGAATGACTACTTCCAAATAAGGTCACATTTTGAGATACTGGGAGTGAAGACATCAACATATGAATTTGGTGGGAACAGAATTTAACTCCTAATAAGCTTTCTAGAGCCCTACTGTGTTCATCACCCAAAGAGTTATCTAAGGCAGTCCTAGGAGGGTTTCTGTAGAGATGACGGAATATCATATTTAGAGGGAGCATGGGAAAATATTCTTTTTAACTATAAAACAATACATGGGGAAACAAACAGAAAAGTAGAAAGGAGGAGTGACAAGTCCTCACGGAAAGACAGCCACACATGTCTTGAGGTATTTCCTTACAGTCTCATTTGCTGGCATAGGTTAGTGCTTTCCAAGGAGTTATGGCATTTACTTGGGTTTGTGACTGTGGTTAGTAAATTTTTCCTGAAGAAGAGGCTTAATGGGGGATAACAGTTTATAGTGGCCTTGTCTGCATTGAAGCTATATCCAAATTCCAATGGGAAAGGAGCAAGCACCCCTTCAACAGGGCTGCCTGTTCACTGATGTTGCAGGTTAGTTTCACAACAAATGTATATTGAGTGCCTGCTCCACACCAGGCACTGTTGTAGGCCCCGGGAGTACAGCTGTGAACAAAACAGTGAAGATACTTCATCAGAGACAGTTTGCGGAGATGAAAATGCTCCTCAAGAGCTTTGAAACAAGTTGAATAGGGCTCCTGTAGACGCCCCCCAGGGAATGCATGCCAGTTTTTCATGCCATGATTACCCCTTTTAAAATTCTTGATTTTTAGCTCATCTTTCGAGGCTCTGAAGTACCTTTGCAACGATTATTTCCCCAGGAAGGATCTATGAATGGTGTATTTTCTGAGCCTGTGCATTTCTGATGCTGCATCACTTTTATAGTATAGATCACGTGCCCATATGCAATTTATTGAGTCTCGACCTATTCCCTTCTAAATACTGTGGACCGGTGCTTCTCATCTTTTGCCAAAAGAACAAGGATAGCATGTTTGTCCCTCATCTGTCAAATCCTCTTTTTGAATATACACTTGGAAGGCAGGTAGATAGGTATATCTCACACCCTAATTCCTAATATAGGGAAGATTTTTTTTTTTTTTTTTAATCTTACAGCCTTGTTCTTAGGAGCACAGCACAGCAATGAAGATGCAGGCTCTGGAGCCACACCCCTGCAGTCAAAACCCAGCCCTCTCATTTCCTAAAGTGCATCCCTGGGCAAATTACATAGATTTTTCTCTGTCTTTGTTTCCCAATCTGTAAAATGGAGATAATAAAAAGACAAACCTGGCCAGGTGCGGTAGCTCACCCCTGTAATCCCAGCACTTTGGGAGTCCAAGGCAGGTGGATCATGAGGTCAGGAGATCAAGACTATCCTGGCCAACGTGGTGAAACCCCATCTCTACTAAAAATATAAAAATTAGCTGTGCATGGTGGCGCACGATTGTAATCTCAGCTGCCTGGGAGGCTGAGGCAGGAGAATCACTTGAACCCAGGAGGCGGAGGTTGCAGTGAGCCAAGATTGAGCCACTGTACTCCAGCCTGGCGACAGAGCAAGACTCTGTCTCAAAAAAAAAAAAAAAAAAAACCCAAACCTTACAGGATCCTCAGTTAAGCTTGAGGATTAACTGAATTAATACAGGTAATAGTAGAAAGGCTGACAAACTTTTTCCATAAAGGGCCAGAGAGTCAATATTTTAGGCTTAGCAGGCCGAAAAGTTTTTGTTAACAACTACTCAATTCTACTGTTGGGGTGTGACAACTGCAGAGACAATGGATAAATGGATGGATGGATGAGGCTGTGTTCCAACAAAGCTTTACAAAAACAGGCAGCTGAGGGGTCCATGCATAGGCTGTAGTTTGCTGACCTCTGACTTAGTACCAGGCAAATACTAAATTCTCAATCAATGTTAGCCATTATTATTAACTATGATGAGATTCAGAAGGACAGGGGTTGGATCCTCTCTGTCACTCACTGCCTGGTTCTCTGACACTATGAACAGATGGTGTACATGAAAAACCACCATCCACAGAAGTATTCCTTCCAGCCCACCTATAGCACTGCACTTGTGAAAACGACACCTTCCAAGATGCAATGCGCTGCCACAATGTCTCTGATAATTTTTGCCCTGTTGTATTTGTGAGTTTCAGCCTTGAGCAGGATGTGAAAAGAAAGGTGGGAGGAAAACAATAGAACATTAAGTGCTTCAGAAAGTCCTCTTCATGCTGTAAAGGGATGTCTGTCCCATTTAGATTGGTACAGACCTTTATCTTCTACTAGAGGGACAGAGAAGGATGGATGCACATCTTCCTTTTGTTAGTGGCACGGCATAGGTGGCTGAGCTCTGTTTTTCCGACCATTCCTATTAGCCTTGGAGTTGAGGGAAAACTCTCCCAGATTCTGTCAAAAGTTCACCTGTCTCACTTTCCAGTGTTGCTATGATCTGATGCTTTTGTGCTGTTCTCATGGGAATTTTTAAGGGAAACTGCAAGAGGTTGGGATTCCCAAAGTCTCTTAAGGTTATTTCCACCATGGACTCTGTGTATGGTGGAAAGAGTTCCCGAGCCCTGTGCTCTCTGTGGCACTGTCTCATTTCAAACACATAAATCCAATGCTTTATCTACTTCTTGGGATTTTCTGGTTATTTTTTTTACCACCTACACCAAGGGTTAAGCCATGCCCCACTTTTCCCTTGTCCTGACCAAAATTGATATACTACGACCCAGGGCCAAAAGCATAGACAACAGGTGTGGGCGAAAATTCTCTACTTGTATAGAAATTATTTGAAGAAATTCCTGCTTAATCGGGCTTCAATCTCTTCCACTCCCTTATATCCATTCATTTGTTCACTCATTCATTCATTCTTTTACTAATTATGTGCCCGCTAAACATTCACTGAGCAAGCTTTATGTACTTGGTACCAAGCATGCAGAGACACAGAATAAATATTTTATTCTTGAAGACATCTTGCTCTAAATGGGTATGGTGCATCTGGTGATGCCCTGCCCAGGTCTCTCTTTAAAGAAACTTGTCTCCCCAGCTGCCAGGGCACTTAGGCACACAGTCTTTAGCAGTAGCCCCTCCAGGGACTGTGTCAGCTGCAGAGTGTACTCCCAAGGTCTGCCTTTCTGAGAGCTGCACATCCAGCAACTGATGGAGGCTAGGGTTGAAAGCCTCAGCCAGTCCTGCCCGTTGCAGACTCGGACGGGCCATTTTAGCTCCCCGTGGAGTTGGCTAATGATGTCCTGAGGTCTGCGTCAACTCACTTCCTCCCGCAGCCTGCTGCTCATCCCTTCCTTCCCTTCCATAGCTGCTAGTCCAGGGGGCAATTTCCAATAAACATCCTAATAAACACTCATCTCCATCTCTGATTCTGAATCCCAGAGAATCCAACAGTGACAATGGGTCTGGGGAAGCAAGTTGCTCTGTCTGGGCATTTTTGAGGGGACATTTGCGTTGGTTCTTTAAAAACACACAGGAATATTCCAGGTAGAGAAGGAACGATCATTTCAGGCAGAGGGAACAGGACGAGAAAGTCCAGGACTATGACAGCACAGAGGCATTTGGTGTCCTGGCCTGACTGGTGAGAGGGGATGTGGAGGCCCAGGAAGAGGACCAAAGCAAGTCCTTGATAGTCAAGCTAAGGAGCTGACCATGCACCAGGAGCCCATGGGTGTTTATCAGAAGAAATGGGACGTAATAAAATATTCATTTCACCGAGATGAGTTGTCTTTGTCAAGGTTCCCTCTAAAAAACAGGAGCTAATCTGGATGCGTCAAGTAGATAGTTTTCATACAAAGACTCAGACCTTTATCCACTACTGGGAGGCTGGGGAATGTCAGTGGGGAAGGTAGTCCTCAGGAAATCCCTAAGTATAAGGACCACAGGAAAAGTCGAGTCTGTAGTTTTGGCTACTTGGGTGACTGTTGGGTAGATGCTCAACAAACATGGGCACACCTCAAAGTCTGCTGACTGCCCGCACCCCTGCAGGGGCTCTCAGCTGCCGGAGGGAGGCTCACTGTTCTCTGGTTCTTTGACCTTTCAGATCTCTCATCAGTGGGATCTCACTGGGACCCTGCAGGTGAAGGAATCTGGGAAACGTGGCTTCTGGGCTTCATGACCCTTTGGTATAGGAGAGCACTTAGGGAGCTGTGCATCAACAAGCAATATGTGACTTGGGTCACAGAGGATGTGGCTGCAGCAAGGAGATTAGTTAGGGGGTTGAATCAAAAGCCCAAGCACGAGATGTTGGTGCCATCATCACGTCACTGCCCAATTCTCCTTCCTCTCCAAGGCCTCCAAACCTGCTCTGAGGCTTGGCAGGGAAAGTGAGCCAGACTGAGGACAGGAGAAAGGGCTGCCGGAAACAAACGCAAGGGACACACAGCCCTGTCCCGCCAGGTGTGACTCCAGGTGCCAGGTGTGACTCCTGCCAGGTGTGGCTCCCGGATCAGGATGGCTGCTCTTCACTCACTGGCATTTGGGTGAGAAGGGCACTGAGATGGAGCAGGGATAACCAATCCAGAAGACAGAAACCCTGGCTTGGAGCCCTTTCCAGCCATTTCCTAATTGGATGTATGACTTTTCTAGGGCTGCCGGAACAAATTACCACAAACTTGGCGGTTTAGGATAACAGAGATTCATTCTCTCACAGTTCTGGAGGCCAGAAGTCTGAAATCAAGGTGGGTCGGCAGGGCCGTGGGGGAAGTCTCTAGGGGATAATTCCTCTTTGCCTCTTGCAGCCCGTGGTGGTGTCTGGTGCTCCCTGAGGTCGTCTCTGCCTCTGTTTTCACATGGTCTTCTCCTCATGCCTCGCATTTCAAATCTCCCTCTGCTTTGCTCTCACTTTTGCAGCTATCATTGGATTTAGGATCCACCCTAAATCCAGGATAACCTCCTCTTGAGATCCTTAACTCAACTGCATCTGCAAAGATCTTTTTTCTACATAAGGTCACAGTCACAAGTTCCAGGAATTACACCTTGCACAATGCTGGGGGGCCGTGATTCAACCCCACTACAACTACACTGGGTGACTCTGTAAATGTCACTTACCCTCATGCTTAGACTTAAATTTGTACTAATAAAATAGAGTAGGGGCCGGGCGCGGTGGCTCAGGCCTGTAATCCTAGCACTTTGGGAGGCCGAAGTGGGTGGATTGCCTGAGCTCTGGAGTTCAAAACCAGCCTGGGCAACACAGTGAAACCCCATCGCTACTAAAATACAAAAAAATTAACTGGGCGTGGCAGCGTGCACCTGTAGTCCCAGCTACTCTGGAGGCTGAGGCAGAAGAATCGCTTGAACCCAGGAGGCAGAGGTTGCAGTGAGCAGAGATCATGCCACTGCACTCCACACTCCAGTCTGGCTGACAGAGTGAGGCTCCATCAACCAAAAAATAAAATAAAATAAAATAAGAGAGTGCGAGGAGAAGATGACCTACCTGGATGTTGGGGTGATTACATAAGACAGAACAAGTCAAAGCCCCGGCCCACTTATACACACAAGGGAAGCCTGAATTAAATATCTATTGAATCTGAATCAGCTCTCACCCCACGGCTATGGGACTGGTCTGGTCAGGACCTGGAGACTCCTAGTTCATGCAGCGTAACACAAAGCTCAGTTTGCATTTAGGATTGCACTAGATTGCCTTAAAAGCAGTACGCAGTTCTGAAGCTTACCATTGTATAAAATAATACCTGGTGTCTATAGTCCTTCATCTGTTCAAGTACAGGTTGGATGGAAGGATTTCCAGATTCCTGTGGATTTAGGATTCCTACAATACTGTGGGCATCAGATTCACTGCAAGTAACTTTCCCAGCAACTGAAACACTGTTCCCACCCAAAAGGGGAAAATCAGATCACTTCCACATGGTGGAAAAACTAGATTACTTCCACCATAGAAGTCTTTCGACGCTGCCTCTCCCCTTTGCCCGTCCAACCCGCCCCAGGTCTTAATTCCTGTCCTTCTATTTAGGTTTAAATCATTGCACAATCACTTTCTGACTATATAACTTAGAACAAGCCCCTTTGTACTTCATTTGTTTTCCTTTTATGCTCTTTAAATTTTAATAAATTAAAAGTGGCAGAAAATTGAGAAAGCTACAAAGAATAAAATTATAAATACCCATAACTCTGCCATCTAGCTTCAACCACTGTGAACATCTTAACATATTTGCTTTCCCTTTTTATTTTTAAAGAAGAAAGATTACTTTATTGTTATTGGGAAATGATACATATTCATTTTGAGGAATTCAAGAAATGCAAAATACAAAGATTGAAGTTTAAAAAAAATCTTAAGTTTCACTACCCAGAAATAACTGTCATTAACATATGGCAAACATCATTTTAAATATCTTATGATATACACAGAGACAAAAGGACAGACGGATGGATGGATGAGGATGGGCGGATGGACGGAAGAATAGGTGGAAATAAATACTATGAAATGTGGGATAAAATATATGTCACTTTAAGTTTTTTTTTAACACTGTATTTGTCTTTACTTGTATGTAGCAGAAGAAAAAGAAATTAAAACAAAATTGAAAGAAAACTAGCCTTTCAAATACTTCTTTACCAAGAGATACTTACCCAAAGATCTCTTTAAGAACACAGATTGTGAAGAAAGCATTAAGAGCTTGAAGTAATTATACTATATTTTAACTATTTATTTTGATGTTAAGCTTATCTAATGACTCCATGCTGTCAAATATGGTATTAGAACTATCACACTTCCCCTCAACTTCTCCTCCCTCTCTCAATTTCTCAGTTTTAATTGTTGGTGGCCGCTGTTGTTACACTGCCCAGGTTTTAACCTTCATACCCTGATCTATAACTGTAATTGTCTAAGTTGCTTACTGTGAGTCCTATATTTATATGGTTTCATTACTTATCATCAATCCTTATGTTATGAGGTCTGCATTCATGAATCTTTTATTTTTGTTTGCTTTTAATTAGTTGTATTTTGTAATTAAGTATTTTTGTCAAGATCTTATGGATATTACACTGCCTGAGTACATTTACTCTTGACAACCATGACTTGTGAGCTTTATATTCTATTATATTCTTGAACTATGCTTTCTTTCCCTCAAATCTTTTAGATAACCATTCTTTCATCTTTGACATTGAATCCTGCTGTAGAGAAGTCTGAGGACAACTTGACTTTTTTTTTCTCCTTGTGGAGGATATTCTTGTGTCTAGAATACTGGGTAATTCTGTATTTATCCTAAGTTTTAATAGTTTAACTAGGGTATGTCTTGGTATCTAGCATTCTGTACCAAATTTTCCTGGAATACATTGTCTCTTTATTATTATTTTACTACAATATGTAACATAAAATTTAGCATTTTAATTATTTTAAGTGTACAATTCGGCAGCATTAATTACTCTCACAATATTTTGGAACCATCACCATTATTTATTTCTAAAACTTTTTCATCACCCCAAAGAGAAATTTTGTAACCATTAAGTAATAACTCTTCATTCTCTCCTGCCCCAGTCTGGTAACCTCTAATCTACTTTCTATCTCTATGAATTTGCGTACTCTAGATATTACTTATAAATGGAATCCTGTAGTCCAAAAATGAACAGTAACAATTTTTGGGAGGATATGGAGCAACTGGAATCCTTATACACTGCTGGTGAGTAGGTAAAATGGTTCAGCTGCTTGTAACACATTCTCTTTTGATTTGCACATTCAGTTATTTATTCGCTTCAGGATTTTTTTTTTATCCAGAGGCAAAATAGCATCATTCTACTCTTTTGAATCCCAATTCTGTTATATATACTAGACATGTTGCCTTGGGCAAGTTACGTAACTATATCTTAATTTCCTCATCTATAAATTGGGAATACTAATTGTATTAACCTCAAATTGTTGTGAAAAATTAATTCATGTAAACCTCTAAATAAATGTTTCATGCATAATCAACGCCAAAATAATTTGTTATTGTTGTTATACTAAGCTATATTTTGTTATATTTGAATAAATAAAAGGTTATATGTTTATACCTTTAGAGTATATATCTTTATGTCTGTATCTATTGTAGAATAAATTGCTTTCTCCTTTAGCTTTCTTTATGTTCATATTCAGTTGACTACTTTCACCACTCTATTTCATCTGTATTCATGTGCTTGTTAAGACTTCCCTCTACACTGTTTTTTCCAGCAATGTATATTCTATTTTGTTTTTGTATTGTTTCACTTTTTGCTGTCATTATTTATGGGCTCTTTAATCCTATTAATGCTATTTTGGGCCTCAATTTGTTTCCTTTTGTCCCTATTAATCTCATGCTGTCCATTTATTCCATTATCCTGAACCCTCGCTTTATTGACCTGGTGTTCATATCAAATTGTTCTATAGAATGAAGCAATTGTGAATAATTTACCTCTGTTTCTGAAATGTTATTTTTTTAGGTTAGAATCCTTGCCCTTGTATATTACAGCCCCCTGCTTGCTTGCATCCCTTCCTTCCTTTTTCTTCCTTCCTTCCTTGCCCCCTCCCTTCCTCTCTTCCTCCCTCCCTCTTTTCCTTCTTTCCTTCCTTGTTTCTTTTCTCTTCCTCCCTTTATTTTTTTCAAAATTAGTATTTGTGGTATGCTTTAATGTTGCCATGACATTTCTTACCTTCTTGTTCTGCCTAGGTGACTCCACTCGGGTGGCTCCATCCTGACATGCCATTTGCTATGATATATAGCATATGTGACACCTGACTTTCTTCCTACCATATCAGGGAAGTTTGTTTTCCCCTTGAAGTTTGAAGATTGAGTATTCTTTATTCTGTCTGATTTCTGAGCCTAATGAAACAGTGAGAAGGAAGGAGAGAGCTCATCTAAGGTGATATTTGGTCATTCTTAGATTACTGGGCATCTGTTTCTTCTTTTTAGATTTTGTGAATATCCCATACTCAGATTCACTACATCTACTTGCAGGTATTTACTTTTCTGATGAGAAGGTAGTCCCTATTTTCATTTATCTTACTCAATTTAGAAGACAGTCCTGAAGATTTTGCTACCATTAGAGAAAGTTAACCTCCTCCATAACCCCCTTCCTTTGCTTTGTTTATACCCCCATCCCGGCCCCAAGCCATTTTTTCTTATTACTTAATCATATGAGAGAAAGGATAATGATACCCAGTAAACTTGATTTTCTCTAGATGTTTGGTATTGAGGAATCCCCAAACTATGTTACTAATATGCTTTTTGGTGGGTGGGGAAAAAGATTTAGAAGCCTAGCTATACCTCTCCACATCACTCTGTGTCTCCTGTTTCTTTCCATACTTACCAGTGTTTAAAACTTGCATTTGATAGTTTTCTTTCCCTTGTTTTGGTGTTGTGGTGAATTTTATTTATTTTTCTTTTCTTGTATTCTTGTTTGCTCAATCTATTACGTATTTGTCAAGAGGAATTCTGTAATTCAGTTTCTGTCAGTGATCTTAACGCAAATATCTGAGTCACACTTTCCATAAGTAAGTTGGGATAATAATTATAATACTGAACTCATGAATTTTTTTAGAAGTACTAAGTTAGATAATATATGTAAATTGCTTTGCAAGCTCTCAAATTTTATATGAAGAATATGTTTTCAATAAATGTAGTTATGAATGAATGAGCTGTTATTACTCTGCAGTAATGAACTTAGTTATCTAATTTATAGGATTATAAAATGTTAGCACTTAAATCAGTCCTAGGAATCACGTAGCACATTCCATTTATTTTATAAAGGAAGCAAATGTCATGACTGCCATCTTTAGTGCCATGTTTCATCAGGAGGTGGGTGACACAAGAATTCTGTGGTTATAATTGATGGCAAGCATGTCATTCATAAGAATTCTCCTTGCAAATAAACTTCATGTGTTAGAAGAAATATTTTTATTCACTTCTCAGAAGGAAGGTTTTTTCAATCAGAAGGCCCCTATTTTGCTGAACACCAACATTAGTTTAAACACGCAAGCTTGTGGGAAGAACCCAGAAGCAAAACCTAATTGCCTTCCATAACAGAGGGGAAAAAAGTACAACAGAAGAGAGAAAAGAGATAGAACAAGCTAGACCAAATGCTGAGTAAGAAAAATGAAGAGTTAAGTAAAAGCAATGGGGGTACAGGTGAGAATGAACATTGAAAAAAAGATGGTCTGATATTAATTTTCAGTTGTTTCCTCTGAAAGGTATACTTTCTCCATCTCACACAAGGAATATTTATTAAAGTTTATACTATTCACTGATGTTTTTGTAGTAGGTTTTTGAAAGGCTTAGTCCTGAATTCATTTAGATCTTAGTAAAGACCAAGCAGACATAGCACGTTCATTTGCAGAAGCTAAAGAGTATGGGATCTACTGAATTATTTATGTTGGTCAATTGTGTCCTCTTATGTTCAAACACAGCACTGGGGTAGGGGGGATAGAGTGTGGTAGAGGGCTGAGCTGAAGGAGCTTAGCGTTTGTCAGATGACTGACTGAAGAGATGAGTTTAAAGCTAAAGGGATTGCCAACACCAAGGATGGAGGCAAAGCTCAAACCATGGTGAAAATCAGAGGTTCTGATACATGGCAAAGGAAACCAGTAGCAAAGTAAGTTTACAACATTTGCTTCAGCACAACAAGGAAACATTTTTTCTGCCAGGTCAAACTTAGAAGTTGTCATCTGCTTCCTAACGCACCTTAGGAGGTTCATCCAAGCCTGATATTAAGATAAAATTAAAAAGGTACAAAAATAAATATTTTCAGTCAAAAAAAGCAAAATGATCACTGATATTTGTCTTCTAGGGCCTCTCTGAAATGATCATAAGTGGATTTTTAAAAGTGTTTAGGCTCACAAAAACAATCAGGGCAAGAGAGAGGCTGAGTTGACAGGGCTTCTCATCAACCACTTTGGATCCTGGGGAGAAATGTCACCATAACTTCAAATTTTTAAGAGTGATCTTTAGTCAAAAATTGTATACCCAGCAAAACTATCAAATAAATTAGACCCAGACATTTTGAGCCACACAAGACTACTTACTCTTTCTTGGGAAATTATATGAGAATGTAGTCCTGTTTGAACAGAAAACTTTTTTTTTCTCTTTTTTTCATTTCATTTTAATATCAGGGTTATGAACATCTACAAAAATGAGTCTGGAGGAAACTTTCAGGCTGGGAGCTGGCACACACACAAAAGTCTTCTTTCTTGGGCTGAAGCCAGTAATACTAACTGTGAAAAGCCACCTCATCTCAGACGACAGCCATGATTAATATTCAGTGAAGATTGGAACAGTAGGACAGGTGGCTCTGGAAGTGAGTAAGATCTCTCATGAAATAAGAGAAGTTGATAGCTCAGATGCTATGATAAAAGTAAGTAGTGGGGTGTAAGTAAAAGAGAGAATCCCTTCAACCTTAAAGGTAGGAGCATTCTCCTTTGAGAGGTAGAGAAGATATGCTCGAGTCCAGCAGAAAAGGAAATATAATCCTAGCACACGGTTTGGTTTTGCAATGAAACAATTTACACAGTAAGAATAATGGAAGAGCTATGTATCCACTTTCAACTTTTAGAATCATTAAACTGACTGATATGGTTTGGCTCTGTATCCCCACCCAAATCTCATCTTGAATTGCAATCCCTACATGTAGAAGGAGGGACCTGTAATCCCCACATGTCGAGGAAGGGAGGTGACTGGATCAGAGGGAGGTTTCCCCCATGCTGTTCTCATGATAGTGAGTGAATTCTCATGAGATGTGATGGTTTTAAAAGTGGCAGTTTTTTCTTGCACAGTCACACTCCCTCATGCTGCCCTGGTAAGAAGGTGCCTGCTTCCCCCTCGCCTTCTGCCATGATTGTAAGTTTCCTGAGGCCTCCAAGCCATGCTTCCTGTTAAGCCTGTGGAACTTGAGTCAATTAAACCTCTTTCCTTTGTAACTACCTAGCCTCAGGGAAGTTCTTTACAGCAGTGTGAAAATGAGCTAATACACTAACCAATCATGAAAGGCAAGAATCGTTATGGAGAAAAGCCTAAAAATTACCAACCTTGGCCATGAAAGCGTAAAAACAAGGATGACAATGTCAAAGACAGAGGTGATTGGGAGAAGGGGAGATCAACAATGTCTTCCTCACCTTACCCAGAAGACCCTGATGGTTCCTAGAACAAGAAGCAGAGGCTGAAGTAAACTATAGCATCTGAATTTGCAAAGATTACCAGTGGTAGACATAAAAAGTAAACATTTACTATAACAGAAGCTAGAAAGTGATTTAAAAGGGCAATTCCTCATTTTTCTTAGCAGAAAGCCAGTAGACAACATATTAAGTTAATAAGTCAAGAAAAGCACTTTAAGTAAACTACTTACACATGTAGAAATAACCACCAAAGAAGCAAAAATAGAAATGGATGACCTGTGAGGGCGGGATCTGAAAGGCAGAGAAGCCAAACAGCATATGGTGGTTTTTAAACATGAACCCTTCTGAGTTATTTGACATCTTAATCATGTTTGGTTTTTTTTTTTTTTTTGGTTTAACAGATCTTTGAAAATGAAATTAAACATAAAACTATAGAACAATCTCACCTATCAATGTGTACACAATAATACTCCCTGAATTAAATTAAATTGTGATATGAAAAAGAAATATATGTATATTCAGGGACAGTATGCTTATTCTAGGAAAGGAAAGACTGTTTGAAAATATAAAATGCCTTTTGTTATGATTTCAGCAGGATGAGGTGAGAAAAACAATCTCTAATCCATTGTTGCGGAAGAGGCTTTTGGTAAAATCTTTTCAATATTTTTGGCTTTAAGAAAGTCAGTATTTTATGCTGGAGCCAGGGAGGCTGGAGGGCTTGATCCCAAGATTTGTCCCCACAGCCCAACACACTGGCTGTGGCAGTCTGAGGCCAGCGTGCCTCTTCAGGCCTAACCCTGACCTATCCTTCCTCATTGGGCAGGGCTTCCCTGCAGAAACTCCAATAACTCCAGCTAGAGGCTCAAGGACAGAATTCGGATCCCCCTGGACCTGAGCCCCGGCGGGAGGGGCAGCCACAGTTTCTAGGGACCAGCAGACTTAGTCTCTCTTCCTGGTAGCTCTGAGGAATCCAGGCAGCCCAGACAAGTAGGTTTCCCCCCAGCAAAGCACACCCTCTCCACCAAGTGACAAAGTGTTTCATTAAATGGGTCCTGATCCCCGTGCCACCCAACTGGGTGAGCCCCTCCAACAGGGGTTGTCAGATACCCTATACAGGAGCAACCCTACTGGCATCAGTCTGGTGCCCCTCGAGGTCAGAGGCCCCAGAAGAACGAGCAGGCACCCATCTTTGCTGCTCCCCAGCCTCCTTGAGTGACATCTCCAGGCACAGGAGCAAATCAGATGACTAGGTCCTAAAGTGAACCCCCAGCAAACTGCAGAAGCCCTAATGAAGAGGGACCTGACTATTGAAATAAAAATAAAGAAGCAGAAAGTGACAACAACAGCATCAACAACAACAACAACAAAAAGACCCAAAAAAAAAACCCATTCAAGGGTCAGCAGCCTCAAAAACGAAAACTAAACAAACTCACGAATATGAGAAAGAATCAACAAAAAAATGCTGAAAACACAAAAGGCCAGAGTGCCTTTCCTCCTCCAAACGACTGCAACGTCGTTCCATCACAAGCATAAAACTGGATGGAGGATCAGACAGATGAATTGACAGAAGTAGGCCTCAGAAGATGGGTAATGAAAAACTAAGTTCTAACCCAATGCAAATAAGCTAAGAACCTTGATAAAAGGTTACAGGAATTGCTAACTAGAATAACCAGTTTAGAGAGGAACATAAATTACCTGATGGAGCTGAGGAACATAAATTACCTGATGGAGCTGAAAAACACAGCACGAGAACTTTGTGAAGCATACACAAGCATCAACAGCCAAACTGACCACGCGGAAGAAAGGATATCAGAGTTTGAAGATCACCTTACTAAAATAAGATATGCAGACAAGAATAGAGGAGAAAAGAAGGAAAAGGAATGAACAAAGCCTCCAAGAAATACAGGGCTTCATAAAAAGACTGAACCTACAATTGACTGAAGTAGCAGAAAGAGATGGGGAGAGTGGAAACAAGCTGGAAAACACACTTCAGGATATTATCCAGGAGAACTGCCCCAACCTAGCAAGGCAGGCCAACATACAAATTCAGGAAATGCAAAGAAACCATTAAGATACTCTCCAACAAGATCAACTCCAAGACACACAGTCATCAGATTCTCCAAGGTCAAAATGAAGGAAAAACTATTAAGGGCAGACAGAGAGAAAGGCCAGGTCACCTACAAAGGGAAGCCCATCAGACTAACAGTGGACCTCTGGGCAGAAACTCCAGAGGCCAGAAGAGATTGGGGGCCAATATTCAATATTCTTAAAGAAAAGAATTTTCAACTCAGAATTTCATATGCAGCCAAACTAATCGTGATAAGTAAAGGAGATATAAAATCCTTCCCAGACAAGCAAATGCTGAGGGATTTTGTTACCACCAGGCCTGCCATCCAAGAGATCCTGAAAGAAGCACTGAATGTGGAATGGAAAAACAGGTACTAGCCACTGCAAAAACATACTAAAATATAAAGACCAATGAAACTATGGAGGAACTGCATCAACTAGTGTGCAAAATAACCAAATAGCATCATGATGACAGGATCAAATTCACATATAACAATACTAACCTTAAATGTAAATGAGCTGAATGCCCCAATTAAAAGACACAGACTGGCAAAATGGATAAGGAGTCAAGAGGCATTGGTGTGCTGTATTCAGGAGACCCAACTTACATGCAAAGACATACATGGGCTCAAAATAATGAGACGGAGGAAAATCTAGGCAAATGGAAAGCAAAATAAAAATAAAAATAAAAAAAAATAAAAAAGCAGGGGTTGCAATCCTAATCTCTGATAAAAAAGACTTTAAACAAAGATCAAAAAAGACAAAGAAAGGCATTACATAATGGTAAAGGGAACAATTCAACAAGAAGAGCTAACTATTCTAAATATATATGCACCCAATACAGGAGCACCCAGATTCATAAGACAATCTTAGAGACCTACAAAGAGACTCAGATTCCCACACAATAATATTGGGAGACTTTAATACCTCACTCTCAATATTAGACAGATCAATGAGACAGAAAATTAACAAGGATATTCAGGAGTTGAACTCAGCTCTGGATCAAGTGGACCTAGTAGACGTCTATAGAATTCTCTACACCAAAATCAACAGAATATGCATTCTTCTCAGTGCCACATGGCACTTATGCTAAATCAACCAAATAATTGGAAGTAAAACACTCCCTAGGAAATGCAAAAGAACTAAAATGATAACAAACAGTCTCTCAGACCACAGGGCAATCAAATTAGAACTCAGGATTAAGAAACTCACTGAAAACCACACAATTACATGGAAATTGAACAACCTGCTCCTGAATGACTCCTGGGTAAATAATGAAATTAAGGCAGAAATCAAGAAGTTCTTTGAAACCAATGAGAACAAGGAGACAGCATGCCAGAATCTCTGGGACACAGCTAAAGCAGTGTTAAGAGGGAAATTTATAGCACTAAATGCCCACATCAGAATGCTAGGAAGATATCAAATTGATATCCTAACATCACAATTAAAATACCTAGAGAGGCAAGAGCAAACTAATCCAAAAGCTAGCAGAAGACAACAAATAACTAAGATCAGAGAAGAATTGAAGGAGATAGAGACATAAAAAAATCTCCAAATAATCAACAATGCAGAAGATGGTTTTTCGAAAAAATTAACAAAATATATCACTAGTTAGACTAATAAAGAAGAGGAGAAAGAAGAATCAAATAAACACAATAAAAAATGATAAAGGGGATATTACCACTGATCCCACAGAAATACAAACTGCCATCAGAGAATACTATAAAAACCTCACGTAAATAAACTAGAAAATCTAGAAGAAATTGATAAATTCCTGGACGCATACACTCAACCAAGACTAAACCAGGAAAAAGTCAAAACCCTGAATGGACCAATAACAAGTTCTGAAATTGAGGCAGTAATTAATGGGCTACCAACCAAAAAAGGCTCAGGAGTAGACAGATTCACAGCTGAACTCTACCTGAAATGCAAACAGGAGCTGGTACCATTCCTTCTGAAACTATTCCAAACAATTGAAAAGGAGGGACTCCTCCCTAACTCATTTTATGAAGCCAACATCATCCTGATACCAAAACCAGGAAGACACAACAAAAAAGGAAAACTTCAGGCCAATATCCCTGATAAACATCAATGTGAAAATCCTCAGTAAAATACTGACAAACCAAATCCAGCAGCACATCAAAAAACATATCCACCATGATCAAGTTGGCTTCATCCCTGAGATGCAAGGCTGGTTCAACATACACAAATCAATAAATGTAATCCATCACATAAACAGAACCAAAGACAAAAACCACATGATTATCTCAATAGGTACAGAAAAGGCCTTTGATAAAATTCAACATCCCTTCTTGTTAAAAACTCTCAATAACCTTGGTAGTGATGGAACATATCTCAAAATGATAAGAGCTATTTATGACAAACCCACAGCCAATATCTTATTGAACGGGCAAAAGCTGGAAGCATTCCCTTTGAAAACTGGTACAGACAAGGATGCCTCCTCTCACCACTCCTATTCAACACAGTATTGGAAGTTCTGGCCAGGGTTACCAGGCAAGAGGAAGAAATAAAGGGTATTAAAATAGGAAGACAGGAAGTCAAGTTGTCTCTGTTTGCAGACAACATGATTTTATGTATAGAAAACCCCACCATCTCAGCCACAAAACTCCTTGAACTGATAAGCAACTTCAGCAAAGTCTCGGGATACAAAAGCAATGTGCAAATATCACAAGCATTCCTTTACACTGACAATAGGCAAGCAGAGAGCCAAATCATGAATGAACTCCCATTCACAATTGCTACAAAGATAATAAAACACCTAGGAATACAGCTAACAAGGGATGTGAAAGATCTCTTCAAGGAGAACTACAAACCACTTCTCAATGAAATAAGAGGACACAAACAAATGGAAAAACATTCCATCCTCATGGATAGGAAGAATCAATACTGTGAAAATGGCCATAATGCCCAAAGTAATTTACAGATTCAACACTGCTCCCATCAAACTACCATTGACATTACTCACAGAATTAGAAAAAATAGTTTTAAATTTCATATGGAATCAAAGAAGACCCCAAGACAATCCTAAGCAAACAAAACAAAGCTGGAGGCATCAAACTACTTGACTTTAAACTATACTACAAGGATACAGCAACCAAAACAGCATGGTACCTGTACCAAAACAGATATACAGACCAATGGAACAGAATAGAGACCTCAGAAATAACACCACACATCTACAACCATCTGATCTTCAACAAACCTGACAAAAACAAGCAATGGGGAAAGGACATCCTATTAAGTAAATGGTGCTGGGATAACTGCCTAGCCAAATGCAAAAACAGAAAGTGGACCACTTCCTTATACCTTATAGAAAAATTATCTCAAGATAGATTAAAGACTTAAATGTAAAACCCAAAACCATAAAAATCTCAGAAGAAAACCTAGGCAATACCATTCAGGACATAGGCATGGGCAAAGACTTCATGACAAAAATGCCAAAAGCAATTGCAACAAAGGCCAAAATTGACCAATGAGATCTAACTAAACTAAAGAGCTCCTGCACAGCAAAAGAAACTAGCATCAGAGTGAACAGGCAACCTACAGAATGGGAGAAAATTTTTGCAATCTACCCATCTGACAAAAATCTAATATCCACAAGTTACAAGGAACTTAAACATATTTACAAGAAAAAAACAACCCATCAAAAAGTGGCAAAGGATATGAACAGACACTTCTCAAACGAAGACATTTACGCAGCCAACAAACATGAAAAAAAGCTCAACATCACTGATCATCAAAGAAATGCAAATCAAAACCATAATGAGATACCATCTCATGCCAGTCAGAATGGTGATTATTAAAAAGTCAGAAAACAATAGATGCTAGTGAGACTGTGGAGAAATGTAAATGATTTTACACTGTTGGTAGGAATGTAACAACCATTGTTGAAAACAGTATGGCAATTCCTCAAGGATCTAGAGCCAGAAATACCATTTGACCCAGCAATCCCATTACTGGGTATATACCCAGAGGAACGCAAATCATTCTACTATAAAGACACATGCACATGTATGTTTAGTGCAGCACTATTTACAATAGCAAAGACATGGAGCCAACCCAAATCCCCATCAATGATAGACCGGATAAAGAAAATGTGGTAAATATATACCATGGAATACTATGCAGCCATAAAAAGGAATGAGATCATGTGCTTTGCAGGGACATGGATGAAGCTGGAAGCCAGCATCCTCAGCAAACTAACAGAGGAACAGAAAACCAAACACCGCATGTTCTCACTTATAAGTGGGAGTTGAACACTGAGAATACATGGACACACAGAGGGGAATAACACACACCAGGGCCTGTTGAGGGGTGGCAGGGTGAGGGGAGGGAACTTAGAGGATGGGTCAATAGGCACAGCAAACCACCATGGCACACATATACTCATGTAACAAACCTGCATATTGTGCACATGTATCCCATTTCTTCCTTTTTTTAGAATAAACAAAATGTAAAAATGAAATTAAAAAAAAAGTTTATTACTCACATCCTCCTCAAAAAAAGTCAGTATTTTAGATGTAGAAGAATACTCTATTAGAATAACAGCGCCCATCTGAAGCCAAAGACAACATCATATATAAGAGTCAAACACTGAAGCCACTTCTATTAAATTCAGGAATGAAACAAGGTTATACTTACATTATTCAATATTGATTTGCAAACTCTAAGCAATAAAATTAAAAGGGAAGAAAGAGAAGGAAGAAGTTAGAAAGAAAGAAATTTTTTATAATAATAGAAAAGCAAGAGATAAAATTACCATTATTTTCCTGATGATATGATTGAATACCTAAAAAAAACACAAGCATCAACTCAAAAACTTGCAGTACTGATTAAAAAAAAAAGTTCAGTAAGATGAGTGGTTAAAAAACAAATAGATAAAACACAACAGCTTTCTTATATAGCATCAATAACCACTTGGAAGCTCTGACAAGAAATAAATTAAATCCCATGGTAGCAAATAACTAGGAATCAACTTAAACAGAGATATGAGAGGTCCAGATGAAGAAACCCACAAAACTTTACTGAGGGAAATAAAAGAATCCTTGAAAATGTGAAGATACAGGTAACGATTCTGAGTCTGAAGACTCAATAAAGTCAAGATGGAAATTATCACAAAAATAATTTGAGCAATATTTTCAATTCGAATAAAACCCAAGAGGAGTTTTCTGGAACTTGGCAAAATAATTCTAAAGATCATTTGAAAGGAGACACAAAGAGTCTCTCTCTCTTTTGTTTTGTTTTGTTTTTTTTCATAAAGTGTAACTAGAAGAGAATGTCCTATTAAGAATTAAATACCTAGTAAAGCCACAATAATTAAAAGAGTGTTGTACTGACATAAAAACAGACAGGCTAATGACAAGAAGAAGAAAGAACATCAATAGACCATATATGAGAATGCATTTGATGAGAACAGCCCCACTTTTAATGAGGGGAGAAAGGCTAAACTATTAATTCATGGTTCTGGAATACTGATTAACTATAGTATTTGAAAAAACAATGGACTTAGATTCTATTCACATGGTGAATGAAAAATTAATTAACTAGCTAATTAATTAATTCATAACTATAAAGAGTTGAACATGAAGAAGAATAAAAAATCAAATCATTAAAATCTAGAAAAATACAAGAGAATATTTATCTCATTTGGGAATAGGGAAATAACTTTTGAAGTTCAAAAGCAAAAGAAGATATAAAGTTTTCTATAATGGACAACATAAAAATTAAAACTATTCATCAGAGACATCAAAAATTCTGAAAGCAAATAAAAACTGAAAAAATGTAAGTACCAGGTAAAGAATAATATCCTTTCTCCATAAAAAAGCTTATAATATACATATATGGAAAATATAAAAATGTTTATGAACAGATAATTCACAGAGGACAAAACATAAAATATATTTGGCTATATAATAAGGAAAAACCAGGTCAATAGGATGCAGTGTCATTTCTTATCAAATAAGCTAAGATTTTGAAACAGTGATAATTCCTAATATTAGCAAATAGTAAATGAGTAATTACCTGATGCTTGGACTACCAGTTGTCTCAATGATTTTCTGAGGAGCAATTTGATAATACGTATCACATTATCAAGTTGTGAATCATATAACACAATATGAATCACATATCACATTAAAATGCCCACACCACCAATTGAATAATCCCAATCTAGAAGACATAATGAGAAATCATAACAAATATTTAGGTGAAAAATCTCACGACAGTATTACTGTACTGAAAGACTGAAAGCAATTTCAACACCCAAGTGTAAGGACGTAATTAAATAAGTAATAATACGGCAATATGATATAATTTAATTGATGTAAAAGTCCAAGCATTCAAGAATATTTAATGACATAAAAATGTTAATGATAGAATTCTAAATGAGAAAAAAAAGCCATGTAACAGGACTTATAGCTTGCACCTAATTTTGTAAAATATATATATACATTTAGCAAACGTATGAGCATATGCATACACATGTGTGTATATAAATAGTAATCTACATATAGAAAAACGACTTGAGAAGAGTTCAACTTTCAATTAAACATCACAAAGTAAACACATGCATTAACCTCCATTTTCTTCCAAATGCACCAAAATGACAGTGTAGGAATTAAAAAGACATAAACAAACCCATATATACCAAGAGAATGGGGAAAAAAGTGACAGCAATTGAGAGATGCAAACATTTTGGAGGAAGAAAAATGGTTGGACAAATGGTAACTGATTAAGCAGAGCAGTGAAAACTGAAGCCCGTATGTCCATCAGGTAAGAAAGCAGAATACAACCAATTTAACCCATGGAGTACCAAAAGGACCCAGAAATGGGGCAACCAGATTATTCTAACGGCAGGAACACCTAGGGCTGAAAACAAAATTACCTGAAAATCTGTATAAGAAATGTTAAGACAACCACCCACAAAACCCCCTTTGACATCTGCCATGCGACCAGATGCCAGTCCCTTCTCAATACCTACATAAGACTGAAAATGTAGTTACTACAACATATCAAGCAGAGAGGATATAGCTTCAAGGATTCTGTGGCCAGCTGAGAGGGGGTAAGTCACCAGGCAAAACCACGGGTGATCCACTGAAACCAACATACTGAGTGAAGACAGCATCCCCCAATTAGCTCTGAGTACCCACAGCCAGGTTACACATACTTCCCATGCCTTCATGAGTGCAGAAGGCTTATCTTTGGAAAAATTTACCAGATGGAGAGGAAAAGGCCTTAGCCGTGAACATTCCAATGTTCATCCATAAAAATCCAGTTTACTGTCTTATTTCCATATAGTCAAACCTGTCAGTGAACAAAGCCCCTCCCATGCAATACATAGACTCAAAATTTTAGTGCCAATCTCTTAAATATGAATGGATAGCCAATGATGATGACTATTTGAGTTAAATCTCTAACATGAACAGAAGAGACCAAAACAAACAGGGAGGGGAAAAGTGCAGGTAGAAAACAAAAGATAAGTGCTTCTCAGCCTTTTGGCTAAGATCAAATGTAGTATCTCTTCTTATCAGTTTCATATGCAGAGCAGTGACACGATAAAGCAACCACACAAACAAGCTGGCATGATAACCAACTAACAACAAAATGGCAAGATCAAATTCACACATATCAGTATTAACTTTGAATGTAAATGGGCTAAATGTTCCACTTAAAAGGCACAGGGTAGCAAGCTGGATAAAAAAGCAAGACCAAATGGTATGCAATCTTCAAGAGACCCATCTCACATGCAATGAATGGCACACAAAAGCTCAAAATAAAGGGATGAGGAAAATCTACCAAGCAAATAGAAATTAGAAAAAGCAGGGGTTGCAACCCTCATTTCAGACAACACAGACTTTATCCAGCCAAAGATCAAAAAAGACAAGGAAGGCCATTACATAATTGTAAAGGATTCAATTCAAAAAGAAGACCTAACCTAACCCTAAATATATACACACCCAACACAGGAGCACCTAGATTCATGAACTAAGTTCTTAGAGACCTACAAGGAGATTTCAAGTTCCACACAATAATAGTGGGAGACTCCCCACTGAGAGTATCAGACAGATCATTGAGGTAGAAAATTAACAAAATTATCTAGGACTTTAACTCAACATTGGACCAGATGGATCTGATAGACCTCTACAGAACTCTCTACCCCAAAACAACAGAATATACATTCTTCTCATCACCACATGGCACATACTTTAAAAGTGAACACAATATGACATAAAACAATCCTCAGAAAATGCAAAAGAACCACAATCATTCCAAACACACTCTTAGATCACAGTGCAATAAAAATAGAAGTCAACACTAAAAACATTGCTCAAAACCATGCAATTTTATGAAAATTAAACAATATGCCCCTGAATAAGTTTTGGATAAAAAAAAGAAATTAAGGCAGACATCAAGAAGTTGTTTGAAACTAATGAGAACAAAGATACAACATACCAGAATCTCTGGGATACAGCTAAGGCAGTGTTAAGAGGGAAATCTATAGCACTATAAATGCCCTTATGTGGTTTGGCTGTGTCCCCACCCAAATCTCATTGTGAATTGTAGTTCTCATAATCCCCACATGTCATGGGAGGGACCTGGTGGGAGGTAATTAAATCATGGTGGTGGTTACCTATATGCTGCCATTCTCATAATAGTGTGTGAGTTCTCAAGAGATCTGATGGTTTTAAAGGAGATGGCCCCCTTTTTCTTGGCACTTCTCCTTAATGTCACCATTTGAAAAAGGACATGTTTGCTTCCCCTTCCGCCATTATTATAAGTTTCCTGAGGCATCCCCAGCCATGCTGAACGGTGAGTCAACTAAACATCTTTGCTTTATAAATTACCCAGTCTCTTGTATGTCCTTATCAGCAGTGTGAGAATGGACTAATACAGTAATTTGATACCAGTAGAGTAGGGTGCTGCTATAAGGATGTCCAAAAATGTGGAAGCTACTTTGGAACTGGGTAACAGGCAGAGATTGGAACAGTTTGGAGGATTTAGAAGATGACAGGAAAATCTGGGAAAGTGCAGAATATCCTAGAGACTTGTTGAATTACTTTGACCAGAATGCTGATAGTCATGTGAACAATGAAGTCCAGGTTGAGATGGTCTCAGATGGAGATGAGGAACTTGTTGGGAAGTGGAGCAAACGTGACTTTTGTTATGCTTTAGCAAAGAGACTGGTGGCATTTTGCCCCTGCCCTAGAGATGTATGGAACTTTGAAACTGAGAGAGATAATTTAGGGTATCCGGTAGAAAAAATTTCTAAGTGGCAAAGCATTCAAGAGGAAGCAGAAAATAAAAATTTCTAAAATTTGCAGCTGACAATGCAATAGAAAAGAAAAACCCATTTTCTGGGGAGAAATCCAAGCCTGCTGCAGAAATTTGCATTAGTAATGAGGAGCCGAATGTTAATCACCAAGACAAGGGGGAAAATGTCTCCAGGGCACGTGAAAGACCTTCACAGTAGCCCCTCCCCCAGAGGACTAGGAAGAAAAATGGCTTTGTGGGCCAGGCCCAGGGACCCCTGCTGTGGGCAGCCTAGGAACTTCGTGTCCTGAATCCCAGCCACTCCAGTCATGGCTAAAATGGGCCAAGGTACAGCTCAGGCTATGGCTTAAGAGGGTGCAAGTCCTGTGCCCTAGCAGCTTCCATGTGGTGTTGAGCCTGAGGGTGCACATAAGTTAAGAATTGAGGCTTGGAAACCTCCACCTAGATTTCAAAGGATATATGGAAACACCTGGATGTCCAGGTAGAAGTTTGCTGCAGTAGTGGAGCCCTCATAGAGAACCTCTGCTAGGACAGTGCAGAAGGGAAATGTGGGGTTAGAGTCTCCATACAGAATCTCCACTGGGGCACTACCTAGTGGAGCTGTGAGAAGAGGGCCACAGTCCTCCAGACCCCAGAATGTTAGATCCACTGACAGCTTGCACCATGTGCCTGGAAAAATCACAGGCACTCCACACAAGCCCATGAAAGCATCCAGAAGGGGGGCTATACCATGCAAAGCCATAGGGACCAAGCTGCCCAAGGCCATGGGCACCCATCTCTTCCATCAGCATGACCTGTATGTGAGACACGGAGTCAAAGTAGATTATTTTGGAGCTTTAAGATTTAATTACTGCCTGATTCTAGATTTGCATGGGGCCTGTAGCCCCTTTGTTTTGGCCAACATCTCCCATTTGGAATGGGTGTATTTACCCAATGCCCGTACCTCCACTGTATCTGGGAAGTAACTAATTTACTTTTGATTTTACAGGCTCATAGGTGGAAGGGACTCACCTCATCTCAGACAAAACTCTGGACTTGGACTATTGAGTTAATGCTGGAATGAGATAAGACTTTGGGGGACTGTTAGAAGGCCATGATTGGCCAGGCGCAGTGGCTCACACCAGCAATCCCAGCACTTTGAGAGGCCAAGGTGGGTGGATCACCTGAGGTCAGGAGTTCAAAACCAGCCTGACCAACATGGTGAAACCCCATCTCTACTAAAAATACAAAATTAGCTGGTTGTGGGTGGCACATGCCTGTAATCAGAGCTGAACTGAAGGAAATGGAGGCATGAAAAACATTCAAAAGATCAATGAATCCAGGAGTTGGTTTTTTGAAAAAGTTAATAAAATAGACTAATAAATAAACAAGAAGAGAGAGTAGATCCAAATAAATCCAATTAGAAATGACAGAGGGGATATTACCATTGACTCCACAGAAATAAAAATTATCCTTAGAAACTACCATGAACACCTCTATGCCCACAAACTAGAAAACCTAGAAGAGCTGAACACATTTGTGGACATATACACCTTCCAAAGACTGAACCAGGAAGAAGTTTATTCCCGAACAGACCAATAATGAGCTCTGAAATTGAATTGGTAATAAATAGTCTACCAATCAAAACAAGCCCAGGACCAGAAGGATTCACAGCTGAATACTACCAGATGTACAATGAAGATCTGGTACCCTTCCTACCGAAACTATTCCAAAAAATTGAGGAGGATAGACTCCTCCCCAACTCATTCCATGAGGCCAACATCATCCTGATACAAAAACCTGGCAGAGACACAACAAAAAAAGAAACTTCAGGCCAATATCCTTGAAGAACATTAATGCAAAAATTCTCAGCAAAATACTTGCAAACCAAATCCAGCAAAACATCACAAACTAATCTACCATGATCAAGTTGGCTTCATTGCAAGGATGCAAGTGGTTGGTTCAACATGTGCAAATCAATAAACGTGATTCATCACACAAACAGAACTAAAGACAAAAGCCACATGATTATCTCTATAGATGCAGACGAGGCTTTCAATAAAATTCAATATCGCTTCATGTTAAAAACTTTCAATACACTACGTATTCAAAGAACATATCTCAAAATAGTAAGAGCCATCTATGACAAACACACAGCCAACATCATATGGAATGGGGAAAAGCTGGAAGCATTCCCATTAAAACCAGTACACAACAGGGATGCTCTCTCTCACCACTCCTATTCAACATAGCATTGGAAGCCCTGGCCAAAGCAATAAGCCAAGAGGAAGAAATAAAGGGCATCCAAATAGTAAGATAGGAAGTCAAACTCCCCCTGTTTGCATACAACATGATTTTATATCTATATAAATCAGGATACAAAATCAGTGTATGAAAATCACTAGCATTTCTATACACCAACAACAGCCAAGCTGAGTGCCAAATCAGAAGCACAATACCATTCACAATTGCCACAAAAAGAATAAAATACCTAGGAATACAGCTAACCAGGGAGGTGAAAGATCTCTACAATGAGAATTATGAAACACTGCTCGAATAAATCAGAGATGAAACAAACAAATGGAAAAACACTCCATGCTCATGATAGGAAGAATTAAATCATTAAAATGGCCACACTGCCCAAAGCAACCTACAGAATCTACCAAACTACCAGTGATGTTCTTCACAGAACTAGAAAAATCTATTTTAATATTCATATGGAACCAAAAGGGCCTGAATAGCGAAGGCAATTCTAAGCAAAAACAACAAAGCTGGAGGTATCATATTAGCTGCCTTCAAACCATACTACAGGGCTACAGTAAATAAAACAGCACGGTATAGGTACCAAAACAGATCTATAGACCAATGAAACGTAATAGAAAGCCCAGAAGTAAGGCCCCACACCTACAACCATCTGATTTTGACAAGGCTGATAAAAACAAGCAATGGGGAAAGGACTCCCTGTTCAATAAATGGTACTGGGATAACTGGCTAGCCATATATAGAAGATTGAAACTGGACCATTTCCTTATACCCTATACAAAAATCAACTCAAGATGAATTAAAGACTTAAATGTAAAGCCCCAAACTATAAAAACCCTAGAAGACAACCTAGGCATAGGGACATTCTGTACATAGGAACAGCAAAGATTTCATGACAAAGATACCAAAAGTGATTGCAATAAAAGCAAAAATGGAGAAATGGGATCTAATTAAACTTAACAGCTTCTGCACAGCAAAATAAACTATCAACAGAGTAAACAGACAACCTACATAATGCGAGAAAATGTTGGCAAACTATGCATCTGACAACAGTATAATATCCAGCATCTATAAGGAACTTAAACACATTTATGAGAGAAAAACAATCCCATTAGAAAGTGGGCAAAGGACATGAACAGACACTTCAAAAGAAGACATACATGCATCCAACAAGCACATGAAGAAAAACTCATTATCACTGATCATTAGAGAAATGATGCAAATAAAAACCACAATGAGATACCATCTCACACCAGTAAGAATGGCTATTATTAAAAGTCAAAAAAATAACAGATGCTGGCAAGGTTGCAGAGAAAAGGGAATGCTTGCACACCGTCGGTGAGAGTGTAAATTAGTTCAGCCATTTTGGAAAACAATGTGGTGATTCCTCAAAGAGCTAAAAAGAGAACTATCATTCGACCCAGCAGTCCCATTACTGGGTATACACCCAAAGGAATATAAATCATTCTACCATAAAGACACATGCACATGAATGTTCATGGCAGCACTATTCACAATAGCAAAGACATGAAATCAACCTAAGTGCCCTAGATTGGATGAAGAAAATGTGGTACATATACACCATGGAATACAATGTAGCCATAAAAATGAATGAGATCATGTCTTGCAGGAATATGGATGGAGCTGTATTCTAAGCAAACTAATGCAGAAACAGAAAACCAAACACCACATGTTCTCACTTATAAGTGGGAGCTAAATGATGAGAACACATGGACACAAAGAGGGGAACAACAGGCCCTGTGGCTTACTTGAGGGTGGAGAGGGAGAGGAGGGAGGGGATCAGAAAAAATTAACTATTGGGTACTGAGCTTAGGACCTGGGTAACAAAATAATCAAACCCCACAACACGAATCTTCCTATATAACAAACCTGCACACATACTCCTGAAACTAAAAGCTAAAAAAAAAGACATTTTGAAGAGCATTTTTTAATGTAGAGAGAAGAGATTTTATCCAAGAAAAAGATGCTGTAAAAAAGGATCATTCCAAGAACCAAGATAACTATCAGATGTTAAAACTATACAAGTATAAATAAAAATTGCAATAGATGGCTTAGAAGATGAAGTTGAGGATATTGTCCAGAATACAGAAAGAAAAAAAAAAAAAGAAGAAGAAGAAGGAAAAGCAAAGAAAAAAAAACAAGAAAATTGAGTTTTGGCTTATGTAATCCAAAAGCCAACTAATAGGATTTGTTAAAAAAAAAAAAAAAAAAAAGGCCAGGCTTGGTGCCTCACACATGTAATCTCAGTACTTCGGGAGACAGAGGTGGGAGGATTGTTTGAGCCGAGGAGTTTGAGATCAGCCTGGGCAATAAAAAACTGTGTCTCTACAAAAATATTAAAAATGTAGCCATGTGTATGTAGTCCCAGCTACTCAGGAGGCTGAGGTGGGAGGATTGCTTGAACACAGGAGGCAGAGGTTGCAGTCAGCCTTGGCTGCACCACTACACTCCAACCTGGACAACACAGTGAGACCCCGTGCCAAAGAAAGAAAAAAATATACGAGAGAAAACTGAGAATATGTTATCAAAGAAATGATTTAAGAATAATTTCTAGAACTGATGATAACAAAGTTGTAAATTGAAATAGTAACCAAATAGTCATGCAGTATAACTTAAAAAAAAACCTAAAGTCATTATGAAACCTCAAAACACTGAAATTAAAAGAAAAAAAAAAAAACTTGGCCAAGCATGAAGGTTCATGCTTGTAAATGCCAACACTATGAGAGGCTGAGACAAGAGGATCGCCTGAGCCCAAGAATTTGAGAGCAGCCTGGATAACATAGCGAGACCCCCCATCTCTGAAAAAATAAATAAATAAATAAAATAAATAAAGTGGGGCATGTGCCTATAGTCTCAGCTACTCAGAAGGCTGAGGCAGGAGGATGGATTGATTGAGCCCAGGAGCTCAAGGATGCAGTGAGCTATGATCACATCTCTGCACTCCACACTAGATGACAAAGCGAGGCCCCATCTCATTTAAGGAAAAAAAGACTAAACATTTACAAGATAAAAGCAGACATATGTCTCATATAAAAGATAAGGAATCAGAATGGCACTGGACTTCTCAATATTGTGAAGGGAAATCAGAAGACAACACAGCCAACATCTGTGAAATTCTGAGGGATTGACAAAGTTAGAAAGATAATTCAGTGGAGAAAGGACAGGCTTTTCAACAAATAGTACCAGAACAATTAGACATTCACACGGAGCGGGGGGAAGAAAGGAGGACCCTTGACCTATACCTCTCACTATATGTAAAAGTTTACTCAAAATGGAACATAAACCTAAATGTAAAATATAAAATCAAAAACAGGAAAAAATCTTTGTGGCCTTGGACTAGGCTAAAAATTGTTAAATAAGACACGTCTTAGTGTCATCATCCATAAAAGTAAAAAACTGATGTTAGACTTCATCGAAATTAAAATATTTTGCTCTGTAAAAGATACTGGTAAGAGAATAAAAAGACAAGCCATAGGCTGGGAAAAAAAAATTAAAAATCCCAGATCTGACAAAATGCTTATATTTGGATATATAAAGAACTCTCAAAGCTTAATAACAGCTCAATTTTTTAAACGGGCAAAAAATTTGAGCAAACACATTACTAAAGAAGATGTACAGAAAGCAAATAAGAATATGAAAAGATGTTCAACATCATTACTCATTAGGGGAATCCAAATTAAAATCACAATAAGACACAACTGCACATTTTGTTAGGGGAGCTAAAATTTAAAACAAAGGGGAAAAAGGAAAAAAAATGCTAACTGCAGGTGAGGACGTGGAACAAATTGAATCCTCACCTATTGCTCATGAGTATGCAAAATGGTACAACCATTTTGAAAAACAGATTGACAGTTCCTTATGAAGTCAAATATACATTTATCGTACAGCTCAGAAATCTTAGTATTTACTGAAAAGAAATAAAAACTTGCATTGAGACAAAAACCGGTATGCTGACATTTACAGTGGATTTATTCATAATCACCAAAAATCCGAAACAATGCAAATGTTATTCAGGTTGTGGGATATGATGGGGTTTCTCTTCCAATAATCTGATCAATCTTTTATTCTTTAATTCACCGTACCCCACCACCCTTTTTCCTTTTCCCAGATGTTAATTTCTTTGGAGGGCTGAATCTCTTCTGTATGTACTAGAGTAATGGATATATGATTCTACACATTTGTCTAAACCCATAAAACTATATATGTGTACCAAAAGGAGGGAAAGTTACTCCATGTCAATTAAAAAAATAATTCTGAGAAAAAATTATAGCCTACCAGAACTTTATATCCAGCCAAACTGTCAATCAAATGTAAGGATAACATAAAATGATTATCTGCTAGGCAAGATATTTAAATTATTTTTTACCTTCAAATATAACTTTTCTCAGGAAGCTCCTATATACCATGCTCTAATAGAATGAGAAAGTAAACCCCACACAAAAAAAGAACTCATGGGACCTAGAAAAAGGAGAGAGGTAGCAGGAAATTCCAAAACAAGTGATGTGTCTGGGATCTAAAGAGAACACAGGCGATATTAAACTAGGAAGCTGGAGGCTTCTAGGCATGTAAATTCAAGGAGAGAAAACAATGAAACCAATAGATATTCTGAAGAATTCAGACACAAGGAGATGAGATTAACACTTTTGAGGGGGAGTTGGAAACACTTTAAGGAAAACAAAATAATAAAGCAAGGCAGGTATTATCTCTATGACTGGGGAAATGAGGAAAGAGATGTAATCACAATATGAGGGGACTTCAAAAGGAAACTTGGGAAGGTTTGTAAGTGAGGACGTACAAGGAAGCTTCCAGAGAACTCAGTAGATAGATGATATCCAAATGAAATAGAAAAGGACTAGCAGAATGCCTATTTTATTTGGAAATGTAGTATTAAACGCAGGGGGAAACAGCAGCAAAAGGAGCTGAGTCTGGTTGCCTCAGGGGGGCAGAGAATGAGAGGGGAAGGGCTACTGCTGTTCACTCAAGGCTTTGTAGCATACATTACTTTTAAAACTGTTCTAGACAAGAACTTTTTTTCATCAAAAAATAAGAAAAAAGAGAATGAATGATACCAAATTATTAACAACGATTATTTTTGGTTATTACTGGGTTTATAGATAATTTTCATTTTATTCTTTACAATTTCCTATATTTCCTCAATTTTCTATCTTAATAATCAACAGGGAGCAGAATGAGAGAGATACAGACACAGAGAGTTATTAAGAGCAGAAAATACTTCTCCCTTCTCTTTAATCAGGCAAAGCATAATAGATATCCATGTCTTATTATGAAGACAGTCTGCATTTAGAAAGTGGGGATTTCAGGGCACAGAGTAAAGGTTTCTACGAGATAGCACGTTGGGAAGGAGACTAGCTCAGTGCCTGGCATGAAGGAGGAGTTTGGATGATGCAAACCCCTCTGTTTGCCCCTGGTCTAATTTTTCCATTGGTAAGATGAGGGCTTGGGGTCAGCCACCTCTCCCTAGCTCTAGAATTTGACTCCAAGAATCTGTATCCACCTCAGATGCCTGTAATCAAGGAACCTGCCAGGAACAGGTTACCCTAGCCTCCTGCTGCCCAGGCCTAGGTGCCAGGAGCCCCTCCTCTCCCCGCCTCCCACATAGGGCCAGGCATGTTCCCACCCCAGACCCTCCATCCACTGCAATACATTCCTGGGAGTTTCTTTGTTCTCTCAACTGCCCACCTCCCAAGAGACAAGTCCCTGAAACCAGGTATAAATGGCTGCTGAGACTTCAGTGCCACCACCTGGTCTGTGTACTTCCAGCTGTTGAATAAATGGCAACCCTTGGACATTTCTATTTCCTGCAAAGCCCTCCCAGATTAGAAGCTGATCCTCATGACTCCTTACAAGCTTGGCAATGCGGAACCAAGCAGAGTATTTGAATATGAAAAGAAAGGCCAGGTCTGTCTTGAAATTCAAGTCTCTGAACTCTAAGACCTGGACGCAGGCCAACACCTGGTTTCTAGAGCTGCAAGTCAGAAATGGCAACAAAACACAAGGGGATGAGCCGAGCTTTGGAACCAAACAGCCCTGGGTTTGAATCCTTAATCGGCCACTGAATTCCTGGCACTGGCTGAGACACGTTTTGGCAGATTTCTCATCCATAAAACTGGAACAACAAGGCCTACTTTCTATCTAAAATAATTAGCAAATAATTAGATGACAATAAGTCGTGTTTACTGGGCACTTGCTATGTAACGGCACTGTGCTAAGTATTTTATGTTCACTGTTCATTTAATCCTCAGAAATTAACTATTACGTGCTACCATCCCCATATCAAAAATAAGGAAATTGAGGTACAGAAAGATTAATGTGTCCAGTGTGGCTCAGCAAGGAAGCACCAGAGTTGGGATTTGAACCCCAGCAGTCTGAGGCCAGACTTAACTGCCGCACCGCATGGTTTCCCTAATGACAGGCACTTCTTGAGGGTGGACAGTAACCAGCCCTGTCTCCTTCTTCCTGCCCATATTATAGATGGGAGAACAAGGCCCAAAGCAGGGACGTGGGCGTCCCACAGTCATACAGGAGCTGGGGGTGGGCCCTGGATTCAGCTCCAGTTCTTTCCTCATGCCAGCAGCCACTGGAGCCCACAGAGGCCCATCCGGAGGACCCTTGGATCCCCACTGTGAGTGGGCCCAGCACCTTGCTGCCTCAGACAACCCACAACCCCTGACACTCACAGGTCCCCTCACCTTGTTCTGATGTGGGCATGGTCTTCTGCTGGGAAAGCAGGTATCTGGCCTCCGCCACCCCTCAGCACACTTACCAGGCTATCATCCTATTGTGACACCTGCCCTAGTCCACACCTCTTGAGAGCTCATCTTTTCCTCCACCATGGTGACCAAGAGCACCACCCATGCCCTGCCATCAAAGTGGAGGGAAGGACCAATCTCGGGCCCCTGGATCCAGCCAGGTCTGCTGCAGTCCAGTCTGCTCAAACAGCTCATGCCTACCAAGGCAAGTGATTTGTTTCCTTGGTAGCATTTAACACTCACTACATTAACAGTATGTATTTATTCAGGGACCATATCTGAGTTATCCATTGCTGGGTCCTCAGAGCCTATTCCAGTGCTTAGCAACGAAGAGTCCAGTTGCTACACGCAGAACAGAGTACAGAGGCCAAAGGGAAACAAAAGTCCAGTGAAGAGTGACTGCCAGGAAAGAGATGATGGTATCCTGGTGGCAAAGGAGAAAATAGAATAATTTCAGCAGACATTTAGGAGGAAAACGGGATAGGATTGGGGACTGAGGGAAAGAGGGGTCAAAGGTGGCTCTTGGTGTTCACATTTGCACCCTAGACAGATATCCATCTGTCCTTTCGGAGAAGTAAGAGGGAAAAAGGAACACTTTTTCCAAACTGGGTGGCAGCTTTGGAGTACCAGGCCCTCACGTAAACTGTTTTGTTTGTTTGTTTGTTGAGACGGAGTTTCGCTCTTGTTGAACAGGTTGGAGTGCAGTAGCATGATCTTGGCTCACTGCAACTTCTGCCTCCTGGGTTCAAGCGATTCTCCTGCCTCAGCCTCCCGAGTAGCTGGGATTACAAGTGCCCACCACCACGCCCTGCTGTTTTTGTATTTTTAGTAGAGACAGGGTTTCGCCATGTTGGCCAGGCTTGTCTTGAACTCATGTGATCCATCCGCCTCAGCCTCCCAAAGTGTTGGGATTACAGATGTGAGTCACTGCGCTCAGCCCAAAAACTGTTGATAAAATGAAACCACAGATAAAAAGCCAGTCTGTTGCCTAAGGACAAACCATATTATGAGCCCTTGCCCCTCTGGGTACCCTTTTAATCAGAGGCTCCAGACTGAGCTAGCCAGGCTGGAACGGGGATCTGGGAAGCTGGAGATTTCTTTCCTGAGATCAATGAAACACTGGACATTGGAGGACCAGTTGGGGATCCCTGTATTGTATGGGCTTCTGACCAAAGGGTCTACACCATGACCTTGCTCTGTGATCCCACCATTATCTTGGGATATCTGGGCTGTAACCAATGGGCCGCTGGACAGAGGAGAGGATCAGAAGGGTTGGGATATAAAAACAAATCACATCCCTTCCCTGATTTTAAACCTGATATGGGTGCCCACTTCTCTGTGGAGGGTATCTCCCTCATGGCAGGGAATCCAAATTCCAATACAAATTGGTGACAATCTCCCTTTCCCATTTTTTCACCAATGTCTAGTGTAGTGGCCATCATTGGCTGCCCGCCCAGCCGTGTCCCCCGCTCATCCTTCCTAGGGGAACCTCTGGGGAGTCCTTGCCCCCTTTATATAGGAACCTGTGCTTGGGCTTGGGATGATGAGACTTGAGGCTCCTACACCTTTGGTCCCCAGGGTTGGTCCAGGAAACAGGACTCATGTATCTCCTATCACTGCTTGCCATTGGCTACTTTAAGTATCTATCTCCCCTGCTGGACTATGACCTCCTAGAGGCCAGGGCTCAATATGATCCCTTTCTGGGCTCTGCAGGAGGGATCTGTTGGGCAGAAGAAGGGCACAGGTGCTGGAGGTAGGCTCTTCTTGCATACCTCGTAGGGACTTCCATCTCACACGGCCTCCCTGGTTGCCCATCAGCCTTTCCCACCTTGGGCAGGATTCTGATCCATGGCTTTCTTTAGTCTCAGAGCAAAAAGCTCTCTCAATGTCACTCTGAAGCTCGGGCACACTTACTCTGTGTTCACTCTGTTTTTTTTTTTTTTTTAAAGCGCCCTTCACATGATCTAGCTCTCAGGCAAATTGGAAAAAAAGAAAAGAAAAAGCCTTAATTAAAGGAAAGTAAGGCACAGTTTTCATGCATAATAAGAAATGGCTTTTTGAGCCAGCATGATAAAATCCTACCACTCTGGGGTTGCCCTCCAGAAAGTGAGGATTAAGAAAGCCAGGGTTTTATTTAAGGGCAGTTGGAGAAATAATGGCAGCAAACTCTTAGAAAGCACTCACTGTGTGCCAGATATTCCTACATGCTTTACAAATAAGGGAAAGCAGCGATTCCCTTGAATCCTGCTGGCCAAAAGCTGAGAAGAGTGAAGAGAAAAACATGGGTGGAGAAAAATGACCAAGGACATCCCAAGGTATGGCATAGTCTGGAGGGTCGTGAAAGCCAACTGGTGCTGTTACTACTGGGAACTGGATCCCTTGTTTAAGATCTTTAATAAGTGGTACTCTAGGTTGTGGTTTGCAAATTTGTTTTTAAATCACCTGAAGAGCTTTAAAAATTCTAATAGCTGGGGTTTACCCGCTGAGATCCTAATGAAGTTAGACTGGGGTGTAGCCAGGACAATGAGACTTTTTAGACAAACCCCAGGAGATCCCAACGCCAGTGGAGGTTGTATACCCTGGCCTAATGTTGTTTACTAGTATATTGGTTTCCTCAGCTGCCGTAACACAGTACCACAAACTGGGTGACTTAATGCAGAAATTTATTGTTTCATACTATTGGGGGCCAGAAACCTGAAAGCATGGTGTTGGCAGGACCATGTTCCCTCTGAAACCTATAGGGAAGAATCTTTCCTTGCCTCCTCCTAACTTCTCGTGGTTTGCTGGTAATCCCTGGCATTACTTGGTTTACAGCTGCGTGACCCCCATCTCTGCCTGCGTTGTCACGTTTTTCTCCATGTGTGTCTGTGTCATCTCAGGGTCACCTTCTTGCAAAGATACTGATTGGGGCCAACCTACTCCAGTATGACTTAACTAATTACATCTGCAATGACGGTATTTCCAAATAAGGTCACAATCTGAGGTATTGGTATTTAAGGCTTCAACACATCTTTTTTGTTTTTTTATTTTTATTTTCATTTTTTTGGTGTGTGACACTGAGTCTCACTCTGTTGTCCAGGCTGGAGTGCAATGGTGCGATCTTGGCTCACTGCAACCTCCGCCTCCTGGGTTCAAGCAATTCTCCTGCGTCAGCCTCCCTAGTAGCTGGGATTACAGGCATGCACCACCAAGCTCAGCTAATTTTTGTAATTTTAGTAGAGACGGGGTTTCACCATGTTGGCCAGGCTGGTCTCAAACTCTTGACCTCAAGTGATCTGCCCATCTTGGCCTCCCAAAGTGCTGGGATTACAGGCACGAGCCACCATGTCCAGCCATCACATCTTTTTTAGAGAGACACAATTCAACTCACAACAATGGGTATAAATGCCTGTTCCTGCAACCCCTCAGCTTTGACCTGTGGACTCTGCCTGCCCATTGCCTGAATGCCATACTCACAGCATGAGTTGCTACTTGGAGCCCAGCATCCCCACATATTTGGGAGATCCCTAGTGGCCTTCCTGCTCAAGAAGCCTCTACCTTTCTCCTTATTGTTCATGGAGTCCTTCGTGCTACTTGACTCAAAGCCTTTTGCCTTGGCTCACTTGGCCTTTGGCTTCTGAGTCTTCAACACCAGGCTCCTTGGCAAGGCTACTGACAGCCTGCTAAATTTCCCAAGCACCCTTGCCATGAGAGGTATGCTACACCCTGTCCCCTCAAAACCCCACTGCTAGCTGGGGCTCAGCCACAAAGCAGATATCCCACCCCATCCAGCTGCAGGTTTGGTACTTGCCTCCTCTTAGGTAGCATCAGAGCTCCGACATTCCACTCACCAGGAACAAGGCCCACTAATGAGTCAAAGCTCCTTTAAAATCTGCATTTGTCTGGACCTTGCTGTGCTATTACACAGCTGAACATCCTTGGGCAAATCACTTAACCTCTCTGAAGCTCTGTTTCCCCACCTTTAAAACACAGATGATAATCCATGCCCTCATTTCTGATCACAACACTCAGGACAAACACAGCTCAGAATTCAGAACAGTTTGGGTTTTTAGACAAGTAATATGGGCCCATAAAACAGTCCTAGTGAGATCTGGGGCAACATTCTGGGCTCAGACACACAAATATTTCCACAGTGAGGCATATCAAAATTCATACCATGGGAGACAAAGGCTACAGATAGCTTCATAACAGTTTGCGTCAGGTTTGACAGCCAAATGAATTTAGTGTTAAATACACACACACACACACACACACACACACACACACACACACACACACACATAATCTCTCTCTCCATTTTCATAACTTCTTGAATTTCTGGACTATATGTACGAGAATGTCAACCTAAGTCTAGTTCACAAGTTTGTGGTAACTATTACAAGAGATATATCACACATGTGGGTATCTTGCAGAATAGCTAGTTTGAAGTAATTAAGTATTTGTGAATCTGGAAAAGGAAAAAAGCTTCAATCTAGCTGAAGCCAAAGTTTGCCACTCTCCTTAAAACACTGCAATTTGGCCAGAAGGCCTGTGACTTGTGCATTATAAGTGGTAAAATGTCCCCAGCTTTGCCCTGCTCCCCACTTCATCATCAGTCCCAAACTGAGGTCTCAGCATGTGACAGGAACCACGTTCATTCTAATCATCACAGTAATTTTTAAAAAAAATTCCAGCTCCATTCCACATCTCTTAAGTTTTGGCATAAATCATTGTTACAAGAAGACCTTCTCTTAGAAAGATCTTTAGAATCAGAAAACTCCTGTATTCTCCAACAGCAGCCTGGTTTCATGGAATGCAGCCAGACTCAGGTTCACAGGTCTTCCTCCTCAGGTTGGAAGTGGTTTTTATGGTGGCTGCACTGCGAACATCCCCAAAGCTCCAGGAGACATGCAAAACGAAGAAGAGTGCAGTGTCTACAAATCAGCAGCCAGTGCTACAAGGGAGCTGAGTAGCTACACTCTGTCAGGCCAGGGTTGGAAAATCCATTGTCTTCTTCACTTCAGACTGCTATAACAAAATGCCTTAGACTGTTTATTTATTTTTATTTTTATTATGTTTTTTGAGACAGTCTTGCTCTGTCACTCAGGCTATAGAGCATTGGCACAATCTCAGCTCACTGCAACCTCTGCCCCCCAGATTCAAGCAATTCTCCTGCCTCCGCCCCCCGAGTAGCTGGGATTACAGAAGTGCACCACCATGCCCAACAAATTTTTGTATTTTTAGTAGAGATGGGGTTTCACCATGTTGGCTAGTATGGTCTTGAACTCCTGACCTCAAGTAATCTGCCCACTTTCGCCTCTAAAAGTGCTGGTATTACAGGCATGAGCCACTGAGCCTGGCCTAAATTTATTGATCATAGTTCTTGAGGCTGAAAAGTCAAAGATCAAGGTGGTGGCAGGTTCCATGTCTGATGAAGGCCTCTTCTTCATGCATGGCAGCTTCTATGTGCCCTCACGTAGCAGCAGGAACAGAGGGGGTCCCTCAAGCCTCTTTTATAAGGACACAAATCCCATTCACAAGGGCTCCACCCTCATGACTTAATCACCTCCTAAAAGCCCCGCTTCTTAAAATTATCACATTGGGGATTCGGTGGCAACATACGAATTTGGAAGAGGGAGATACGAACACCTAGACCACAGAACCCATCTAGTCAGGCCTAGTATGACCTTGGATAAGCTAATTCACTTCCGGGATCCCTAAATCTTCACCTGCTAAATAAGCATGTGGATTATATTCCCTTCCAAGGAACTTCTGGCTTAAAAACTCCACAATTAAGATTTCTGCCTGTCTGAGATAAATGTTGGTTCCCTAAAGAGATTTGGAAAATAAACTATAGCTATTAATAGCTTCCGATAGACAATTTCAGGCAGGAGGTAAAGAAGCAATTACACAGTGCACATCTCATGCCACACCCGGCCTTCGTATGCTGATGGATTCAGGTACAGTGTGGTTCTGCAGTTCCCTTGGGGAATTTTGTTTCTCAAAGCCAGGGACTGACTGCTCCCACCACGGCCTCTGCTGGGCAGCTGCTACTAGGCAGGAACCTGTCAGAAATCAACCCAAGCAATGACTTCTTTTGGGAAACAGAGTCTCCAGAATTTGAGGTAATTCAGGTAAATGTGGCAGATGGTAGCATCTCAAATTGTCATTTCTCCAAAGAAACCTGGCAAGGGTGATAACCTCTGGTGGCCTGAATTTAGAGTTGAGCAATAGTAAGAATATGGCAGGTGTAATAGGTTGCTATTGAGGGGAGCAGAAAGATTTGGGGCAGAGCACTCCCTCAGGTATACAAAGAACAGGGGCCATGCCCATGGTTGTAGCTTTGGCTCCAAGGAGGAAAGTAAGCATGGAGGGCTTCCAAATTGGACTAAAGCCATCTCTGGCTGAATTCTGGGTGCCACATTCTAATGAGAGGGAATTAAGGGGTAAGACTTGACCTCATGTCATCTCTTTACAGTGACCTTAAAAAGCACATCACCTTCCTTAGGAGTAAAATTCTATTAGTAGAACCAGCCAGGAAAAAATAATGCATGCGAGTGTGTTGCATGGAAAATCTCAGAAACTTGGCCAAGAAAACTGAAAGATCAAGAACCTGAGTAAAATTCATCGTAACAATAGAAGATAATGAGAAAAAACACAAAACTTCAAAATAAAGTAGTTAAGTGTATGTATTGAGGACATGGGAACAACATTTACGCAGGTGAGCATCAGAGAAGGAAAGGCCTGTTTTTTGAATGCCAACTATGTGCCAGGCACTGTGCTAGGCACTTTCCATTCATTATTTCACTTCACTCCCATAAAATACATATGAAGTAGCATTGGCGGTCATTGCAGTCACAGTAATAATAGGAAAGCACCAGTAATTAGAAATCATAGTGTTTTTCAAATCTTTTTGTGATGAAAACATACCCCGGGTTCAGGGAGGCAAGCCTACCAAATTCAAAAGGCATGAAGAGAAAAATGAGAACTCCTATAAACTCATCTTTAGATATGAGCCTGATGCCAAAGCTCCCACCGCCATAGCATCCACATTACCATCAGAATTAAGGGGTCCTTTCTATGAGAGTCATAGTCCTTGCTCAGGTGATTTCATTGGTTTCCAGGACCAGGATTTCAGAAATGACAATGGATTTTTTTTTCTTCATGGTCCAGAAAGTCTTGGTCAAAAAAACAATTTGGTTACTCACAGTGACAGAAGGCCCCTGGCTGGGGCTCTCAGAGGGAATCCATGCTGACCACTCCCCATGACTTCCCCCACATGACAATGGGCTAAGTGGGGCTCTCATGCTTCCCTTCTGACCCCTCTCCCCTCTCCTGACTCACCAAAAATACAAAGTCCTTGGGTACCTTCAACATATCTAGAATCAGCTTCACACTGCTCTGGCGTTTGTTCATTCATCAGTTCGAGCCCCTGTTTTGGGTCAGACCCCATGCTAGGAGATGGGCGTACGGGGATTTGGCAAGCTGCCTAGTCTGGAGGAAACCCATGGTCCCTGCCTGCCATTCCATGACTCTCTATCCCACCCACCTGTTCAGGTTCATTCTCCCAGCACCTTCTGCCAATGTGACAATAGAGTTTGCGGTCTCCAAGAACCAGCCCTCTGGGAGTGGCTAGTGCTTTGCTTGACGGGGACCATCAGATTCAGCTCTCATCCCTTGTTACTATGAAGGTAAGGATGAAGATGCCCCTGTGGGAGAAGGGGGCTGCCTAAGACCAAAGTGTCTAGACATTGGTAAGCAAGCAGCCCACCCCTCCCTTGCCTGAGTGTGTGAATGTACTCAGGATCCTCGGAGCAGTCAGACCAGTGCCTTGCTCGATGTCCACTGTTGTTTCTGTTTCGGGTGTTCTTGCCCCTCAGAGGTCCAGACTGGGGAAAGCTAAAGGGCTGTCTTGTGTGGTAATGGCCAAGTCACTTCTCCTGGATCTCAACTGCCTTCTCTGTAAAATGGGAGTGTTATATTGGTTGGTGATCCAAGGTCATCTTTTCCATATATGCAGGTTTATGATTTTATATAAACCTGTTTCTCATCCTAAATCATAATTATAATCATAAATTGAAGGGCGTGCATGTGTTTCTGTGTGTGCACATGTGTGTGACAGAGTGTGTGGTCTGAGAAAAATCTGACTCTGAGTTTTCTACGAATGCTCCAGAGAGTACTTAAAAAAGTCTGGAATCCTGGACTCTCCTTGTTGAGAGGGCACACACCTGCTATACCCACGTGGGTCACACAGCCCACCTGCTGCACAAGCAATGGAGGAAGGGCATGGCAGAGAACTCCCTGGGTATGAGCTGGATGCAGGAGTCCAAGACAGGCATGAACAGAGCTCTGTGATCTGGTCTGGAGAAATGGGACATGTATGGAGCACTTGGTTAAGGGCAAGCGAGATTATCCCAGAACACCTCAGGAAATCAGAGATAGCACAAGCTTCTGAGAAATGATGGCAGAGAAGAACTGGGCAGGTAAAGAATCAGACCTCCAGCTGGTCCAGGGCTCAGGGTTAAACCCAGGGGTGCCCTCAAAGAACAGACAAAATCCTTGTTCTCAGTCATGAGACAGCCACACCTACTTGGCCCAGCATAGGTCTATTAAAGACAGAACTTGCAGGGGTCTGCAAGGGAAGCTGAGCATCCTGCAGCCCCCAGGGACGCTACAAGGCAGCTGAGGGCCTCAAAACCTTACCACCATCACGCCCACCACCCACCAGCCTCCGTGTGTCACCCAGAACCATGGATGCCCTCACTTGCTGCCTGCTCACTTCTCCTACTTTGATAAGGTCACTCGCCATGCTTTATAACGCAAAAATAATATTCCTGCTGCCATTGCAAATTATGTCTGAACTATCCACCCTTCCCATCCTCATGCAGAAAGCAGCTCTGCAGGGGAGAGGCATGCCGGGCTGCAGTTACAAGGCTTATTAAGACACCTAATGGAACACCTTGTGGTGACCGCCCCCTCTGAGGAGAGCTCAGCAAAATGCATCACAGAAGCAGATGTCAGGCTTAAGGCAAAAGCTTCCAAAGCACTAAAGCCATACATGGAAGGACTGAGACTGGCCCCATCTGTACCAGATGTTCGCCATGGCTGTGGTGCTGGGGCTCCTCACCCTTCATAAGCAAACTACCACAGTAATGATCTCACATTCTTGGCTTCTAGGGGCTGCAAGAAGAGGCACTCTTGCTTAATACAAAGCTTGGGACAATGGCTACAGGCATTTGGTGAGCCTCAAACACCATAGGGGATAAAGTTTTAATTTAAGTGAATGAGTTGCAAGCCCAGCTGTCTGGGGAATGACCTCTTTAGGGTTCTCTTCGCTGCCCCTCAGGAGCTCTGGTTTCCCATGTGGCTAGTTGGCTCCTACCTTCTGAAGTGGGGAGCTCTGGAAAGTTGAGATAAGGACTGGGCCTGGGGACAGAGGTTCCAAGAAGGCTACAGAGCCTGATTTTTTCCTTTGTTTTCCTGTGTCTTAGGTCTCCCTCGAAAAGAATCAATGGAAGTAGGTACCCTAGTGCTGTGGTAGAAAATGTGCAGGAACAAGCCAGATGCAAACTCTGTCTCTACTCCTTACAAACAATGAGACTCTGGAGAAAACAATGGGGCCATTCTATGCCTGTGTTTTCTCATTTTAAAAATGAGGGTGGTGATAATAACAGTCTCCTTGTCCTCCAGTTTTTATGAAGATCAAATTAGTTAATGCCTAGAGAATCAATCAGGGTCACCCTGGGCATGTTCGAATGAGGAGAATCCAAGGCAAGTTAACAAAGGGAATATTTACAAAGGTACAAAGCGGGCAAGGACAAGGGTAAGTGTAGCAGAGCACCCACGGGGATGGAAGGGATTAGGGGAGGAAGTCGTTAACAGAAGCCAGCAGGAGAGAACAGGGGCGAGAAGATCCCCTTGAGAGGAACAGCAACCTTCAGTCAAGACACACGGCTGGCCCATAGCAACCACACAGGGAAGGCCCAGGGAATAAGTACACAGAACACTCTTACTCCCCGCCCCCCTCTGATTTCTGGCCATACAGAAGACCAAGGGCATTGGCAGAGCCTATACAGGCCAGCCTTTCAGGGCAGTGAGCAGGGTGGAGGTGGGTAAAGATGGATTGAAAGGGTCGCGTGAACACCACTAGCACAGCTCTCAATCTGCCCAGGAAGTAAGCACTCAAGGCACGAGATGTTGCTCCATCCATGGGCATCAACTTGGATATACATGTTCAGCCCTCATCACTGGGACACTAAATGGGGCTTTAGAGTCACATGCCACAGCCATCAATGTCTCTCACAGACCTGTAGCTGCCACAGTTGAGTGATCTGCTGGCTGAAGGGAAGGCCACCCACAGGTGACACTCCCAGGACTTCCCTGGGCCTACCATGTTCACCTTGAGACTGTTTAGACTTTGCATCAATGACAGGGCAAGAGGCAGTGATGTTTCCATCCTGTTAGAAAACAGAGGTCTTTAAAAAATTTTTTCCATAGGTTTTTGGAAAACAGGTGGTATTTGGGTACATGACTAAGTTATATAGTGGTGATTTCTGAGAGTTTGGTGTACCCATCACCCTAGCAGTATACACCGTACCCAATTTGTAGTATTTTATCCCTCACCCCCCTCCCACCCTTTCCCCGAGTCCCCAAAGTCATTGTGTCATTCTTATGCCTTTGCATCCTCAGAGCTTAGCTCCCACTTATGAGGGAGAATATATGATGTTTGGTTTTCCACTCCTGAGTTCCTTCACTTAGGATAATGGTCTCCAATTCCATCTAGGTCACTGCAAATGCCATTATTTTGTTCCTTTTTATGGCTGGGTAATATTCCATGGCATATACATGCCATAATTTCTTCATCCACTTGTTGATTGATGGAGTTTAGGGCTGGTTTCCTATTTTTGGAATTACAAATTGTGCTGCATGTGTGTGCAAGTATCTTTTTTGTATAATCACTTCTTTTCCTTTGGGTAGATACCCAGTAGTGGGATTGCTGGATCAAATGGTTGTTCTTTTAGCTCTTTAAGGAACCTCCACACTGTTTTGTATAGTGGTTGTACTAGTTTACATTCCCACCAGCAGTGTAAAGTGTTCCCTTTTCACCACATCCCCACCAACATCTATTATTTTTTGATTTTCTGATTATGGCCATTCTTGCAGGAGGAGTAAAGTGGTAACACACTGTGGTTTTGATTTGCATTTCCCTTATCATTAGTGATGTTGAGCATTTTTTCATATGTTTGTTGGCCATTTGTATATCTTCTTTTGAGAATTGTCTATTCATGTTCTTAGCCCACTTTTTGTTGGGATTTTTTTTTCTAATTTGAGTTCCTCGTAGATTCTGGATATTGGTCCTTTGTTGGATGTATAGATGGCAAAATTTCTCTCCCATTTTGTGGACTGTCTGTTTATTCTGCTGATTGTTTCTTTGGCTGTTCGGAAGCTTTTCAGTTTAATTAAGTCCCATCTATTTATCTTTGTTTTTGTCGAATTTGCTTTTGGGTTCTTGGTCATGAAGTCTTTGCTTAAGCCAATGTCTAGAAGGGTTTTTTCCGATGTTATCTTCTAGAATTTTTATGGTTTCTGATGTTAGATTTAAGTCCTTGTTCCATTGTGAGTTGATTTTTGTATAAGGTGAGAGATGAGGATCCAGTTTCATTCTCCTACATGTGGCTTGCCAGTTATCCCAGCACCATTTGTTGAATAGGGTGTCCTTTCCCCACTTTATGTTTTTGTTTGCTTTGTTGAAGATCAGGCTGTAAGTATTTGGGCTTATTTCTGAGTTCTCTATTCTGTTCCACTGGTCTATGTGCCTGTTTTTATACCAGTACCCATGCTGAGGAAACAGGGGTCTTTCTGACAGCCAAGGGGTAAGTGGAATTTGCTAAGTGAAAGAGGTCCATTTTAGGAAGTCCCACTTTCTCTTAAATGACAACCAGCCTCCTCCTAAGTCTTTCCCACTTGCTCTAGGCCTGAATTCAGAGTTCCATTGTTCTTTCACAGAACTCCTTGGAGTGACAATCAACTAAATTAAATCAATTAATCCAACATTTACAGAAAGTCAGGCATGTACTGCTTCTGGGGAAAGTGGAAACAGATCAGATGCAGGCACTGTCCAGTGGTTTCTTTTTCCCAAGAGGACAATTTTGAAACTCCCTCCTCACATGCCCCTAGGGTAGCCAAAACCCATAGAGGTTCATTCTCCAAGATAGGGTGGTACAGTGGGCAGAGCATCAGCCCTGGGGGCCACAACACACTCTGTTAGAACCCAGCTCCATTATTATTACATCATCTTGGGGAAAAGTCACTTAGACTCCATGAACCTTGTTTTCCTCCTCTGAATCTTTCAGAGAATAATCTCTAACTCACACGATCACTCTAGGGATTACATGAGACGATGTGTGTGAATTTTCTAGAACAGCACCCAACACACAGTAAGTCCTCAATAAATGTTAGCTCTTCACCCCTACAAGAACTCCAGGTCTCCAGATGCCTATGTCTACCCCTTTAAATCTCAGACTTAGAGGAAGTTAATCCTGCTGTTTCTGTTTCCTACAACTTGGGCTGTGCTACCTTGTCCCATTTCCTTCTGGGTCCAGGTTTCATCACCTATTAAATGGAAGGACACAGATTACACAATGGATAAGCCAAGGGGTTCTCAACTTTCCCTATGACTACATTTCTCCCTGGGCTGCATGTTATGAAAGGCTTGTCCACTGCATAAACTGAATTTGTGAAGGACTACCTCTTCCTCCATTTTCTCCTAATCAAAGCAAGTTCCCCCCTTCAGGTTTCTGAGCAGCATGAGATCACAGCTTTGTTCACCGGGTTGAATTTGAAACCTAACCCAAAGAACTTGAGATTTCTTTGAACCTGTATAGTGTAGGCACAGGCATCTTGAAATACTAAAAGCGCTTCAAGCACTACCACTTCTCCTTCCCAGATTCCCAGGTCCTCAAGTTGAAAAGCACTGGACTAATTGATTCTTCTGAAGCCCTCCAATTACTAACTCTGTCATTTTAACGTCCGAACCGGAATAACTAAGGAAAATCAGGCCCAACCTGAAAAGGCATTTGTTAACATGAGATGGACTGTGGCTCATTATGGCAAGGGCTGGATATGTAAGGATGGAGGCATTTTATTTATGTTAGGAGACTGGGCCATTAACCAGTGTTGTGAATGTGCCTTCTACAGGCGAGTCTTTTGGCATCCCCCAGTGGTAGGCAGTCAGTCCTTTTTGTTCAGTTGCTATACACCCACTGCACTGCAGTGTCAACCCCAAAGGCAGTGGCACTTACACATTCCTTTGTGAGGCCAGCTGCTGGTTTAACCCATGGCCAGGCCTGGTCCTTTTTCTCCAAGCAACAGGGAAGGTGCTTAGAGGCCCATGGGCTTATCTGCAAAGCTATTTTCCTGGAGCTCACTTTGGAGCATCCCCTCCTGACCATGGTAGTGATTTGAGATCAGGTGTCTTCAAAGAGCAGCCCTTGGACCAGTCTACCTCCTGACGCCCTTTCTTCTCATCAGATGGAAAACTCACAGATGGGAAAAAACAAGCTGATTACCCGGGTCTCACTCCCCACAGACATCTTCCATCTTTGGTCCTCATTAGGGCTCTTGGTAGCTGGCTCGTTGCTAAGTCAAACTTGCAAGGCACAGTTTTTCTGCCACTTCTTTAGATCTGCACTTAATTACAGCTGTTCCTTCCTGTTGGCCATTCTCCACTGTTTCAAACATCCAAGATACTAGTCTTCTAATGTTCTTATCCTCTCATTAGAGTTGAACATTTTGTTCTTGTCTTACATCTATTCTGTTCCCTGCACAGCTCAAGAAGTACTTGAGTTTTTGCCTCTGCTTTTATGTTGCATAATAAATAGCATTCTGCCTGGTGTGACACTGAGAATAACTGAGTTACTACTTTCTATCAAAAGTATCTAAAGATCCATGAAGACTCACAAGGCTCCTTTCTGCTGTTAAAAGACTGTGCTTTTAACAACGCTGATTTCTATTATTCTTAACTTTATTAACTCTAATCTTACTCAACTCTAATCATCACTGTCTTGCATTTCTCCCTTTCCAATCCAATTCTTGATCCATTATAGGCATCTATAATTATAATACCTCCCTGCCTACCTGGGGTATTCCTTTTACTCTCAAAAATGTCCCTATTGAAACAAAAATAAATATGTCACCCCAACCATAGAGAATAAGATGTTTCCTGTTTATTTGCTATTGCTTCAGCTCAAGTTCCTGCTCTCCATGTGTCAAAGCAGGGGTCAGCAAATATTTTTCGTAAAGAGCTAGATAGTAAATACTTTTGGCTTTGCAACCATATCGTCTCTTTTGCAACTACTCAGTTCTGCCATGGTGGTGCAACAGCAGCCGCAAGCAATACGTAAATGAATGGGTGTGGCTATGTTTCAATACATTTAATTTACAAAACAAGCAGCAAACCAGATTTGGCCTGTACACCATAGTTTGCAATCTATGCTTATGTACGGACTGAGATAATGATCTGCCTTTCCCTCTAAAAAGCTGATTTTCCTAACAGCATTAATTATATAATCTATTATTTCCCAAAACGATTTAAGTCTACCATTATCACATAGTAAGTATTTACATAGACACAAATCATTTTCATTATCTTATTTTGTATTCTGTTTCAATTACATTTTATTTCACTAGCCACTAAATTGCTTATAGTATTAAGTTATTTTATAACTCTCTGTAACTTTTTGCTGTGCAAATCTCCCTTCTATTAAGGGACAAAATGTCCCTTTTGCCATTCTTATGCATTTCATCTTCTATCCAAACTTTACAATCATTTTTGTCAAGTTTTAAAAACATAAATATGTAATCACTTTGGGGGAGAATTGACATATTTATATGAATACACGTTTCCATTCAGAAACATGATATTTTTCCAAGTATTCAAGTCTTCTTTTATGTGCCTCTGTGTTAAAGTTTTCATGTTGTTCCTGCATTTTTTTTATCTTCATCCCAAGCTTTAAAAGATATTCTGTCCTGTTATGATTGGGTTTTTCTTTGCTCTATATATTACAATTTAAAAACTGCACATAGAAAAAACCTGCTAATTTTTTTTTAGAAATTTATTTCGTATCTGGTCCCTAAAACCTCTTGCTAATGCCAATGGGTTCTTCTTTGATGCCTCCTTCATATATTTTTTTAGAATACTAATCACACTTGTTCAGAGGGCTATGTCCTTTGATTTTCAGAGCCAGAGTATTTTTTCTTTTCCATCAGTTTGAGGATTTTTCTCCACTGGCTCATCCTAGAGATACAGCCTTCATTCATGGATTCTGTTCCCCACCAAGCCCAGCCTAGATACCTCCTCTATTTCACAAACCCTCTCATCTGACCTATCAACATGCCTTCTAGTTAGTGAGGCTTGTACTAATTTTACAGTGCTTGGGTGCAGAAGAGAACAGACTGAGAGGTAGGTGGGGCTGCAGAAACCCACTGGGAAACCTAGACCTCCCTAGAGAGTGAACACAAGTTCACTCAGAGTGGCCAAGAGAATATGACAAATGCAGGTTCCACCCAGGTTGCTAGCATACTTGAGGAGTCAAAGATGGTGGTGGAGCTGCCCAGCAAAGATGTTCAAGTGAAGGCATCAGGAGATGGGGATGCTGAGAGTCAGAAGCTAGATGATGAAGCAACAGCTTTGCTGCATTTCAGGATAAGAGCAAAGAAGCTAAATCTCAGGCACCCTTTGGTCTGATATATCTACATTAACTCAGCATTGTCAGTGCCTTTTAGCTCATGTGGCTTGGCCCTGAGTATTTTGGTCTCATTCAGGAATCACCATCTTAATCAAGAAAACTAAGCAGAAGCCTCATATGAAGAACTTTGTATTAGTTAAGGTTCTCCAGAGAAATAGAACCGACAGAATATATAAAGATATATAAGAGGAGACTTATGGAAATTGGCTCATGCAATTATGGAGGCCAGGAAGTCCCCCAGTATGCTGTCTGCAAGCTGGAGAATCAGGAAAGCCAGTGGTATAATTTAGTTCAAGTCCTAAAGCCTGAGAACTAGAAGAGGTGATGGCTGATGGTATAACTCTCAGTCTGAGGCCAAAGTCCTGAGAACCCAGGATGAGAAGGTGTAAGTCTGGAAGTCTGATAGCCCAACAACCAGAAGCTCCAATGCCCATGCATAGGAGAAGAGTCCTAGCTCAAGAAAAGAGAGAAAAAATGAACTCCTCTGCCCTTTTGTTCTATTCTGGTGCTCGAACGATTGGATTAAGCTTGCCCACATTGGTAGACTTCTTTACTAAGTCTTCTGATTCAAATGCTAATCTCATCTAGAAACACCCTCACAGGCACACCCAAAATTAATGTTTTACCAGATATCTGAGCATCCCTTAGACCAATCAATTTAACACTCAGAATTAACCATCACAACCTTGTATACGTTTTCCTCAGAATGACTGCATGCCAGGATTGCGCCAGCAGGCTGACTTTAATCACTACTATCTTGAGAGATGGGCTCCTAAAATACAGCAAAGTTGAGCTGGATCTGAATAGACTAACCCCGTGGCTGAGCAAATCTGGGCAGGACCAGATGGAAAATGGGCTAATTCTGTACCACCCATTATCAAATCACATATATGTCTAGATCTGTGTCAACAAATCCTTTCCAACCCACCAAATCAAATCATTGGAGTAGAACTGGGGAGACCTGCAGTACCATTACGGCTCACAATACCTCGTCACAACATGACTCTGGATCTCCTTATACCCAGAGTGTTTCTGTCTGGAGAGTAGGATGTAATGGTGACATTCCATCTTCCTTTCCATACGTACCCATTTGTTTCCTTTTATTTGTTCATTCATTCGTTCATTTGGCAAATACTTACCAAGCCTACTGTCTGGCAGGCACCTTACTAGGTACTGAAAATAGAGACAGGAATAAGGAACTCTATCCTTGAAGCACACATCCTATTCACGCATGGTTTAAGGAGGCCAAGACATAGCAAGTTTGAACACCTTGACAAAGGAAAGAAACTAGGGAGGTACAACCAGAGTTTAATCAAGGACTGTTTAACTTACCACACCTGCTATCACTCAGAATTCTCACAGGAAGCTTCCCTAGGCACACTGTGACAGAATGGGTGGGGGAAACTCTTCCTAACACCACCTGACATGTGCCTTGCACCCACCACAGGCATGGTACCTTGAAGCAGAGTAACAGACCAGTCAGATGATCACATCTCCCTCACCTATAGAGACTCATGATGATGTCTTACTGCCTAGGAAACAGTACAGTAGCTAAAGCAATCACTGGGGGAAAAAATTCTGAAATCTCTAAGCATTGCTCATTAGCATAAAGCTTGGAGAGGTCTGATAAAGTTCATGGCTTATCTCCAAGCCTGCTTGCTTCCTCTCTGCCCAGAGCAGCAGCTGGGCAAGGGATTGCCTTCTTTGCAAAGAAGCAAATTAAATTAAATTAGATCAGTTATACCAGCACCACCAACAGCAGAAGCATCTTCAATAAAATTAAGATCTCGAAATGAAAACAAGGAAATCATCTTCTAAAAACCTAATCCCATTGCCCAGTTTGAAGGCGCTCACTACTGAGACCTCCTGTGGCAACTTTACATGAACATTTGGGAGCAGGGAACTAGGGGAGACCTGGCAGCATCGTTGGGTAACCCAGGATCTGGGCCTTTTGTTTGTTGTTGTTTTAGTCTTAGGGAAGCACATATCCAATCACACACTTGATATATAAATAGGCCATTTCAGTGAATACAGTCATTGGAAACCTTTTCCAATAAGAGCATGTCATACTGGCTATGAAAGAGTGTATTTATAATCACACAGCATGGTATAGTGGAAAGAATGCCAGGTATTCCAGAAAATATGGTGGTTTGCACACCATTTCACAGAACCTCCATCTTCAAAGTTGACTGAAATGAACAAAATGAATTAAAATGAACAACAAAAATATTATTAATTCTGAAACTCAGAAACTGCCCCAACCTCATGCTATAGGTTTTAAGTGCCACCTGGGCCAAAATGAAAGAAGAGTAATCTATGTTCATGCTTTTTTTTTTTTTTTTTTTTTTGGAGACAGAGTCTCACTCCACCCAGGCTGGAGTGCTGTGGTACAATCTCGGCTCACTGCAACCTCCACCTCCTGGGTTCAAGGGATTCTCATGCCTCAGCCTCCCAAGTAGCTGGGATCACAGGAGTGCGCCACCACACCCAGCTGATTTTTGTATTTTTAGTAGAGACATGGTTTCGCCATGTTGGCCAGGCTTGTCTAGAACTCTTGACCTCAAGCAATCTGACCACCTCAGCCTCCCAAAGTGCTGGTATTACAGGCATGAGCCATCGAACCCAGCCCATCCTCCCTTTCAAGATGGAAAAGTACTGTTGGCAAGGAAAAAAAAAATGTGTAATGGACAGAAAAGCTGAATGATATAGCTCCTAATTTGAAGAGAACAAATTGGAAAGGTGTGAATATTCCACTTGGAGCTCGTTTTTCCCATTTTGGATTGACTCCTTCCCTAAATCCCTTCCCAGAGCCATTCTGGGAATTATCAGGCAGAAACCAGTTATCTCATATGAGGACTCAAATGGGCAAAGACAAGAAAATGAATGGGTTTAGAAAAACAAACGACAAAAGTCCATGAAACAGAAGGACCTCTCATTAAAGCAGCTGACTCATTTTGAAACAGGTGAGCAAACTGAAGCTTTAGGGGACCACCCACCCCAGGAAGAGGATCAACTGACAATTCAATAGACCTAAATCTAGTGTCAGAATTTCAATAAATTTAGAGACAGATTAGAGACAAAGCCCCCAGAGGCTTTTTGCAAGTCCTCAGCAATTTCCTCTCCCATAAGAGAGCAGTCAAACTGTAACCAAGTAAATTGGGAAAATAGCAAAGGCAAATTCAGCATTACCAATTTGGATCAAATAACACCATCAGGTAACTGCCCCCACTGATATAGTGGTCAAGTAGAGGGGGAAAAGTACAAGACTTAAAGGAAGATTGTGTGTCCCCCACAGTAGGTTTCACACGCAAAGATTTTTTTTTAAAACTCACCCTGGAAGAAGAGATGCTCCAGGAAACATAAATAGATCACTGCTTTGTAATCCCAGGAAAATTAAAGAGAATTTAAGCTCTACGAAACAAGCAATTAAAGGGTGAGAAAACATGACAGTTGTTCAAGACCGGGAGTGTATCAGCTTCTCGACAACACCCCCAGGTTCCCCCAGGGTTGTCTTCTGGGCAACCTCCCAGGTACTGTCCTCTCATCAATACTAGATCCGCTGCAGTTCCTGAACATGTGACGGCACAGTATGTAAAAATGCATATACTATTAGGGCTGGAGGACCCTCATCTAGTCATCGTCAATGACAGGACAATAAAAACCAAGTTCACGTATTTATTAAGTGGCAAAGCTATAGCTTAGACCCCAACCTGACCCTACATGTATAAAGAGGAAAGAAGAGGGATGAAGATAGGATGTTGGGAGGGAAAAAGGAGGAGAAAAAAGGGAGAGAAAATGGAAGATGGAAGCAACAGCTGGGGTGCAGTAAAAAGGGGCACTGGACTAGCCAGAAAACCTACCATGAATCAAATCTGAGTACATGCCTTCAATTTCTGGGGCTACATGCCCAACAAACAGAATTGTTGGGTCACATAGTCACTTGATGTTTAAATTTTGAGAAATTGCCAACTGTTTTCCACATTAGCTGCACCATTTGGCATTCCCATCGGCAATGTACAAGGTTCTAATCTCTTAGCTCTAGCACTCACTATGTTGCATGACTCTGAAAAAGTCATTTTATTTATCTGAACCTCACTTTCTTTTTCTCTAAAGAGTAGGGGTTAGAACTAGCTATCCTGTTTCTGCCTATTCACACATTCTTTCTTTCCATCCAAATCCTGACCTTCCACTGCCCACATCTGTTTCCAAGAGTTTCCTGACAGTGTGAAGTACTGTAATGAGTAAGTCCTAGCTCTGCTCCTTAGAGCTAGAATTATCTTAATCCATATCCCCAAGTTATATTAATGCACTTCCATTTCCATCCATATCTCTCAGCGTACATTTTTTCTCTCTTGTCTATTCTTTTAACCTTTTTGCAAGCATCATCTTGTTCTGTCTGTCGGCTGTCAGCTTTTCTCTCCGAGCTTCTGCGGAGTTGCCAGATTCTTGACTATTTCCCCACCCTCAGCTCATAACTGTTTTTCCCTGGAGCTCAGCGACTGCTAAGTGGTCTTTGTGAAATCCTATTAGGATAATCTCCCTGTCTGTGTCTCCTCTCAGCTGGGCTGCCTCTAGAAACCTCAGCTGTCTTCCTACTCACAATCGGCAAATCATAGGCTGGCTCCTGAGTCATCCAACATCGTACTTATTCACAAACATGCTTAGATGAGCTCTGAACCTGTCGAATCTTGTAGCCCACAAGCAAGAGTTAAATTCACTGGAGATTCAACTCATATGTCTTCTCCTGCAGAAGGTGTCTCCTGTTTATGCGGGACCCCTATTCCCTCTACAATCCCAGGAATGACACCTGCCCCCTTTTTACTTTTTCTGTTTCTGTTTATGTTTATCATCTATCTCTCTCATCAGACTGTGAGATTCATGAGAGCAAGGAGCTGGAGTATCTTGTCCAAAGCTGTATCCTCAGTGCCTGGCATATTACAGGCCCTCAGTACATGTTTGTTGAATTCATGAATACGTGTTCCTCTTCCATAGAGTCAATCATGGATCTGCCTACCTGTCTACCTATTAGACCCAAAGCTACTTTGGGGCAGACTGAGATTTACCTGCCATGGTAACACTTGTTAAAAATAAAATTACTCTGACACTTGTTAAAATGGTAAGGAAGACATTATTCAAGATTATTGCAATGGAGGAGAGAAATTAGGCAAATATAACAAAGACAGCTGGGGATTTAGAGCCAAGGAACAGAGTGAGTGGATGAAAAATTACCAAGAGGAGACAAGGGTAGGGAGATTCTTGCTAAAACAACTTACCAGGGTTCTTACCGAAGGCAGGCCAGGATGATCAGATAGTGCTATCATCCGAATGTTTGTGGAGGCCAAAACTCGTATGTTGAAACGCTAACCGCCAAGGTGATGGTATTAAGCGATGAGGACTTTGGGGAGATGAATTAGGTCATGAAGGAATGGGATTAGTGTCCTTATAAAAGGGACCCCAGAGAGCTGCCTTGCCTCTTCCATCACATGAGGACACAACTAGAAGGTGTCATTTTTTAATGAAGAGAGATCTCACGAGATATGGAATCTTCTAGCACCTTGATCTTCAACTTCCCAGCCTCTACAACTGTGAGCAATAAATTTCTGTTGCTAAGAATTAGTTTATGGTACTTTTTTATAGAAGCCCAACTGGACTGACAGATGTCAAGGGGTTGGGGGATCCTCAGTAGGCTAACCTAGCAGAGTTCTTGCTAAAACTGGGCTAGACAGGCCACAGACAAGATAGCCAAAATCAAAGCCTAGTTGAGAAGGGAATTCAGAGGAGCATGACTAAAATTTGGTCAAGGGGAGAGTCTTTGTCACCCCAGCACCTAGCACAAGTGGTTGGTACTAAATACTTACTGAGCCCAGCTGAGCACCCACCCTCAGTGCAGCCCTGCTTACCCTGACAAAGGTTTAGGGCTCTTACTCTCTCCTTTGTGCCTCAATGAGCTGCAGCGTCAGGAGAAGGGACTCCAGTAGATAGCGTTCAAGTGGCTGGGGGTGGGGAAGAGAAGCAAAATGTGACAACCCCACATTAATCAAGAAGGTACACCATTTTCTCAGGGTTTCATAACTCCAATGATTTCCTGGGCCAATCATCCCAAATGACCCTCACAGCCACTTTGTGAAGCAAGTTGATTTATCTTCTCATGTTATGAACGGAATAACTGACACTCTGGGAGGTCAAGCACCATGTCATAGGTCACACACCCAGAATTTCATGAAGTCATGAAGACATAAAGTGTACATTTATCTGCTCAGAAACTTTTTAAGTTGTTGTCCCTAAATATTGTACCAACTTGTACTTATACCAACAGTGTATGGCCACCTGGTTGCCAGAGGTCTCACCAACACTGATGTGTGTCTGCCGGATTATTTTTCCTTTTACTGATTTTTAAAACCTCTTTACATGTTAATTATATCAATCATTTTTTGCACATATAATGCACATATCTGAGCTCAGTTTGTTTATTTTTTTTTTTAATTTTTTTTTTTTTTTGAGATGGAGTCTCGCTCTGTCACCCAGGCTGGAGTGCAGTGGCACGATCTTGGCTCACTGCAAGCTCCGCCTCCCAGGTTCACACCATTCTCCTGCCTCAGCCTCCCGAGCAGCTGGGACTACAGGCACCTGGCACCATGGCCGGCTAATTTTTTTTTTTTTGTATTTTTTTAGTAGAGACGGGGTTTCACTGTGTTAGCCAGAATCGTCTCTATCTCCTGACCTCGTGATCCACCCGCCTGGGCCTCCTAAAGTGCTGGGATTACAGGCATGAGCCACCGTGCCCAGCCAGTTTGATATGGATATTTTCATGATGTTTAGGTTCTTAGGGACAAAGATATAATATTTTTCTTTATGGCTGTACCTTCAATGGTATCATCAGAAAACTGTCCTGCTCCCCAAAATTAAATATTTATTTATTCTTTAAATGTCATCTATGTTTTCCAAATTTTACATTTAACTGAAATGCACTGCATTTATCCAGAATATATTTTGGTACATAGTATGAAGAACCCACATCCTCCCCTGGTGGATTATCATTTCATCTTGACCTGTCTCATTAATTAGAAATGTGAAGTTTGTCTATAACATGTACACATGCATGCATTCACACACACACAAACACACACACACCCCTCTGTTTTAAGGACATACTTTATTCTGTTAATCTATCTGTCTCTTCTAAGATTGGTATAAGCTATTTGAACTATTTTAGTTTCAGGATATATTTCTAAAACTTGGAAGTAGAAGTCTTTCTCCATCATTCTCTTTTCAACATTTGCTTGATGATCTGTGCCCATTTATTTTTCCAGATAAACCTTAAAATCATTTTATAACATTGCTTATACATTTCTATTGCAATATGCATTCAATATTTTAAATTGACAGCTTTAAAATACCAAGCCTTCCCATCCAGAAATGAAATACCTCCGTTTACTTATTTGTTTTCCCAGTTTTGCTTTATAGATTCCTTCTACAGTTCCTGCAAATTGTCTCTTAAGCCAATTCCTCAGGCTTTTATATTTGTTGCTTTTACAGAATGAATCCTTTTATATTATGTTTCCTAACTGGTGATTGGTATTTAGAAAATTTTTCATTTTTGTATATTTATTCCCTAACTAGTCACCTTATTAGACTCTTTTATTGGGCTCTAATAGTTTTTCATTATTTCTCTTGGGGTTTTGGTAGATAATAAAATCCTCTGCAAATAATAACTTTATGCCATAATTATATTTCCCATTCTGTTACTAGAAATCCCTGAATAAATGTTAAATAATTTTAGTGGTCCTGAGCATCCTTATATTTTTAGGATATCAGTTGTTAGTTTGGAATAGACAGGCTCCGTCACATTAAGGAAATAGCTTTCTAGGTCTTTTAAGGATGACGATTATTCTCTGTTCCTCCATCACCACTTTCACCCACCAACCTAGACATAGTGGTCTGTAGTCTGTATCTCCCAGGCTTCCTTACTCTCTGCTTCTAGCTGAGTTTAACCAATGGCAGAGTTTGGCCATGGACAGAAGACCAGGGGGTGGCTGTGTTCCTCTATAGCCTGTCAAGCAATCCCTTAACACTTTAGCACCATTTCTATTTCCTACCATTGCCCTTCAGACCCAGGGTGGTAATGGCTTCCCAAAGTTGCCAGTCCCTGGGTGCTTCACTATCCCTTGTTAATTCCCTTGATTCTGATCCAATCTCTATTTCATTAAACCCCATTTAAATCATTCATCTCTCACATGCTTCTTGCCTAGACATTCCCTAACTGATTGATAAATTAAGACCCAGTGGGAAGTATTTTCAAATGTATTTTTCAACATCTCAAAATAATCAAAATATTTTTTTCTTTTGTGAAATTAACGTGACACTTATTCATTCATTCATTTAAGAAAAAAAATTCTGAGTACCTACTATGTGTTGCTTGTTGTGCTAGACACTGAGATCAGAACACATTAAAAAAAACTAAATAAAACAAAACAGATAAGCCTTCTGCCCTTATGTTCTCTTAGGGAAAACAGTTACACAAACATGTAGATGAATAAAATGCCAAATATTATGATAAGGACTAGAAAGAGTGTCTGGATAAAACAAAACAAAACAAAACAAAACAAAAAACAGGGAGTACATATTCAAAAAGGCTAGTCAGAGAATACTGCTCACAGAAGGTGACATTTGAGTTGAGTTGACATGCAAGCTCTTGCTGAGAAGAGCCTTCGGCAAGTGAAAAGCCTTGAGACAGGAGAGAGCCTGGTGTGGTTAAAAAAAAACAAAAAACCAAAAAAAAACAGACCAGGGTATCACCAGCAAGGGGGAATGTGGCAGAGGATGTGAATAAAGAGATAGGCAGCTGCTAGATCAGCACTGTCCAACAGAAATACAATGCAGGCCACATTTATACTTTTAAATTTTCTACCTGCCATATTGCAAAAGGTTATACACACGCACACACACACACACAAGACACTATCTTTTCAACATATAAACAATATAAAAATTAACACAACATTTTACCCTTTTTTTTGGTACAAAGACTTGAAGATCTGGTGTATTTTGCATTTAGAGTACATCTCAGTTTGAACTGGCCACATTTCAAGTGCTGGAGGCCACTGTATTGAACCACTCAAGGCTACATGGTGCACATCAGGCCTGGCTCACAAGGCCTCCCTTGGTTGAGAGGGGCAAGATATCTGAGACTCATCTCTATAGCTCCCAGCATCATGCCTGGCACATGGTAGGTGTTCAGCAAATGTTTGCCACACAGGATGGCAGAAGAACTGCAAAATAGATGGCAAGTTCCTGAAGCAGAGAGGCTGCACCAGGATCACTCTGGTGCCTGCTCCAGGAAATTGGGTCTATTGTGTGTCCTCAAGCAAGAGAGGAAGTTGGGGTCCACCTGCTGAGTCTCCCACTGTGGGGGCTGTTCATGACCACCTCTCCCATAGCCAGGGTGCTTGGCAAAGCTGCTTTCTTAATTCAGAAAGATCACATCACACCATATGCCAGAGAGTGGGAGGGAGGGAGCCCATTAGCATTCATTGTACACAGCTTTTCGTTTGGAAAAGCACCTCGAATGTGCCGATCTGCATTGCTTTGCTTCATTTTTCAACATTCATGAGTGTAATTGCATTTATTTTTCTCGTCAAGACTGCAAAACAAGTGATAATTTACTACATTACAGCCCATATCGGCTGGGTTTACAGCCACAACAGTTATAATCCACCCTCTTAGGGACTGGGTGGGTAAGCAGGGGGTGGTCTTTTTAGCTGAGAGCACTGTATTTCTTTATAACAGGAAGCTTGGGCCCAGCTGTTCTTCAAGGTTACAATAATAGTGGCAAAAACTAACCCATACAGAGACACTGAGCTGTCAAAGCATATGCACTTCTACTATCTTGATGGCTTCTTACACTAATGGGGTAAGGCAGACTTGTACTCCCATTCACACTTGCCAGAGAAAGAGACTGAGATTCAGAGAAGTCCTCTGTAGTAGATGGTAACAGGTTGGTGAACAGCAGAGCCAGGGTTCAAACCTAGATTCATGTGATAGGAAATCCCGTGCTCTCCTCATGATGACACCTGGCAGTGCCTGAGCTCTAGCAAAGCGTGAGGTCTTGTAGTTATATTGGTAGAAAAGAAGAGGACATGATCTTAAAATTTTGTAAATGTGAATGAAGTGCCTACAGCAGCTGTGACCACGAAGGACACCTATTTTCTTGCATCTACACCACAGAATGCTAACTTCCAGCAGAGAATCAGGACAGGAGACTACATCCCTGCCTGAGGTCCATCCAGGTGCTACTCTGTTTGTGACTATCTAGAAATGAGAGCAGGGAAGGATGGTCTAGCCTTGTATTTGGAGATCATTCAATGCAGATGTTTTCTTCCTCTTTAGAACAAGAGTCAAGCCATAGTGATGTTCAGACTTTAGATCACAAATGCTCACGAATTCATGAGTAGTAACTGATGAACAAGATCCAACCCTAAAAACTTATGGATTCATTAAAATCATTTCCTAAGTAAGATTAAAGTAGTGGACATGTCAGTGGTCGTGAGCTCCTCATTTCTTCTTCCTGGGTTTTAGAGGGATGTAAACTCCATCCCCTAACCTGACTCCCTGCCCCCTAATTACAACACACGGATCTTGAAAAGGGTGGACTTGAAAGCTGGTCTTGCTGTAAAGGATCTGAGGAAAGTGGGCAGACCATGAAAAGCCCCAGATCTCAGTCAGAGGATATTGCTACCATATGATGTGACATCTCTTTCAAGAGGAGATGACCCTGGGGTCCAGCCCCACCTCTGCAGCTTTCTCCAAGGCAGGAAAGAGATACCAGGGGTCCCTGTAAAGTCTGAAGAGTCAGGAGCTGACAGGTGTTCAGGAAGTCGCTCCAGCTACCTGGCCAGGATGCTGTAGTCTGCAAAGGACCCTTCAGCCCTGTTCCTGTCCCTTTTCTGCAAACTGAGGTCCCCTCTCTCAATCAAGTGATGGCTCTCCTCTATCCACTCCTGACATTGGCAAGTGAGACCCTGTGTGGGCGTTTCTGCCCCAGGCCAGGACTAAAATGACAAGGTCTGGCCACTCCAGGGCCTTCTGCTGAGTCTCAGTAAGCACACACTGGACAAAGAACCTCCAGCAGCCACTCAATATAAGGGGCCTCAGGTCTTCAAAGAAGGCCAGTAGGCGATGATGAACATTACAGCCCACCTAGTGTTAAACACATGTAATCACACACACAGAGAGAGGAGGGGAGAGGGGAGAGAGGAGAGGGATGGCAGGCCTAACAAGTCCTCAGGGTTTTCCATCAGTACACAGGTTACCAAGGCACCTCCATGCTGAGTCCCAGCTCTGAGACAGGACAAGAAGAAGCTGCTTGATGGTGATGGAGGAGACCCAACATGGGTCCACGCACCAAACATTTTGTTCTGTGTGTTCTCAAATGTTTGTCATTCAATCCCTATGTGTCCCAATTGCATGACCTTCATTTTATAAGTAAGAGAAAACCTTGAGCCATAGAGAAACTTTGCTCAATAGCTTTGCTCAAGGTCCCCCACACTAGTCCCTCTGGCTATAGTGTCCCTGAACCTTGAACGTGTATATGCCTCTGGAATCTCTTTTCTGAAATTCAACTGTACAGAGAATCAAAGACCAAGGTTATCAAAGTTTTATTTCAAACACAGGAAAGTAGTCTTTCAATTCAGGCAATAACCTTTCTGTTATTATTTTCCATATTGCAAAGTCTAAAAACTTAGCACAAATCTAAAAATCAGGCTTGTAAAGGTGACATTTTGTTTGAAATGGTCAAAATCAGATAATTTTTTCAATCAGCATGGAGTGTTAAATTCAGGCTTTCTTCTACTTGTTGCCATCACCCAGAAAAGAAAAATAAGATTTATTTTCCAGAGGTTGGAACTATACTCCAGGTGGCTCTCTGGCCTGCCAGGCCCCATCTGCTCCATGCTGCTACCACCTCCACGTGCAGTCAAGACTCTCTTCATTCCTGTATTGTGAAGTCTTTTCATGTGGTCCCTGGTTGCAGTAATGAACAAAGTATGCCACAGCAGAACTGCTTTATAGAACCTGTGTGGTATTAGAGTTAGAAAACTGGGAGTATTACCTAATCAGGGCTCTTCCTTGTATAGGTTAAGGCCACTGGAGCCCAGAGAGACTAAGCAACTTGCTTCAGGCCACACAGCAGGTCAGCAGCACAGCAGACCCGGATCTCCTGAGACCCACTGAGCACCATGCTCTGAACCACAAGTGTATGTTTCAGCCACCTCAGATTTTCTGTTTCCTTTAAATCTGTTTCCAAATAGCTGAACACTTCACTCATCCCCTAACTCACTTATTCAATATTCATTGAGGGCATTCTGGTGCCAGTTTTAGGAGCTGAGGACACATAGCTGTGAATGGAAAAGTTGCTTCCTGCTCTGATGGAGCTTATAGTTCATTGAGGAAGATGGGTGTTAAATGCAAAATTACACAGAGCTCCTCTGTATTGAGCTCCCGCACTGCCTGACCTGGGACAGGGGCTGGAAGAACAATGGGATTCTGAGACCCAGTGGTCTCCAAGGCAAAGGAAAGAACATGGCAGTGATGACAAGGGGATGGCAAAGTACAGCAGGTAGAGGAAGAAACTACAGGGATGCAAGCAACAGCTCCAACAAAGAGGTGTCCCAGGGTGCCAATTCTCCGCAGGGGAAAGAAGAAGGGAAGGAGCTGGGTGCTCCTGGTGGAATGCCGGCTTATTCCTGTCTTCCTCTAGGAATGCACTCCCTCCGTCTCCTTCTCAGGCTCCCATTCCTCTACCCACACCCTAGATTGTGGCAATGTGCAGAGTTCTGCTCTCTCCCCTCTGCTCTTCCCTTTCTCCTGTGAAATCTTGACCCTGGCCTTGACCCCTTTCCTAGCTTCCCAAACACCCAGTGGTTCTCAAGATCAATGTACTAAAATTGCCTGCTGTTTCCTGGGCCCCATCCCAGTGCCACATGTTGGGATAGGACCCAGGAATCTGCTTTTTAAAAATACCCTCGGTGATTCTGATGCAGATGTTCAGTCTACCTGCTCACTGAGACCCAAGGTCTGGTAAGCATCAAACACTGGGCCAACACTTTCACTTGCTAAGAACCCAGTATTGTGGGCACAGAGGTAGGGTCTCTGCATGAGCATCCTGGCCATTTTTAGCACACCTCTATAGGTATGTGTGTAATATACAGATGAGGAAATGGAACCCACGTGGCTTGGCTAGAGTCACAGAACTTCAAAGAATAGGCACCTGACTCCACACCCAAATCCAGTATCTTTGTTCATCTCTTTCACCAAGTTTTCTTGAGCTCACCGATACCTCCAACCCCCTTTTCCTCCTCCCCATTTTTACAGCTAACATCCCCATTCATGCCTGATCAGTTCCCTCCTGGTCCACTGCCTTCCTTCCCACCACAGGCTCCCTGCTGCTCCAAGTTGCCTTTCACACTGGCCAACAAGTGGTTATCCTAAAAGATAAATCTGATCAAACATTCCCTGACTTAATCTCTGATGAATCCTCACTCTTATCATGCAACATCCTTCAAGTTGTGGCCCCAACCTCCCTTCTCATCACATCTCATCCTATGCCACATGACCATGGTATCCCTTCCTAGAATACTACATTATTCAAGAGTATTGGTTTGAGTATTTGCCTCTGCCACTTACGTGTGATTTTAGATAAAATCACACTGCCACTTCTGTGTGATTTTAAATAAATTACTTAATCTTTGTGTGCCTCATTTTTCTGAACTGTAAAATGGGCTGTTACCACTAGCTCCTTCAAAAGGCTGTTGTAAAGACTTAATAAAAGAAAGATGACAAGTATAAAGTGCTCAGCACAGTGCCATGAAAACAGATGCTCCAAAATGCTACCTGATACTAATGTCATCACTGTCATCCTACCATGTAAGGACTACTTGTTATTCTCTGAACATACCACATACTTTGAGGTATCTCACTGGAAGTAGACACCTCTTGGTGCTGGAAACTCCTCATCAAAATTCTAAAGTGACTGCAAGGTAGGGTGGCCATAAAATATCCATTGTTGTACAAGGTGCTTTGTATGTGAAATTTTAGTTAATTCCCCACATAAGTCTTATGAGGCTCTTGTCCCTTATCCTCATTTTAGAGACGAGCATGAGGCTCAGACAGGTTACCAAACCAGCTCCATATCAGAATGCTAGTCACTAGTAGAATTGGCATTCCAACTAATATCAGCCTGATTTCAATGTTCACACTTCTGTTCATTTCTTCTATGTGAAAAGAACACAGATTTTTTTTTTTTTTTTTTTTTTTTTTTACTCACTTAGAGTACACTGTACTGAGAATTGTGTCATGGTATCTTGTATCATTCCTACCCTCCTAAGCTCACCCACATATCACTGGGGCTGGAAGCCTAGAAACTACATCTTACTTTCTGGCAGGGTTCCAGCTCAGTCTTCACCAATGACAGAGGCAAAGACTGGGCCCTCACCAGACACTGAGCCTGCTGGCACCTTGATCTTAAACTTGGAATTCCCAGCATCCAGAACTATGAGACATAAATTTAAAAATTTACATATGGCCTTTTTTTTTTTTTTTTTTGTGACAGAGTCACTCTGTCACCCAGGCTGGAGTCCAGAGGCACTATGTCGGCTCACCACAACCTCCACCTCCCAGGTTTAAGCGATTCTCCTGCATCAGCCTCCCAAGAAGCTGGGATTACAGGTGCCTGCCACCATATCTGGCTAATTTTTGTATTTTCAGTAGAGACGAGTTTTCACCATGTTGACCAGGCTGGTCTCAAACTCCTGACCTCAGGTGATCTGCCCGCCTTGGCCTCCCAAAGTGCTGAGATTACAGGCATGAGCCACTGCACCCAGCCTATGTATCACACATTTTGTGGCATTTTGTTACAGCAATATGAATGGACAAGACGGAAATTAATACCGAGAAGTAGAGTGTTGTAACAAATACATAAAATGTGGAAGTGGCTTTAGAAATGGGTAATGAGTAGAAGCTGGAAGACTTTAGAGATTCATGCTGCAAAGAGTCTAGATTATTGTGAACAGAGTATTAAGGGTGTTTCTGGCAAAGGTTCAAAAGAAGAAAGCTGGAGAGAAAGGCTCAATCTTCTTAGATATTATAAGTATAGTCACAAACAGAATGATGGTAGAAATATGGATGGTAAAGGCAATTCTGATGAGGTCTCTGACAGAAACAAGAAATAAGATATTGGAAACTGGAGGAAAACTCATAGTCTTCAAGATAGCCAAGAACTTGGCTGAATCATGCCCATGTCTCAATGCTTTCTGAAAGGGAGAACTTGCAGGTGATAAACTAGGATATCTGGTGAAAGAAGTATCTAAGCAAAGTGTTGAGGGTGCTACATGGCTTCTCTTGACTGTTTATAGTAAAAGTGAGATAAGAAATCAATTAAAGATGAATTTATAAGTAAAAGGGAAGCAGAGCTTAAAGATTTTGAAAATTCCCAGCCTGGCCAGGACATAAAGGTATATTATGGAGAGAATACCAACAGTGTGGCTGAGTCAATGTTTGATAAAAATATTAAGATGCCTGATAGGGTTATTAGTATGGGTGTAAGGAAGCCAGATGCTATTTATCAAGACAATGAAAGAATGACTCCGAAGGCATTTCAAAGATCTCTAAAGTTGTCACTCTCATCACAGGCCCAGAATGCCATGGCCTGGGGGACAAAACTGTATGAAAAAAGGGATCTTGGGCACCCATGAGACCTCAGCACTCGCTGCTCTGTGCCACCTCAAGTCTCTGCTTACTGAATTCTGGTGTAGTGCTCCTTAGATGCCCCAGATGTGACTCAAGTGAGCCCAAGTGTGGCTCAGGCTTCCCCTCCAGAGGGCATAAACAGTCAACCTTGGTGGCATCCACATGGTGTTGACCCTGCAGGTGTGCAGAGTGCATAAGCTGTGGGGGCATGGCTACCTCCACCCAGATTTCAAAAGATGCCCTGGAGAGCCTCAGTGCCCAGGCAGAGAACTGCCAGGGTGGGTGGGGCTGCTCTGAGAACCCTCACTAGTGCAATTCCCTGGAGACATGGGAATTCAGCCACTGCAGAGAACCCCTATTAGGGCAATGTTCCATGGAGCCATGGAGATGGGCAACCCTTGAGACCTCAGACCTGTAGAGCCACCATCACGCAACACAAGCCTGGGAGAGAGACAGGCACCCAACCCCAACCACTGAGAGCTGCTTTGTGGGGCACGCCCAGCAAAGCCATGAAGAATGGGGCTGCCTGGGTCTTTGGCCCACCCTTGCTGCACGGTGTCCAAAAGGCAGGACGTAGAGTCAAAGAAGATCATTCTCAAGCCTCGAGATTTAATGCTGTTTGTCTTCTTGTGTTTTATACTTACTTGGGACCTATTACCTTTTCTTCTTCCCTATTTATCTCTTTTAAAATAGGAATGTCTATCCTGTGTTTGTCCCAACATTGTATTTTGGAAGTATACAATTTGATTTCACAGGCACACAGCTGGAGAGCAATTTGCCTCAAGATGAATCATATCTAATTTAGATGACACTTTGGACTTACACTTTAAAGCTGATACAGGAGTAAGACTTCTGGGGCTATTGAGATGGAATGAATGTATTTTGTATATGAGAAGGACATGGATTTTGGGGCATCTGGAGGAGAACGCTGTGGCTTAAGTGCAGGTGTACCTGCAAAATTCACATGTTGGAACTTAAACTCTAAAGTGACAGTATTACGAGTTGGGGCCTTTAGAAGATGATTAAGTAATGCGGTCAGAGCCCTCATGAATGGGAATAGCAACATTATAAAAGAGCTGGAGGGAACTAGGTAGGCCCTTTTTGTCCTTCCATGTGACAGCATAGCATTCAAGCCACCATCTTTGAAATAGAAATGGGGTCCTCATCAGACACCAAACATAATGGTGCCTTAATCTTGGACTTGTCAACCTCCAGAACTGTGAGAAACAGATTTCTATTATTCATAAATTACCCATTTTGTGGTACCTTTTATAGTAGCATGAATGGTCTAAGACACCACTGAACAATTCCCTATCTCCCTCCTCTCCCCAGCCCCTGGCAACCATCATTCTATTTTTTTATTTCTGTAAGTTTGACTGCTCTAGATACATCACATAAGTACAATCATACAGTACATGTTATTGATGACTGATTTATCTGTCATAACATAAGGTCTTCAAGGTTCATCCATGTTGTAGCATGTGCCAGGATTTCCTTCCTTGTTAAGGCTGAGTAATATTCCATTGTATGCGTATACCACATTTTCTTTATCCGTCCATCTGTTGATGAACATTTGGGTTGCTTCCATCTCTTGGCTACTGTGAATAATGCTACAATTAACGAGTGTGTAAATATATTTTCAAGATTCTGCTTTCAATTATTTTAGATATACTGTCACGTGCAGCATAATGGTGTTTCCGTCAATGACGGACTGCACATATGAAGGTGGTCCTAGGTGGATAGTTGGCTATAGCTTCTAGGTTTACAAAAATACAGTCTATGATGTTCACACAATGATGAAATTGCATAATGACTCATTTCTCAGAATGTATTCCCATCATTAAATGATACATGATTCTATTTCAAGAACTGGGATTGCTAGATCATATGGTGGTTCTATTTTTTATTTTTGGTTTTCCATATAGACTATACCATTTTTACACTCTCACAAACAATGTACAAAGGTTCCAATTTTTCCAGATGCTTGACGTTTATTTCTTTTTGTTTGTCTTTTTATAGTGGCCACCCTAATGGGTGTAAGGTGATATCTCATTGTGGTTTTGATTTGTATTTCTCTAATGATTAGTGATGCTAAACATATTTTCTTTTCTTTTTTTTTTTTTTGAGATAGAGGCTTGCTCTGTTACCCAGGCTAGAGTGCAGTGGCACAATCTTGGCTCACTGCAACCTCCACCTCCCGGGTTCAAGTAATTCTCCTGCCTCAGCCTCGTGAGTAGCTGGGATTACAGACACACGCCACCATGCCTGACTAATTTTTGTATTTTTTGTAGAGATGGGGTTCTCACCATGTTGGCCAGGTTGGTCTTGAACTCCTGACCTCAGGTGATCTGCCCACCTCGGCCTCCCAAAATGCTGGGATTACAGGCATGAACCACCGTGCCTGGCCGTATTTTCATGTTTCTCACCATTTGTTTATCTTCTTTGGACAAATGTCTATTTCAGCCCTTTTTAAAAAAAAAAAAAAAATCAGGTTATTTGTTTTGTTATTGTTGAGTGGTAGGCATTCTTTATGTATTCCAGATAGTAACCCTACAAGAGAGGTTTGTAAATATTTTCTCCCATTCCACAGGTTGTCTTTTAATTCTGTTCCCTTTGAAACACATTAGTTTTAAGTTAGATATAGTCTCATTTGTCTATATTTGCTCTTGTCGCCTGTACTTTTGGTGTTATATCCAAGAAATCGCTGCCAAATCCAACATCATAAAACTTTCTACCTACATTTTCTTCTAGGGGTTTTACAGTTTTCACTCTCATGTTTAGGTCTTTAATCCATTTTGAATTAATTTTTGTGTATGGTGTAAGTTAAGGATCTGCTACATGTGGATATTCAATTTACTAAATGCCATTTGTTGAAGAAATTATTCTCTCTCCATTGTGTAGTCTTGGTACCCTTAGTGAAGATTATTTGACCATGTATGTGAGAGCTTCAAAGGTTTTATAAACCTCTAATACCCTGTATTAAACCCCTTCCTGATTGAAATACCTAGAATGGTTTCCGTTTTCCTACCTGAATCCAAACTGATGGACACATCATGCTTATATATGTTTGCAGCTATGATTTAGAAGGATCTTGGAAGCTATAGGTCTTATTTTAACCTTAGACACTCTCAGAGTTCTTAAAAGACATAACATATTCTTGCTTGTTCATAGCTTTCACAAGTTGTTTCATTGACTACAAGGCTTTGAATCCTGAGAAAGTGCAATTTGGGTTTCTTAATAAGGAAACACAACACCTAGGAAAGGAAGCAATTTTAAAAGATATTGGCAGATTTGAGGAAAGTTTTAAAAACAGTTTGCTCAAATATCTGTTGCTTTCCAAACATAAAGTATGATCGTGTCAGCACAGAGCACAGTGTCAAAACTAGGTAGATGAAGAGGGAAAACAGGAGGTCTTTTTAGAAAAGGGTAATTTCTCTCAATTACCAAATGTCTCACTGATTAGTAGTTGTGGGGAAATAAATTCTGGAGTTGTACCTGTGAAATTAATGGGGCATGTGATAGATCACTGCAGCTCTGCAAGGATGCGTGAGAACAGAGTACGTGCCTTAAGCTCAACTGGGAGATTTATCTTTCTGTGAAGGTCTGGGCTCTCAGGGATAGATTGTACGTCAGGTGCCCTACCTCCATATACTCATGAAGACAAATTCCTCTGCAAAGAAGCAGAAGCAGTTGCCCTGCTTGACAGACAGACGAATGGAGGGGTTAGGACCACAGGAGTCTTCACCAATGTTTTGTTTTATAAATGTATCACTAAATTCCTATGTTTAGAAATGCCTTCTTCTTGATTCATAAATTACAAGTCAAAGAATGCTAGAGTCAGAAGAAACTGACTTCTGATATTACAATGGTCAATAAGGTCCAGGGAGGGATGATGTGTGGCCCAAGGTCACAGAGCAAGTTAATGGCAGAGCTAGGACAGAATCCAGGACTCCTTATTTTTAGATCCATTTCACAGAAGTGGGTGTAGGAAGCCCAGAGAAAGGCAGCTCAAAGTCTGAGGTTAGTGACAGATCTGGGATGAGTTCCCAGGGATGCTTCCTTAGCCACTAGGCAGAAGGCCATGCTAACCAAAGGCCTGGCAGTAGAGATAATGCCTACCCAATTCCACCATGTGCCTGCAGCCCACACAGAACCACAATAATAACCACAGGAAGAACAGAGCTAGAGGGGCCTGAGGTAGCTCTGTTGTTAATATGTTCTACATATTTAAAATCACATGTTTCCACCCAATCCTGGGTAGGAAAACTGAGGTCCAGAGGTTCAAGTCAACAGAGCAAGGCAGAGACAGAAGTGTTATGTCCATGTGCTAAAAGGTGGATGCCTGGGAGTCATCAGTGGGTGCCACTGACTTGAGCTGCTTTGGTTCAAATCCCCTTCCCAGCACTTCCAACCTCTATGATGAAGGGCAAGTTGCTTAATCTCTTCGTGCCTCAATTTTCCATCTATAAAGTGGGAACACATGTTACCTACACTGCATAGGGTTTTGTGAACCATAAAGGAAACAAGGCTTTAAAGCACCTGGCACAGAATGAGTGCTTTATAAATGCTAGCTATTACTATTCTCAAAGAGAGATATCCCTGTTGGTGGGAATACAAGTGACGTCATAAAAATCTAATAATCTAGGAGAGTATTGACCAATAGAAACACAATGTGAGCCACGTATGCAATTCTAAATTTTCTAATAGGCACATTTAAAAAGGTAAAAAAGAAATGGGTTACTTTTAATAATTTATCTAACCCAATACATCTAAAATATAATCATTTCAACATGTAATCAACATAAACATTATTAATAAGATGTTTTTACATGATTTTTTCATACTAAGTTTTTGAAATCTGGTGTGTAGTTTACACTTACAGGACTAGCCACATTTCCAGTACTCCGTAGCCATGTGCGGCTAATGACCACCAGATTAGATATGGCAAATGGGACCTCAATGGATTACTGGATTTTCCAGATTGTTGGACTTTATTTTTTAGAGACATCTCAGCCATCTTGTTTTTACTAAACTGGGGAAAAAAGACTATATTTATACTAAACTATTTCCTTTTCTTACCAAATATCTTAGAATGCATATTTGTAATTCAAATTACTATAATAGCCAAAGCATAATGAAAACCTGTTTCTTTACTAAGGAAAAGACAGATCACACATTTAAAAATGAAAGGTTCACTTGCAGGAGCTCTAGCCCCTGCAGCAGCCCAATCGGTTGAATGGTCCACGAAGACATCGCCTAGCATCAGCATCCAGCCAGCATCACCATGATCAGGATGATTCTCAGCAACGTCTTCCTCTCCGGCTGCCCTGGGAGTGGCTAAAGTTGAAGCAGCAGGAAACAGAGGAATCTTGAAGAACGTCATCTCTGTGGTCCTGTTAAATGTGTCGCTGACACACGACTGTTTTTGTGATGCTTCCTTTTCAAAGAATTTACTCCGAACAACATGCAGGTTCACTGTATCTGCATTTACAGAGACACTGACAGACTTAGACAATTCAACAAACTGACAGGATCAACCCTCCATTAAAAGTAAAGCATTTCTTCCATTTTTCCAGTGAGAAGACATCCTCTCCTCAAAAAAAAAGTTTTCGGGCAACTTTAATAAATACAATTTTAAGTGTACAGATGATTGAATTAGGCAAAAGTCCACTTATGGTATCTAATATACAATTTAATTACACATACATTTTAAAATCACGTTTCATAAAATATTAATTGAAAAATAGAGAGTGGTTCAGGGCACAGATTCTGGATCCAGACGGCCTGAATTCAAATCTCAGCTCCTCCATTTACTGTAACTCACTTTTGAGAGAGTTGACATTCTGGGCCTCAGTTTCCTCCTCTTTAAAATAAGGGTGATAATAACATCCAGCTCACAGTGTTGTTGAAGTATTAAACGATGTAAAAACATGTAAAGCCCTTAGAACACTGTCCAGGAAGTGGTATACACATGTTAGGTTAAAAGACATAGTGGTTTATTATCCATTCACATAGACTTTAGAACCTCTTTATTCTTTCTTTCTTTCTTCCTTTCTTTTTTGAGATGAAGTTTTGCTTTCGTTGCTCAGGCTGGAGGGCAATGGCGCAGTCTCAGCTCACTGCAACCTCTGCCTCCCAGACAACCCCTTTATTCTAACTCGTCAAATGCAGCAGTGTTTGTCATCAGAAGAAGCACTTTTTTAGTTGAACGATGCCAGTCTCCATCACTTTCACTTCCCATTACACCATTTGGAATATAATACTTTTTGAATCTAGGTATGATGTCACAGAAAACTGAGTGTCAAGGCAAGCATCTATGTGGATATTAGCACAGACAGGTTTTCCCATTTATCTGGCAGCTGTATATTCTGATCACCAAAAGGACATCATGTTGCTTTTCAAAGCCATTGTTAGGACATTGTTAGGAAACTTGTTCATAACCATCACCAACACTCGTCATTACTTGCTCATATCCTCCGGAATAATTACTAAACCTGCGTTCAATTTCCTTGCCTTTTCTATCAATTCTGTGATCCCTGTAAACATCCCAAACTAGCACTGATTGGGGTCACTGCAGGCTAATGTAGTTTCTACAATTAATTTTGTAGCTCCAAGTACACGAAAAACCATCTTATAATATGAGATGTTTTGTAAGAACTTTTCTCAGAGCTGTTTGGAGACAAAGATCTTGTCTTTTATTTGGGCACACAGAAGGCATTCTGGCATTTCTTTCTTCTCCCACCTCTATCTCTTAGGTGTTAGTTGAATAAACCATGGTTCATTCACCCAGGAGAATATCATGTAGCCTTGGAAGGTGAAAACTAACTCTGAATACAGTGGCATAAAAAGAGATGGATGACAGAAGAGTTTGGGAGCTATGATTCTATTCACTGTCTACACTCCTAAGTGGCCACAGTGCAGCTGTCCAGAGCACAGCCTGGACCCTTTCCAAGGGCACGTCCTGCCTCCACCATATGCTAACGATGACCTGGGCAAGTCATTCAAGTTTTCTGTGCCTAGGTTTCCTGATCTGTAAAATGCAGATAACAGCATCTACATCAGAGGACTGTTGCAAAGATTAAATAAGTTACTATATTTCAAGTACTTAGGATAGTACCTGACACATAGTAAGCACTACATAGGTAGTACGTCTCTATTACTATTACCACATACAGATACTCTCTGTCTTCCTCCTTCCCTCTCTCCATCCTCCTTCACTCTCTCCCTTTCTCTCTCAAAACACATCAATATGTTAATGGTGATATTTAGGCTAACTGTAATCAGGGTGGAGAGAGGTAACTTATATGTTCAAACTCAGCATTTTTTAAGAATAAATATATAATATTTTGTCATTAAAGAGGAAAGAAAAAAATGTACTGACTCAACAATTGCTAAATGGGAACATAAGAACTTACAACTTTAAACCAATCAATAATAATATCAGGTGTGATTAAGGACACTTAAAGGCCCATACTTCCATATGATTTTATTGTAAGCCTCACATTAAAGGAAGAGTAGGTCAATCTGAGAATAGATTACATCTTTCCAAGAGGAGCCAGTTACATGTGTCACAAGCAGTGCCACACATTCATGAGAGTGTGCCAGGCCCCAGAGCGAAGGAAGGGATCATCCCCAGTGTCTCTTTATTTGCCCGAAGGATCCTGGGACCAACTTCAGAGCAGAAGAACCCAGACCAATCAGGACCTGGGACCAAGTGGCCCATCCTGACCAAAGCCTCGTCAAGCTCAGAGTCGGGCTCAAGACATGAAAGCTACAGATGCCCCAGGTGCCACGAAAATGCCAAAGCAAGTGGCAGCCCCTTTAGGGTCCTCCTGAAACCACTTTCTCCCAACTTTCCCAACACGAATAACTTTAACAATAATTCAGTTATTTTTAAATAACCGCCTTCCTTATTCCAGGCCCCATGCAGGATACAAGGAATTCAGCAACGAGAGGCAGTCCATACCCTGCAGCCACTCACAGGCCTAGTAGGGAATCAGAGACAACATGTGATAAACTCAGCTACAGAAGCATAGTAGAGAGGTAAGCGCTGTGAGGGGAGTCAGGGAGGGCCTCCTGGAGGAGGTGACATTTGTGCCGGGGTTTGATTTAGGAGGAAGGAAAAGTGGAGCTGTGCTCTTAGCCTTAGGGATCAGCAAGTACAAAGGCACGACAGTGTGACCTGTAGGGTTTGTGGTTGAAACAAGAGATATCAACTATGACTATCTTTTAAAAAATACGAAGTTTCTGGAATATTGAGAAGCTCATAATGAACAGAAAGCTGAAGGATCAGGCCTGAAAAATAAGCAGAAAAAAAAGGGAGTTCTGGGAGATCAACAAGCAAGAAGTCCAGCAACTTTGTAGCACAAACACCATGGCCAGACACCACCCCTACTACTGCACACCCCAATTCTCCAGCCTCTGGCTGCTGGCCCATCCTTCCTAGATGAAAAGTCCTGGGCAGCAGGGTCCACCTGCTGCATCCAGGTTACCTATTCAGCCACACCCAGGCTGCCAGGAAATGATGAGCAGCTGGCATCTTCACCTCTCAGCGAGCTACACAATCCACTGAGACTCAACACAATGAGAGATACCCCAAATCAAGAAACAGGGTTGGAGACTGGACTCCCAAAACAATAACACAAAGGCTGCTCTCGTGTGATTACACAGAAGGGGAAATGAAAGAGAAAAGGGCAGGAGGGGGCACTGAGGCTCAAGATACATGCTGGGGTCGCATCATGAGAAAGTTCAATTATTAATAAGAGCAAATCATCTAACAAACATTTGCCGCTACCTACTAAGCCCCAGCATTGCGGTTACAAATATAAATACAATGTTGTTCCTGCCTACAAGAACCGAAGCTAGCTCTGTTTATGGCCCGTGAACAAGCTTGCAGTTCATCCAATAAACATGAGGGAGCCCACACAGCTTTTTACAGCTAGCATCCACCTGGATTGACTAGTGCTTGGACCATTCTATTCGACAATATTTCCAACACTATTCTTGCTAAAGCCCAGGGAGTACCTAAGCTAAGAGCTAGAACAAGGTGCAATCAGGGGACCATCGACAGTGCCTGGCTTGTGTTTAGTGCTTCAGAATTTGCAAAGCATTTTCCCAACCATCAAGTCATGGGCAAATGTCCAGGACTACATGTTTGCCATGTGGATGATATTCCTTCTCCAGATGTCAAAGATAATACACAACCATTCTGTTTTGGGTATATAAGGGAATACAGAAATATATACATATGAAAACAAATTCGATAACTTCTATTGGAGATGAGCACAGAGATGTATGTACAAGAATACTCACCGCAACATGATTCAGGAGTAACTGGAAAGGACTTAAATATGCAACAATATGGGGTGATGAAATAAATCGTGGAACAGTCATTGCAATGGGAAACTATGAAACCTTTAGAAAACATGGTTTTATGGAACATTTAATGACATGGGAAAATGCTAAAGAAAAAAGTATTAAATAGCAAAATACATATTTATGCAAGTTTGTGTGAACATATGACTTTCATTTCATTCTTTATAGCTATCTCTATTGAGCATTTTCTCAACAATGAATACACATTATTTTTGCCATCATAAATCATGACTGCAAGTAGAAACAATTTTTAAAGATGCTTAGTTGACAACAGTACCATGTCTGCAATATATATTTCTCTAGCCTGGACATCAAGCCTGACTCCTCAGCCACATAAAACTCACATGACCTTGGACCAGTTGCTTCACTTCTCTGGGACTCTGTTTTCTCAAAAACAAGTGACAATATCTCGAACTCATGGGATGGTGGGACATTAGACAAAATGTTGTACAGGATGATGCCTAACCCACTTCTTAGTTAGAGTGGACAAGTAGTAAATGCCAGCTCCCTTAGAAGAAAGCAACGCTGGCCGGGCGTGGTGGCTGACACCTGTAATCCCAGCACTTTGGGAGGCCGAGGTGGGCGGATCATGAGGTCAGGAGATTGAGACCATCCTGGCTAACATGGTGAAACCCCGTCTCTACTAAAAATACAGAAAAATTAGCTGGGCCTGGTGGTGGATGCCTGTAGTCCCAGCTACTCGAGAGGCTGAGGCAGGAGAATGGCGTGAATCTGGGAGGCGGAGCTTGCAGTGAGCCGAGATCGTGCTACAGCACTCCAGCCCTGGCGACCGAGCGAGACTCCATCTCAAAAAAACAAAACAAAACAAAAAAACAGAAGAAAGCAAAGCTTCCAATACTTACAGAGCTCGTGTGGAAAAGGTAACCTGGGTAGGTGATGGGGTCAGGGTACTGATGTGTAATTGACCTGGTTTTAGTTTCCTAGAACTGCTATTAAAAATTACCATGAGCTGGGTGGCTTAAGACAACAGAAACCTATTGTCTCACAGTTCTGGAAGCTAGAAGTCCAAAATCAGGGTATTGGCAGGGCCACGTTGTCTCCAAAAGCTCTAGAGAAGAACCCGTCAACTTGCCTTGCCTGACTTCTGGTTTCTGTTGACAATCCTCAGCATTCCTTGCCTTATGGCTGCATTGCCCCAATCTCCACTGCCATCTGCATGTGGCCTCCTTCCCTATGTGTGTATGTATCTTTGCCTCCACGAGTCGTATTGGGTTAGAACCCAATATGACCAGCCTGACCTCATCCTAATTTGATCATTTCTATAAATACTTATTTTCAATTAAGTGTGACATTTACAGATATCAGGGGTTAGGACTTCAACTTATCTTTTTAGGAGACACCATTCAACCCAAACAGACCTCAACCCTCCCTTTAGACACATGAGCAGTTAGAGCAAGGCAGGAACCCACAGGGAAAGGCCCCATGGTGTGAAGGAACAGGCCAGGACCACCCTGGAGACGGTGCTGCTTCCATGACATGCTAGTTGGGTGAAATGTGTGTGTGTGTGTGTGTGTGTGCGCGTGTGTGTGTGTGCATGTGCATGTGTGTCACCTGTGTGTGTGTTCTCCCAACTCCTCCTCCTTCCAATCTGGAAACTCACTAAGCTTTTTGTATTTTTCTGCTCTAGAAATGTGTGTAGGAAAAATAGAAGAAGCTGCTTGAAATCAAGGCTTCCTTCCTTCCTCCTTTGTTTTTTCTAACTCTAAACTTACTTAAGAGAGAATGCTGGGGTCTGGAAGGACTGGGCCAAGAAGGGTGTGCTTTTGAAGGCTAAGATGGTGAGGAGAGAGGTTCTCCCATTTTACGAAGGTGGGAGGTATGGATCTGCTGGTGCCACACTCCTCCGTGGCAGTACCTGAGGAGGGGCAGGCCCGGGGGGGTTTGTGGGTGGTGCACCTGGGCTGGCTGGGCTGTGACAATGGCTCCTAGCCTGAGAAAGCAGCAGCAGAATCACTAGACCTAAAGGGAATGCAGCAGTGGGATTCCCAGAGAAAATCACAACAGTCTGCTGAAACCCCAGGAAACTCATAGAACCCTAGGGAAGAGGGAGCTCCAACAGTGCCTAAAATATAGTCTCAGCTCCCTGGGGACTGAGGGTCAGATTCAGGTTTATGTAAAGAAGAGAAATAAGTGAGTATTTCTTATGTACCTGATTTTGCAACCTGATATTCAACCCTAATCCATACCTTATGTTTAAAAGAATGTCCTACAAGTATTCAAAGGATATAGAAGCAAGCCACCCAAGCCCCACTACCTCTGGCTTCAGCCCTTTCCGAAGGATACCTCCAGCACTCACATCTTCCTTCAGCCCCCAGGATGCCCTCCTGCTGGGCCCTGGGCTGTAATTCAGGGCTGTACCTCAGGGATGACTTGTGGAAACCCATGCCAAAGATGGGGAAGGCAGGGCTAGGAACTGGTGGTAGCTGTAGTTAGTTCCATAGGCAGGATAGACAGCTAGAGAGAGGGTTTGTGAGTGAGTGTACTAACCCCTGCTCCTCTGTGACAGCCTCAATAACGATAAGGTAGTGAAACCAGGTCTGAAGCCTGGAATGCTAGTGCAAGAGCTTCTCCCATGGACAGAGATGAGGAAAAGTCTGTATTTAGGTTGACACAAAAGTAGTTGTGGTTTTTGCCATTACTTTCAATGGCAAATAACAGTAGGTGTGTGTAACATTCAATTCACAGAGGTGGGGTGGAGGAAATGTCTAAGCCCTCGATGCAGCAATGCATCCTGGACTTGAAAAGCCTCTCTGGCCTGTCAGGACCCACAGTAGAACACCTGCTGAGCAGCTCGCCTTTGTAAAGCAGCATCAGTGAGCTAGAAGTGGGGGCAAGGTCTCAGGTGGACTTGGACTTCCAGCCCCAGAGATTGCAAGAACCAGAAAACATTTAGAAAAACCAGCATTGACTAACCCCTACTCCAGGCAGACAGTTCACACTCATGCAGACATCCTCCATTTAACTCTCACACTGGTCCCCAAGATAAAGATGTGGAAACTGGGAGTTGAGACCCTAGGGTCACTCAGCTGTTGTGTAAGATTGGAATACACTGACTTGCAAACATGTCTATGATAACGATTTTGAAAGCAAAGAACAGGATGTTATGAGTGAGAATAAGGAGGAAGTCCATCTTTAGACAGACGGATAAGGGAAGATTGCCTTGAGGAGTCCTGTGAGCTGAGACATGAAGAAATCAGCAAAGCGCCAGATGCAGTGGCTCATGCCTGTAATCCCAGCACTTTGGGAGGCCGAGGCGGAAGGATCAACTGAGGTCAGGAGGTCGAGACCAGCCTGGTCAACGTGGCAAAACTCCATCTCTACTAAAAATACAAAAGTTAGCCAGGCATGGCGATGTGCGCCTGTAGTCTCAGCTACTTGGGAGTCTGAGGCATGAGAATCACTTGAACCTGGGAGGTGGAGGCTGCAGTGAGCTGAGATAACGCCACAGCACTCCAGCCTGGGCAACAGAGCGACACTCTGTCTCAAAAAAAAAAAAAAAAAAAAAAAAAGAGAGAGAGAGACAACCAAAGAACGAAAGAGAAATCAACAAAGTGAAGAATTGAGAAAACAAATTCTGGTGAGAAGGAACAAGGAACAATATGTGCAAAGGACCCGTGCCAAGAAAGAATCTGACACATCTCAGGAACTAAAACACACCAGGTATGAGAGAGGAGAAGAAAAGGGGCCCAAAGAAGACATTGGATCATGCAGGATCTTATAGGCCATGACAAGGATTTCAGATTTCATCCTATGTGCCAGGGGAGGCCATCAGCAGGATTAAGTCCCAAAATGACATGGAATGAGTTACCCAGACCAAGTATAGCAGGGAGCTCGTCATACAAAGGGGATGGGCAAAAAGCTGTGGAACATCTGAATAAACAGACTCAAACTTGACTTCCAAGATGAGGAGAACTGCTGGCTTTACAGAAAGAAAAGCAAGATTTCAGCCTATGCCCATAAGAAGAACAAACAGTTTTGCCTAATCCAAATTCGCTTTCATGCCTCTCTGCCTAAGAGGCACACAGAGCTGCTGAAATCCACAGGCGCATCATGACAGAATAATTTCAGTGATCATTATCAAATGCCTCTATTTAGAAAAGCCCAGAAGATTGTATTAGCATGATCCAATATTTATGAAATGACACCCTGCCATAATGAGGGGCTGAGAAAATTAATATTAGAAGCAAAAGCCATGTCTTTGGGGAGAGAGAGTAGCATGAGTAAAAAGACACACTTTTACTCAGCTTCTTAGAACTTGGTTTTCTGATCCGTAAAATGGGAAGGATAGTAGCAAAGAGGAAAATACATGATCAGTTAGTAAAGCACCCAAAGGCCTTTAATCTTTTTTCATTCATTCCTGTATTAATAAAAACACTTAATAAAGACTATTTGCCCATCCACACATCCATCCAACAAATTGCTAATTTAGTACATAGGATGTCTGATGTACTGCATTAGGCACTGAAGATAAAGTTATGAACAAGATTCTCATGGTCCCCATTCACATAGAACTTCTCATCTGGGAGTAAACCATGCACTGGATGAATAACACCTGCTGTGATGCGTGCTACTAAGGACAAGTGCAAGGTGCAACGGGAACCATTACAAAGAATGCTGACCCAGACTGAGATATGAAGAGGACGCACAAGACAGTAGGTAGGGGAAAGGCTCCGTGGAGGATGCCAATCTCATGTGAGTTCCCGAGGCAGGAGAGAGTCAGAACATTCTGGCAATTGGCAGAAGCCAGTGTAAAGTGAGCAGAGTGGGATGTGGAGCATGATGATGATTTGGAGGTTTAGGGAGGATCAGCACTCAGAGCTTTGGAGACCACAACAGGGCTTTGGTCTTTCCTGGAGCAATGAGAAGCCTCAGAAAGCCTTAAGACAGAAGCTGGGTAGAGACAAGGAAGAAAAGAAGTAACATGAACATGCTTATATTCTAGAATAATCTCTTCGACATCTGTTTGGAGAATGGATTAAAGTCCAAAGAGTTAAGTCAAGGAGTCTGTTAGAAAGTTTTCCACTTACCCAGGAAACAGACAATGGTTGTGTTCACCAGGGCAGTGGTGGCAGAGATGGAGAGGCTTGGGCAGACCCAAACTATACTTAGGAAGTAAAATGGCAGAACAAAGTGATTGATTGGAAAAGTGGGTAAGAGAGAGAAAAAAGAGAAACATGGCCCCCCGGTTTCTGAATCAGTACCAGTAGGGTGAAGTGAGCTTTCTGGAGACGAGGAACAGTGGAAAGTGAGTAGACAGGGAAGGGGAAATGGGTAAATCAAGAGTTCAGTTTTGGAGATGTTGAGCTTGGAGAGCCTACAACATGCTACAGGGCTTTAAGTGGACTAAAGATGAGCAGAAAGAGCATATGTGAATACACACACACCCATACACATGCATATGCACACACCGCCATATACACACACCCATACAAACACACGGACACACACACACACCTCCCATACACCCCCATACACACACACCCATACACCCCCATACACTCTCACACATACCCATACACATGCACACACACCCTCCATAAACGCACACCCATACACACACAACCCTTACACCCCCATATGCACACACACACACCCCCATACACATAGACACACACCCCCATAGACATGCATACACACATACACCAATACACCCCCATACACACACACACACACACATACCAGTACACAGGCATGCACACACACCACACCCATACACCCCCATACACACACACACACGCATACACACACGTATACACACTATAAGATCCAGATTTATTGGGCCACTATCAAGGAGGGCCATGAAGAGTAGAGCAGATGTGCTATGTTTAAGCAGAGGTGTCTTGGATTCTTGGGGTCCCTAATGGGATGGGTGATTCTATCATGTAAACCAGGCAGTACTTTTTAAAGTCAGCATGATTGGGCAACAGACAGAGGTTGTTCCACACTGCCTTGCTAATAGGCATGCACACCTGTTGATGACTTTGCTCATTCAAAGTAAGGTCCCACCAGATCTGAAATGCTCAATTTTGTACCACAGCCTAACTTTATTACACCTAAGGCTTGTATCAACACTTTTGAGAAATTTATACAATTAATGCCCTTAATAGGAGCTATCCATAACCATCCAGTGCCTCCTGTTTTGGAGCCAGACTCAAAGTGAATGAGGCCACACCCTCACCTGGGCATCTCTGAGCATCTTCTTTGCTCCCACTTTAGTAGCATCCTGGAAAACCCCGTTCTCCAGAGGTAGCCAAGATGACATGGCAGCTGGGCAGTGGGTTGTGTAGGTGTAAAATTCCTGAGACATCTAGGCTGGAGGCATAAATGTCAGAATCACCAGCACAGAGGCAGTATCTGAGGCCATGGGAGTGGTTGAGGCCAACCACAGAAAGAACACCCAGTAAGCCTGAAGAACTCTTAATACTCCATGGCCAGAGTGCACTGACAGGGGAGACTGAGAAAGAGCACCTGGGGGATTGGTGAAAACCAAGACAGGTGTGGGTTAAAGTGAGGGAGCCTTTGGTCAAGCAGAAACTGTAGAAAATGGCCTCCCTTCTCCAACAAGCAGTTGTCTTTACAACTGCAGCAGGGACATGTGATTATTCAGAAAAGTGAGCTTCACTTTCTCAGAGTCACAACTCTTCCTGGCTTCTATCACCAGGTAAGCCTCTTCAAGATGCACCTTACGCAGGTATACCCCACATTTAGAGTCTAAGTGTTCTCTCTGAGAAGACCTCCTTTGGGTACTTCCCCTGAAACATATCAGGTGTACCTCACAGGCCTGCCCCATGCAGGTATCCATCAAGAATTCACACTAGGCCTTCAGCGCTGCTGGTTAAGGACAAAAGGTTGGTATTTAGAATGTCAGGATGTTTACCTTATAATACAATATATAATAATAATATAATAATATATAATAATAATATATTATATAATAATATGACCTTATAAAAATCTGTGGAAGTATCCCTAAATATATATATAAATTATATAATATATATACTATGTAACATATATAATGTATAATATAATATATAACCTTATAATAATCTGACTGTAGAAGTCTCCCTAAGTATATAAAATATATGTAAATAATATAACACACAATAATAGATAATAATATGATAATATATAACAATAATATAATAATATAATTAATATAACCTTATAATAGTCTGTACTGTTGAAGTTTCCCTAAATATATACAACCTATGTCCATGTGGCCTGGAAGAAAAGCAGCGACCGTAAATTCTTCAGAAGCTCTTTCCCTGACACGCCACTGTCATCAGGCTCCCAAGCAAAACCCAGTGATACCTACTTGTAGCTAAAGCTTAGAATCTCGACGCTAAAAGAAATGCTGAATCCAGGTGACATGTGACTAGTATCAAATCCTGAAGAATTCATTCAGCCTTGGTTTGACCACCTCTGAGTGTGGGGAACTCACTACCTACAGAGCTATCGATTGCCATCTCAGAGAGCTCAATGTGTAAGTAAGTTCTTCCCCCCATGATTCACGGTAAAAACTAGCCATCCCCATTACAGCCCCAAACATGATGGATCACATACCTGTGGGCACTGCCTGGTCCAGCATTGGTTTCTCCCATGTGTTAATCTGCTCCCAGGTGAACCCATTGGTCCCTAGAGCCACACTATAACCACAGTTGCTGTAGTGCTCATCAAAGGAACAGCCACCTGTAGACAAAAGAGATATGGGTAAATACATTCCCGTGTCTGAGGCTTGGTTCGTTACCTCTGTCTCGTCGGCTCTTCATTTACAGCTTTGAATTTTAAACTCTGGAGAAGATTTTCCATATATATATATATATATATAAAAGATGAGCAAATTGGATTTTTATATTTGCTTTGGTGCTCTCAGGAAAGGCACTGGCATCTGCAGGCCTCCGTATTTAAAAAAGTTAATAAGGCTAGTTACATTGATTTCAATCTTCCTTCCTGAGAAAGTAAACAGCAGCGTCTCATTCTAAGTAGGAAAAATGAATGCAGGGGCATGCCTCTGTAATTGCTTTGTGCAGCACGGAGAGATGCTGTGAGGCAGCGGAAGGAGCACTCACTTCCCAGTCTGGCAAAACTAGACAGCCATCACCTTCACAAGGCTGTGTGAGCTCAGGCCAGATGCTTCATACCTGAGCATCTCCGTTTCCTCACCTATGATACGGAGGGAAATGTCCAACCTCACAGAAATACCATGAGGAATAAATGGAATAACATGTGAAAAGTAACTGCCACAGAATACTTTCTCAGTGCCCACCTGTTTCTCTGTAAAAAGCAGTCTGAAAAATCATTTTTCATGGAGTGAGAATCGAATTGGTAAGAAATTAGACAATCATGCACCTGGAAGATAATAAAGTCAATGTTGATCATGTTTAAAGCTTCTCCCTTTAACTTTAAAGGTCAAGCCATCCACCATTTGACAATAAGTTATATTCATTTGCTGTTGACAAGGATTCACTGAGCATACGCTCTGAGCTGTAAGTCCCATCAAGGTGACATTGAGAGAGATGTGGGGTGTACAATGGAGGCTCCAACTAGGAAACACTGGTCTGTCCAGAGAAATGAGCCCATTATATTCTGGAGGAGAAAGCAGAAGTGGAGGAGAAGTGAACAGGGCTTTGAAGGATGGGAGCATCTCCATGGGCGGAGGGCAGGAGGAATGGCATTCTGAGTTGAGCCTGCAGGGTGCACAAATGCAGGGAGGCAGAACTGGGACTGAGTTCTACAGCAGCCTCCTGGCTGGTCTCCCAGACCTGTTTCACACTCCAGTCCATCTTTTCCAATGTCCCTTTCTTGTCTCTTTAATGTTCACAGGGTGCATCACATCACCATCCTCCTCCTTTAAACGCTCACAGGTTTCCCACCCCACAGAGAACCAATGTCTGCTATAGATTAAATGTGTGAATGCCTGCAAAATTCATGCTGAAGTTTCAAACCCCAAAGTGATAGTATTAGGACACATGGCCTTTGGGAGGTGATTAGGACATGAAGGCAGACTCCACATGATTGGGACTGGGATTGGGACCAGTGCCCTTATAAAGAGACCCCAGAGAGCTATCTCGCCCCTTCCACCATGTGAGGACACAAGGAGAAGGTGCCATCAAAGAAGCAGGAGCTGGGCCCTCACCAGATGCTGAATCTGCCAATGTCTCGATCTTATACTTCCTAGTCCCCAGGACTGTGAGAAATCAATTTCTGTTGTTTATAAGCCACTCAGTCATGGTATTTTGTTATGGCAGCCTAAATTGACTAAGAAAATAAACAAACATGGCTTTATTCAGTTCATCCCACACTAGCCCGGCCATGTGCTCATTAACATCACACTATTGTCTCCATCAGCTGCAAAGAACCAAATTCTTTCTCTGCACCCCAGACCTGAGATTTCCTCTGGATAGTGGTGGTGGACATCCTGTTGACAGATCTGACATAGAATACAGTCCAAACACCATGGAAGAAAACCTGTGATAGAAAAGCTTTCTCCACTTTCCTTTCTTGTTGGATATGGACACCCAGAAGAGCTGGCCTTCAGCAACTACTATGGTCCAAATGTGCGTGTTCCCCTTAAATTCATATGTTGAAGCCTAATCCCCAATGTAATAGTATTAGGTGGAGCCTTTGGGAGATGCTTCCAAAGGACTGTGAGGGCTCTGTTCTCAGAAATGAGATCGCACCCTTATAAAAGATGCCCTAGGCAAATCGTTCACCCCTTCTGCCATGTGCGGACTCATAGAAGGTGCCATCTATAAGGAAGGGACCTTTACCAAGTACCAAATCTGCTATCACCTTGATCTTGAACTTGCCAACCCCCAGAACTATGAGCAATAACTTTCTATTTTTTAAATAACCCAGTTTAAGGCATTTTGTTATAACAGCCGAAATGGATTAAGACAGCACCCCACTGAGTATCTCTACTCTGTAGAGGAAAGCCACCCAGAGACTCGCCTGACCAGGAATATCAGCATTCAACTTTTCAGGAGCAAAATATAAACTTTTCTTGTCATATGCCACTGAGATCTTAGGGTTTAACTGTTAGCACCGTAGAGCTTTGTACAACCTGACTAATATATAAAGTGTGTCATACCTCAACACAGTGATCCAAAGAAAGAAAGAAGAAGCATATTCTCCCAAGCATTTGCTCTGTGTTGGGCAACATATTCGACACCGATTACATATACTATCTCATTAGCTGTCATGTAATCCTCACAAACCACATGAGGTACATTTTATCTCAACTTTAAATCTAAGAGAATTGATGCACTGAGGGGATAAATGACCTGCTCAGGCAACATGGAAGGAAAGTGTTGGAGCCAATATTAAATCCATGGCAGCATAGCTGTAGAGCCCATGCCCATCCTAATAGACCAGAGAGAGAATTATTCCCCCAAACCAAGGATAAGGTCTTTCACTTATAAGGTAATAAGAGGGGCCAGGCAGATAAAGAACTTCCAAGGTGGTTGGGCCTCTCCATTCAAATCCATTCCTTCACTTATTCTAGAAACATTCAACAAGTTTTTTTAATGGGCTCTGGACATGGCACAGAATTGACAGATATGATCCTTACCCTCACAAAGTTTGCAGAATAGAGTGAAAGGTAAGCATGCAAATATACACTGAAGATGCAATGGAAAATATGCTTTCTTATGTATGTGTTGATGCTAAAAAAAACAAGTTATTATTTTAGTTGATGGTTTAATTAACCAAATTCTCTTCCTTCTTCTAGATAAGATTTAAGAAGGCTCACAGCTATACCTCTAGGCATCCCAGGTTACAGATCCCAGGCAAGGTCACATTAACACTTGCCCCTAGTCCGTTGGATCCATTGCCCACCCCTCACCTCCCTGCCTCTGCTTAACTGTAGGTAGACACTCAGCTGATACTGAGCTGACTGCTGACAGGTCCTGGCCCTCTGAGGACTAGGGATGTACCTCCTCTTCACAGGCACTCACTGAACCACCTTGCTTCTCCCCTCTGCTGAGCTCTGTTGGTCACTTCAATCTGCAGCAGGTAAGCAAATGCTTTTCCCTTCTTACAGTCTGCTCTTTGAAACTAGGGTTCCACAGCAGCAGGCCTTGGACCTCAGTGACCCAATTTTTATTTTCAAACCACAGTCCTCTCTTTGCCTCTGCAGAAGAACTCACTTAGAGTGAATTTAAAAGCAGCTTTCCACTCTATCTTGAGCCACTATTTCTTCAGAATATTCAGGCCCCACTGTCAATTCTATTCCACTCTGCCAGGATTTGTCATCACTTATGGGATGACTTATGCATTCAGGACAGAAAATGGGGACCGTAAGGTCACTCTGGGGACCTTAATGTCCCTCCTACAGAAGAGTTTCTAGAAATGGGCTCCTGTTCTGCACTTTTATCACTCATACATGTCTGAATCCCAGCAATACACACAGTTCATGATTCTTCCATGGAGCCCTTGGGCTCCCAGCAAAGCAGGGAATTTCAAGGAATGCTGCCTAACTGGTCACTGGTCCAACCAAAGCAGCAGGTTAAACATAGAAGGAGGAAATACTGCATGATGACAAAAATCAAATTGAGGACAGGAAAAGAAAGAAAAGCAGGACAGAAGGAGGGAGCCACAAATCTATGCTGCGATTTTCCACGTGTTCCTTTACTAAAAGGGGGTTACATATATAGCTCTGAGCTTCTGACACCCAATAGAAAAAAAGCAAAACCTGGTAAGGTACTGGACACTCTGTGTTTTTATAATAAAAGCCAAATTGCTCAGGGAAATGACAACCATTTCAGGTGCTTTGATCAGACAAGAATTTCTCTGCAGGAATACTCATAACAGAAACCCCATATCCCATAATGAAACAACATCTGCACAAGGGGCTGAATGGCCAATTTCATGAGACTGTTTCTCATCATCATTCTCAATATAAATTGATAGCATCACCTAAACACACAATTCAGTAAAAGCTCATTGGGGCCCAACGCAATGCAGTCTGGATACCCACTCCCTATTGGTCTGACTTGACTCAAAGGTAAGTTTTAAGAACTATTCAGGGGAGATTTTTAGGCAACTTTTATGAGTTTTCTGTCTCCCACATTGAGAAACAGAGTGGCTATGAACTCAAGACTACATAACCCAATAGCAACTGACACTGACATCTGGGTACAACCTGTTGGGCTCATATCCCTTCCCTGTTTCTGAGCCTTCATTTTCTGCTGTGCAAGGCAAAGGGCTGAACAAGATGATTGCAATGAACCTTCCACTTGTAACATTTAAGAAATCCAGAGATTCAGAAAGAACTGGAACTCTCAGAAACCACAGAGATACAGACCCATGCAGTCAGCACAAGTACAGGCTAGGGTGTCCTGCCACTGAGAGCCACCAAGAGGAGGAGGAGAAATTAAAGCCAAGCTTCCCCTGGACCGAGAACAGAAAACATTTAAACCCAGTAACATCTATCTGTCTTGGAGCAATTCCTAGTGGCCATAACCAAAACAGGCCCCAGACGTTGCTGCAGGTGTTTATGGCAGCTTAGGGGAGATTTATGGTTCCAGAGAGTCCCTGATACAGTTTGGCTGTGTCCCCACTCAAATCTCATCCTGAATTGTAGCTCCCATAATTCCCATGTGTTGTGGGAGGGACCTGGTGGGAGATAATTGAATCATAGGGGTGGTTTCCCCCATACTGTTCTCCTGGTAGTAAGTCTCGCAAGATCTGATGATTTTTAAGGGGTTTCCCCTTTCGCTTGGCTCTCATTCTTTCTTGTCTGCCACCATGTAAGATGTGCCTTTCACCTTCCACCATGATTGTGCCGCCTCCCCAGCCACATGGAACTGTGAATCCACTAAACCTGTTTCTTTATAAATTACCCAGTCTTGGCTATGTCTTTATCAGCAGTGTGAAAACGGACTAATACAGTCCCCAAAGACACTCATCTGGATGCTAACCTCATTCAGGTTTGAAGAGCAGATGACATCATTTAAGTGATCTCGACCTCACCACAATCATTTTTGGGAGGAAGGAAACCCAAAAAATCTACCCCCATCCCAGGAGCTGGGCTCAGCTGAGGTTTGGTGAAGATCCACATAATTGGGGGAGGACAGGGAAGTGCAGCCACTGGCCAAGGACCCAGCACCTCCCCAGAGGAGCTATTTCCCTGGGCAGGCTGAGGTCAAAATGTGGCAATGGCCCCAGATGCTCTGATGTGAATCAGACATAAAAAGTCAACAGAGAAATGGAAAACTGTAGCAAGGAAATTGGATTTTGAAAATCCATTTGGGTTTGGTAGTGTATAGCATATCAGCATCTGTAAGGGAAGTAAAAATAGTGCAGGATACATACTTTAGGATACATTAAAGCATAAATAAAGTTTATAGTGTCAATCAGAATTTTTTTAAAAAACATGAGCTCTTCTTTTGAAAATGAGAGAGGAATAGAATTCAATAAAAATATAAATGTGTCTTCCTCTGCATTTCTTAGATATGATCCTGTGTATTCTTGAGCTGAATTAAGTTTTGTAGAGGAACTAAAAGATTCGTTGGGCTCCCACTGTGTGCCAGGCACTGTATTTGAACTATGTAGGTGTATGTGTATATCTGTATATATATTAACGTAGATGTAGGTGACTCAAACACCACCACTCTCTAAGACAGGAGTCATCAAACATTTTCCATAAAAGACTAGACAGTAAATATTTTCAGCTCTGTAGTCACACAGCCTCTGTCACAACTACTCAGTTCTACCACTGCAGTGCAAAAATATGTAAATAAATGAGTGTGGCTGTGTTCCAATAAAACTTTATTTGCAAGAGGTGACAGCCTAGATTTGCCCAGGGGCTATAGTTTGCCAACCCTTGCTCTAAGAAAGAAGTATTGCTTTCTTCTTTGTATAAATGAAAACTTGTCATCAGAGCTCCTAAGGAACTTACCCAGCGAGGGAAAAACAATGACATCATGTACAGCAGTACTAATAGCAACACCTCCTTTTATTCACAGTTGAATGTAATGGAGGCTTTACCTACAGTATCTAACCCTCACCACAAGCCCTGCCATTTTGATTGTACCATTTTATAGATGATGTATCAAACTCACCCACATGAAGGAATGGAGCCAAGATGTGAGCCCTAGACTGGATGGTACCAAAGCCTGGGTACTTTCCATTGCTCCAACCCAGCATTCTTTTGAACACTCTGTGTGTTCACAGAATCTGGTCTCACCATGATGCTTCCAGAATAGAAAGATGTTCTTTTAATATCCAGCAGTGGAGCTAAGTAAAAAAAAAAAAAAGAAAACTGGGCTAAACCTAAAAAAGGTGGAAAATTGCCTTTACTTGCCCTCCGTGGTAGGCACTACTTTTGGTAGAGCTCATCATTTTGATGAACGTGGCTGGAGATTAAGGTGATCTGCCATGGATGAGGATACGCAGAAACACCTGCTCCCTGATCCATAGCTGGTGCTGAAAGTCCTAGTAGCTCACTCCACATACATTCTCATGATTCTTGGGGGAGACGTCAGCACTGGGGACCCTGGGGTGGGGGAAGGGACTGAGACCACAGGACTGCGTCCCTCCAACTAAAGCTCCATAGCAACAGGGACATGCCACAAGGGTCTCTTTCCTCAGAGTCTGTCCCATAGTATATGCTTGCACTTTATTGTTCAGTGAATGCCTGAATATATTAAAAAGGACCTCCATTCACGTAGAGGAGCCAGGCTGGGGCCCACAGAGAAAGCTCTCATCCACTGTCATTGGGCTTCTCCTGGGGGCCACGGTGAACCCAGGGGAGGCCTTGCAGGGGAGTAAGAGCGAAGAACTCAGAAATCAGGCTGGGACCTTTAAGAAACTACCATCAGAGTGAACAGGCAACCTACAAAATGGGAGAAAATTTTCGCAACCTACTCATCTGACAAAGGGCTAATATCCAGAATCTACAATGAACTCAAACAAATTTACAAGAAAAAAACAACCCCATCACAAAGTGGCCAAAGGATATGAACAGACACTTCTCAAAAGAAGACGTTTATGCAGCCAAAAGACACATGAAAAAATGCTCATCATCACTGGCCATCAGAGAAATGCAAATCAAAACCACAATGAGATACCATCTCATACCAGTTAGAATGGCTATCATTAAAAAGTCAGGAAATAACAGGTGCTGGAGAGGATGTGGAGAAATAGGAACACTTTTACACTGTTGGTGGGACTGTAAACTAGTTCAACCATTGTGGAAGTCAGTGTGGCGATTCCTCAGGGATCTAGAACTAGAAATACCATTTGACCCAGCCATCCCATTACTGGGTATATACCCAAAGGACTATAAATCATGCTGCTATAAAGACACATGCACACGTATGTTTATTGCAGCACTATTCACAATAGCAAAGACTTGGAACCAACCCAAATGTCCAACAACGATAGACTGGATTAAGGAAATGTGGCACATATACACCATGGAATACTATGCAGCCATAAAAAATGATGAGTTCATGTCCTTTGTAGGGACATGGATGAAATTGGAAATCATCATTCTCAGTAAACTATCGCAAGGACAAAAAACCAAACACCACATGTTCTCACTCATAGATGGGAATTGAACAATGAGAACACATGGACACAGGAAGGGGAACATCACACTCTGGGGACTGTTGTGGGGTGGGGGGAGTGGGGAGGGATAGCATTAGGAGATATACCTAATGCTAAATGACGAGTTAATGGGTGCCACACACCTGCATGGCATATGTATACATATGTAACAAACCTGCACATTGTGCACATGTACCCTAAAACTTAAGGTATAATAATAATAAAAAATTAAAAATTAAAAAATTAAAAAAAAAAGAACATTTGCTCTGATCACATGAAGGGCCAAAACAGATGGAGATTCTGAATCCGAGAAAGAAGGGAAGTCCAAGGTTGATCTAAGGAAGCGCCATAAGGCCACCAGGAAATGGAGAAGAGTAAGTTGAGACCACGGACAGGTGGAGAAGTCATTCAAGGAGAAATGAGAGTATTTGCGAGAGGACCAGAATGACAGCTGAGACTGCTAAGGAGTAAACTGTGAGCTGAGCTTGATAACGGTTTGCAAGGACCAAGTAATCACAATGCAAGGTCAAAGAGACGGGGACAGAAAGCTGCTGAGCAGACACAGATCCCAACTAGATCTGAGAGATAGTCAAGATAACCATGTCCAGTGCCCAGCACTGTTCTCAGTGTTCACCAGTAGTAACTCATTTAATTATCCCAATCACCCCACGAGATGGATATGATCATTAACCCCAATTTTATAGACAAAGAAATGAAGGCATAGAAAGGTTAAAAAAAAAAACTATCCCAAGATCACACAAATAACAGGTGGCAAAGCGTGGCTTTGAACCCAGACTAGCTCAGTCTATGTACCTACTCATTATACTAGGTTGCCATGGTGATGAACTGAAAAGATAACCTTGACCTCGAAAGGAACCTGTTGAGGGAAATAAGTGGCTGCACAGTTCTTCCCCAATCCCTGTAAAATGGCATTCAGCCAGTCTGCATGCCTTCTGCCCCCATTCACTGCCCAGGCCCAGGATGCCAATCTGCACTTCTGGAGGACCAGGCATAGGGGGTAGGCTCTGCCCCTTCACCTCATAACGGAGGCCATAGTGTTATAGGGAGGAGAAGAAATGGAGTAGGGGGCTTAAAGTCAGGAAGGCAGGCACATGCAGAGAACAGGGGGTGGTGTGGGCCTCACATAGTAATCGCTGGTATGTGAAGAGCTCACACATGTGAGCTGTTCAGACAGATTCAAGATGTAGCAAGAATAAATGGTTACAGGGCACAGAAAAATAATGTGGTCAAAGCAGTTATTTTTTAACTGGGGGGTTGTTAAACTTTTTCTATAAAAGGCTAGATAGTAAATATTTTCAGCTTTGCAGGTTGTATTAGCCTGCTAGGGCTGCTGTAAAAAAATGCCACAAACTGTGTGACTTAAACAATAGACATTTATTTTTACACAGTTCTGGAGGCCAGGAATCTCAGACCAAAGTTGGGCAGGGTCAGGTGAGGGCTTGCTTCCTGGCTGGCAGATGGCCGCCTTCTCACTGTGTCCTCACACAGCCTTTCCTTGGTGCCTGTGTACTCTGATGCATCTTCCCAGCCCAATGGAACTAAGGTCTCATGCATATAACCTCATTTAACCTTCTTATAGGCCTTGTCTCCAAACACAGTCACATGGGGAGACATCGCAAAATTCCTTCACCTTTGTCATTCACTAAGATAAGCTAATCAAGACAGTGAAATCCATCACATGCACAGTCCACGCAAGGAGTGGGAAGTACTCAGGATGTGTACCCCAGAGGCCAGGAATCTTGGGGGCTGTCTTAGAATCCCACCCATCACAGGGGGCCACATGTTCCCTGTCACTAGTACTCAACAATGTTATTGTTGTACAGAAACAATACAAAAAGAATGGGCATGACTGTGTTCTAATAAGACTTTATTTATTAGCACTGCATGTTGCATTTCATATGATTTTCACATGTCCCAAAATAGTATTCTTCTTTTGATTCCTAACCATTTAAAAATGTAAAAACCATTCCTTATTTGTGGGCTATATAAAAACCAGTGAACACTCAGATTTGGCTGGTAGGCTATAGCTGGCTGACTTCTCTTTAACGACATAAAAATTCCCAGTTTTAGCAGTCACTGAATTTTAATACAGTCCCGTGTATTGCCATTTGAATGTATGCCATGTGCTACTGACCCTCTCCTCCAAAGACTCGATTGCAGAATGTTTCTTCCCGTCTCTGGGAACTGGAGGGAGGAACACGTCTCCCATTGTCTGCTAGCCCTACGGATAAGGGATTGAGTAAAGAACACTAGCTCTTTAGATTTAATTAAACACTTCATCTACACTACAAGCTTGTGTTCTTCATTGGTAAGGAGTAGTACTTCCACTTTATAGATAAGGAAACTGAGGCAGGAGTGGATGATGCACTCAGCGTCAGATCAGGGACTGAGCCAAGACTCCAATCATGGGTTTGTTTCTTGGCCAGAAGGTCTGACAACCAAGGCGACCTCCAAGATAGGTCCACCTACAAAATTTGGAGCGCCCCTTGCAAGACTAAAATGCAGAGTCTCTTCTTCAAAATTAAGAAATCAAGATGGTGCCAGGCGCGATGGCTCATGCCTGTAATCCCAGCACTTTGGGAGGCCTAGGCGGGTGGATCTCCTGAGGCTGGAGTTTGAGACCAGCCTGGCCAACATGGTGAAATCCCGTCTTCACTAAAAATACAAAATTAGCCAGGCGTGGTGGCGCATGCCTGTAATTCCAGCTACTCGGGAGGCTGACACAGGAGAATCGCTTGAACCTGGGAGGCGGAGGTTGTGGTGAGCCGAGATCATGCCATTGCACTCCAATCTAAGCAACATGAGCACAACTCCGTCTCAAAAAAAAAAAAAAAAAAAATAGAAATCAAGATGGTGATAGCAGAGCATTAAACCAAGCACGGGCTCTTCTCTTCTGAGTTCCAGGGCCTGTATGACTCAGTGCCCTTGAAGCCAATCCTGCTCTGTGGACACATATTCCAAAGATAAAATACCTCAACCCCCAAATCATGGAGATTCCACCCTCGTGCCAACAAATGCTTTGAAGGCAGGGTAATATCTAAGTGGGGCTTATTAATTGTGAACACCCTATCGTGGGTAGCTGATTCTTGCCCCCGGAATGAATGTAAACCAGCCTTCCATAAATTGAATTCCTTTTCTGAATATATAATTGAATTTGGAGAAGTGTGTGCCGGGGGGGTGTTTAAATAAGTGCACAAATATGGTAAGAAGGCCTTCACACCATTACATCTAATTCAGTAAGCAAAAATAATGGCAGGGCACGTTCCAATTAGTGTTTGATTTATTTGCTTTAACAAATCCAATTAGTAGAATGTTTTATAAAGTCATCCAATGTCATACATTCATGGACTCAACAGATACAAACAATACTCCTAATATAAAAAAAAGTTTTAAAGCTCTTTGAGCAGTGAATTTATTATAAATAAGATGATGTCTCTCTGATGGCTCGAGCATTCCCCAAGGACCAAGAAAACAGTGTCTGATCTGTTCATTTGGTTCTTTTTCTGTGAGACTTTGTGCAGCAACTCAGGTTAATGTGGCCCATTATATTAAATCCAGGAATGAAAACAACAAAGGTGGAAGTTAGCCAAGGAACTTCAAGGGAGAATAATGAACTTGCTGCTGGGTGTCTTCTAGATCAGAGACGTGTTTCGACTTCCAAGGCAGCACAGTACAGTGGGAAAAGCCCAGGGGTAACAGAAACGGCGGTGCCCTAGAACCAAATCTGATGCCTTCATGCCCTTTTGGGTCTCCAGTTTTCTCACATATTAAATAAAGAGTTCAATGAGGTTAAGCAGCCCCCAGAAATGCCCACCTTGGGTGGTGGATGATGTTCTTTGCCCAGGGAGACACAGAACAAGGTAGCAGTTAAAGCTATGAACTCCAGAGCCAGCATCTAAGCTCTGCTATTTTTTTTTACTTAGTTATATGACCTTGGCCAACTTATGTAACTTCTATGTGCTTCATTTCTCCATCTGTAAAACTAGGATAATAGTGCCTAACTCTTAAGGCTGTTATGAGGATTGGGTAATTTAATATTTGTAAACACTTGGAATAGTACCTGGCACGTAGTCAGTGCCAAGTTGTGTGTTAAATTAATATTTAATCCCAATCTATAAATTAGAAATGGAAAAGGCAGATGTATTACATGTGGTCAGCTGGCATAATCTCACCAAACAAACAAAATGTTTTAAAGAAACTGTATCTGAGTCTGCCCATCATATCCCTTATAGATCATCAGGGCTAATTGTGGTATGCTATTGGTCTGCATGGGAAATCCCAGCTTCTGTCACCCCTTACTACTGTGTGACTTTGAATAAGTCATGTAGACTCTAGGGCCAGCATTTCTCCATGTGTGACAGAAGCAGCAAGTTGAACCCTCTCCGAGAACCTTTTTGTTGCTGTTGTTAAGAGACGGGGTCTTGCTCTGTCACCCAGGCTGGAGTGCAGTGTCATATCATAGCTCACTTGAAGCCTGGAACTCCTGGGCTCAAGCAATCCTCCTGTGCCAGCCTCCCAAGTAGCTAGGACTACAGGCATGTACCACCAAACTTGGCTAATTTTTAAATTTTTTGTAGAGATGGGTTCTTCCTATGTGCTCAGGCTGGTCTCAAACTGCTGGCCCTAAGTGATCCTCCCTCCTGGGCCTTCCAAAGCACTGGGATTATAGGCACTGTCCCCCACCTTCTAAGAATCCTTTGACTTCTGACATCCTATGGGACTACAATTATGTCCTCCCTTCATGGTACCTAGCTACATTTGCTGGGACACAAAAAGTACCAAGAGTTCCCTGAAAATAAGAGCCTCTGTTCAGACCATCTTCTCTACATGGTCTGCTATGGGCCTCTGCCTGGTGCATTTGTACATTATGAAAAAAGAACATCATGGGGTATGGCAAGCAGATTCTGTCTTCTCACGGGCCCCAGCCTTCCCAGGCACCAGTTTGTGAGCAGACACTGTGAGATGCACTGTGACCAAGGAGAAAGTGCGATGAAAGAAGGAGGCCCTCTGTTGGGTCAGCGCCAGCCTCAACCTGCCGAGGAGAGGCTGAGAGAACAGGGGGAGAGAACAGTCACCTTCAGTTGAAACGAGTGAAGATGCTTCAAGTTGGAGGCCAGCTGGAGAGTCCAACCAGCCTGAAAAGTGGTCCCGCCCAACCCAGTGAGTCTTCTTTCCCAAAAACAGCATGGGAGCAGATGCAGGGATTCCAATGCTCTATCAAATTTAAAGAGAGAAGGGACGGTCTGGCCCAGCTGCTAATTTTACAGGTGGACAAACAGGCATAAAAAGGGCAAGGCTACAAAGAAAGGGGGCCCCAGCCCAGAGCTCTGCCCACTCAGATGCCAGAATAGCATCTTTCATCTTTTCTCACGCAACAGTGCTATCTTTTCCATTTTTATTTTGAGGGAGCAGCGAAAGAAACAGATGGCCATGGGTCATCCCCCGTCTCAGAGAAACTTCAGATCAGTCGGGAAAAGGTGAGGAAAGGTTTTCTCGACACAGAAGGACAGGCTTAAACTGGTTCCTGGCAGCTGTGTCAGCGTCTGAAGCCTGCAGAAGCCCAAGCCAAGCTCTTCACGGTCTCAGGGTCTTGGCACTTGCTGTTCCCCCATGGAACACTCTTGCCCTAGCACGTGATGTGGCTGTCTCTGGGCATCTTCCACATCAAAAATCAAATGCAAAACAGCCTCCTCCCTTCTTCAGTCATTCTCTATCATACCACCTTGTTTATGCTTGACGAGGCTGTTTCTCAAACGCTTTAGTTACATTCTAAAATTGTTTATTTACTCATTTACTTATTTTCTGTCTTCCCACTACCAGCCTAAGTCTACCAGGGCAGGAAGTGTGCATCCCTTTTATTCACTAGACTCATCAAAGAGCCTAGTACTTTAACTCTTGAGAGCTTGAGGGAAACTCTTTAAATGCTCATGAATGAATGAATGAAATAGAATATGATGAAGTGTCAGAAGCACAAGATTTGGTATCAGAGGATGATGCATGGCTTGGTTATGGCACTTTCTTTGTGACTTTGGATGAGTCAGAAGAAAATTTCTGAGCCTCCACTTCCTCATCTTTAAAATGGGAACAATAATGATAGCAGCTTGCATGTACTGGGAACTATGTGCTATGCACCGTGCTAGTCCATTTCCATGGATTACCTCATTCAATCCTCAAAAGAGCCCCATGAGTTAGGTACTGTCACTATCCACACTTTATGCAAGATGAAACCAAGAGTTAAATAACATCACCCAAATATCACAGCTGGGAAATGGCCAGAGATATTCCGCAAAGCATTGCAACAGGCAAATTGCCCTGTAAATCCATCAAAGTGGGGGTGAGGTCACATTCTGAGAGTCACAGACTAGCAGGTGGTAGAAGAAAATTCTGAGATTGGTTCATCTCAAAGCCCAGCTTGGCTCAAGCTAAGTTATATTCACAGAGCCAGGGGGCTAAACCCAGGTCCTTCCCATTCAGTCAGGTGTGTGTGAGGCCCCTTCCTCAGTAATAAGTTATAATCAGCTGTCTTCAGGTGCTATCTCTTGAGTGGTCCCTGATGGTGAGCAGGCAGAGACTCCTAGCAAACATGGATGCCTGGCTTGTCCCCGGTATGAATGCCCAAGTCCTGTCATCTCTCTACCCCTTTCCAGCACTTCCTTTCATCACAGCCACATCCTTGAGTTCTGACTGGCTAAAATCTTGCTTCAGTTCACCATGTCCCCCATCACACTTCATTCCCGTAGCATCAAAAGTGGTAATGCCACCCAGAGCCCATATCACATAGAAGACAGGAGATGAAATCTGCATGGTGGGCCCTCCTCAGTTTCTTCATCCATGAAATGTGGATAATAATAGTACATTGTTGGGAGAAAAGCTGAGTGTTGGGAGAAGCTGAGGCAGGGCTTGCATGTCTGACATACTGTAAAAGAGTCTTGGAACATGTCCGGGGTCCAGGGTCTAAAACCCCTCGTGGCCTTTGGAACACCAAGCTCTGTGCTAAAGGGTAGAAGCCTACCCTGAAGCACCATAACCTAAGCCCAGGGCATAAAACCCCTCGTGGCTTGGAAAGAATCCAGGGCTCAAGGCATAAAACCCCTCGTGGCCTCTGGAATGTGTCTAGACTTGCTGGCTCCTTGCTCTCCCAGGACTGATTGTATCTTGAGTTAAAAGAACCTGCTCTCCACTATCTCAAGCAGCAGAACATGTTCCATATGCTGCAAAGGAAATGCTAAGCCGTCACAGCTGTAGATCATGCACTTGCCCTTTCGACCCCCACATTCTCAACACCTGTTTCTCTGTTTGATCACCAATAAATAGTCTGGGCTTCCAGAGCTTGGGGTCTTTGCAGCCTCCATACTTGCGTTGGCCCCCTGGACACACTTTCTCTCTCAAACTGTCTTTTCTCATTCCTCTGACTCCACCGGACTTCATCACCCTCACGACCTGGTGTTGGGTCTGTCCACCCCAAAAGTACATTCCTGATAAGCTGTCATGAGGATTAAATAACATGTAAGACAGCACAGTGCCTGGCACATAGCAAGCTCTCAACAAACATTAGTAATTATTACTCCCATCACAGAATGTCATACACACACACACACCCTTCTTTATAAACATAAATTTAAAAGAAGAAATGAAACACTTGTGTATGTCCACACTGATAAATTTCTACACTTAGATACTCAATGACATATACTTAACACCCGCAATCCCATACCTGTCTCTGTGGAAGCTCCTGGCACGTCCCCCACGGTCTCTGTCTTGTTTAGGGAACCAGTTTGTGTCTTCTGTTCTGGCTTGCCACGATTGCTAGAATACATCGACTTGACCACAGTGGTAGCACAGTTCTGTGTAAGAAACACCAACCCCACAAGACCCCCATGGGCTGCTTCATGCCCCCTCCTCTCTGGGTGTCACTCCTCCTGCCCCATTAAGGAAAGGAAGCAGAAAAATAAATAGAGAAACCAATGTCTTTCTCCAAATCAGGAAGTTTTAACACAGAGTACAGCAAAGTATGACCTATGAACTAGAAACCTAGCCTGCCTCCTGTTTGTGTAAATAAAGTTTTATTGAAACACAGCCATGTTTATTTGCCTACATATCATCTACGGCTGCTTCCCAGCTACAGCAGCAGAGTTGAGTAGCTGTGATGGAGACCACATGGTCTGTAAAGACTGAAATATTTACTATCTAGCCTTTGATGGAAAAAGTTTACTCATTCTTCCTTCCAAAGGCCTGAAGGCAATCTAATAGCTGTCACCCAGGGCATGCAGGAAACCAGGAGATGGATGACGGCAGCTTATTTTTGCTAGTCCCAAAAGTTGCTACCACTACAGGAACATCTGGCTTTCTAAAAACCTCTTCTTCTGAAAGTGACTTATTTTTAACATACAATTTTTTTCAGAGGAAACAAAAAAAGGAAAAGAACTAAGGTCCAGAGCCTCTGTTGGCAGGCCTCCCCCAGCAAGTTCCACTTCCTGGAACAGTGAGTACACTGTCCTGATGGCTCAAGGTCAGTAGAGTCACATGGTCCACACATGGCTCTCTGTGGAACTCTGGAGTGCCCTTTGACCCCACTCCACATCTCAGCTCCATTAGTGACCTGGCTTAAAGCAGCTCAGGAGAGACAGAAGCCAGGTGCTCCCACCTTGGCCCAGTGAGGATCAGAGGGAGGAGAAGACACCGGTAATCCCCAGAAGAGAACATCCTGATGTCATGCAAAGCTTTCTCAAGTTCTACCCTGGGAAAATCAGCCTTTGGTGCCCACTCAATAATCCGGAACCATTAGATGCCAGGTACTTTCCAACCACTGCCTTATTTTGTCCTTAGAGAAGCCCTGTGAGTTGTTCTTTAGGATTCAAGACAAGATTTTGCAAAATTGGAACCTGAGGCTCAGAGAGGTTAAGTCACTTCTGCAAGGCTGCACAGCTTATAAAGGACAGAGTCGGGATTAGAATTACTTTCAACTTGATCCCAAAGCACAAACCTGCTCAACTTTATGATAATGTCTCTTGCATGAAATTCCCACTCCTCCTTATTACCCTCGCTGAATTTATTCAACCCATATCTGGATTTCATTCATTAATGCTAGATCAAGTGTCTGGTGTATGCTAGACATTATTCTAGCTATCAGGGATAAAGCAGTGATTGAAAGCTATGACCTCTTTCTCCATGGAGCTCACATACTAGTAGGGGAGATCAACAATGAAAACAGGGAGAGAAGTAAAGCAGGTAAGGGGCCCATCTCGGCTCTTGACATGACATAATGCCTTGAAGATGTTAGGCATGCAATAAACATGTGCCTAAGGTGGGTATGGAAATGGATCCTTATTGAGCAGCTAATCTTTGCTAGGCATCAGGCCAGACATTCCATGTAATCTTACTTAATCTTAACAACCATCTTGTAATCCAAGAATTAATCATCACCATTTTAAAGATAAATAAACTGAAAATCCAGCAAGTTAAGAATCCAATCCATATTCCCTACAGTTGTGGATTCTGACTGTTTTCCTTCTCCAAAAGCCATCATCTTTCTGCTGCAAAATGCTATGCATGCAGAAGCCCAAGGAACATTTAGGACTGGCTGACAGATATTGGTTTATGTACCCAGTTTTTATAAGTATATTAACATTTAATTACATCAAGTAAAGACTAGGGTTCCATACAGTCAATTAAACTCGATAATAGCATCCGGCGTTCTATAAATCACCAAACTGGTAATTGTGTAGATAAAATATTATTGCGGTCTGAGTATTATCATAAGTACAGTTGGTTGTCAGAAGTCCTCTCAAAACAGTGAAGCTTTGGCAATTTAGTCTGTAGTTGCCAGTTGGACTCCGTGTACCTTGGCCGTTAAGTGTGCATTAATTGTAGGATGGAAGGTTTTTAAGGACAGAATACAAAGAAGCCTCAACTAAGCTAAAGCTGAAATTATTTGGATACCAAGATTGGGTCAAGCCAAAGGGAATGGTGGATTCAGCATGTTTTGAGATCACAAGGATGGTGATGGTGTCTTGGGTAGATGTAATTACAGCTGAACTAGCACGTCACCCAGTTAAATCAGCAAGCCTTCTGCTCTTCCTCTCTAATGTTGACACTTTGTTTCCCTGGATAGGTGAATCTCACCAAGAAGGAAGTGTACACAAAGGAGAAGCAGGCACTCTCCTAGCAATTACAGGAAGTGGTCTTTGATGAATTTCAAAGAGAGATGGTAGGGCAGTCACTAAGGTTCCTAAGCAAAAAAACAGACCATCTACCTCAAAGCTGTCTCATCTCTACCTCTCTGATGCCCGGGAGTTCATGTGCATCCAGGATACATAAACATGTTTCTCCTCTTTGGAACAAGCACTCAGCAACTTCCAGCTCTACGCACATTTTTTTTTAATCTGCAAAGGACCAATGCAGATGATCCTATGAGAGCAGCCTCTGCCAACCTCACTCCACCTCAGGCTAAAACTCTTTGAAACAGAAGTGAACTTCTAACGAAGCTGCAACTTGCTAAATCACATAGTAACTCGGGGCCTGACAGGACACCACAGGCAGGTGGTCTTGAAGATTGAGGATTTGCCTGAGAGAAAGGAGTCCTGCATCAAAGACTTGGCTCTTCCTCCAGCTGGTTGCATGACCTTGGCTGAGTCACTTTCTGTTTAAAATGGATCTGGCTGGAAGCTCTTGACAGTCTACCACAGTACCAAGGCAATGCCCATAACAACAGTGGAAGAGGTGAAAACCTTCCACAGAATTGAAAACAAGGTCTTGATACGGGAAGGGGGCAGGGAAGTGCTGGGAAGAGAAGGGTGGGTCCCTGGCTAGGGCTCCACCCCATGGACCTAGGTGAGGACAGGCATTTCTGTTTTCATGCCCAAATGTTGCACTTCCCAAGACCACCCTGGCCCACCACACCCCCATCCTGTGCCTATAAAAACCCCGAGACTCCAGAAATAACACCACACATCTACAACCATCTGATCTTTGACAAACCTGACAGAAACAAGAAATGGGGAAAGGATCCCCTATTTAATAAATGGTGCTGGGAAAACTGGCTAGCCATATGTAGAAAGCTGAAACTGGATCCCTTCCTTACATCTTATACAAAAATTAATTCAAGATGGATTAAAGACTTAAATGTTAGACCTAAAACCATAAAAACCCTAGAAGAAAACCTAGGCAATACCATTCAGGACATAGGCATGGGCAAGGACTTCATGACTGAAACACCAAAAGCAATGGCAACAAAAGCCAAAATAGACAAATGGGATCTAATTAAACTAAAGAGCTTCTGGACAGCAAAAGAAACTACCATCAGAGTGAACAGGCACCTACAGAATGGGAGAAAATTTTCACAATCTACCCATCTGACAAAGGGCTAATATCCAGAATCTAAAAAGAACTCAAACAAATTTACAAGAAAATAACAAACAACCCCATCAAAAAGTGGCCAAAGGATATGGCCAGACACTTATCAAAAGAAGACATCTATGCAGCCAACAGACACATGAAAAAATGCTCATCATCACTGGTCATCAGAGAAATGCAAATCAAAACCACAATGACATACCATCTCACACCAGTTAGAATGGCCATCATTAAAAAGTCGGGAAACAACAGATGCCGGAGAGGATGTGGAGAAATAGGAACACTTTTACACTGTTGGTGGGAGTGTAAATTAGTTCAACCATTGTGGAAGACAGTGTGGCGATTCCTCAAGGATCTAGAACTAGAAATACCATTTGACCCAGCCATCCCATTACTGGGTACATACCCAGAGGATTATAAATCATGCTACTATAAAGACACATGCACACATATGTTTATTGTGGCACTATTCGCAATAGCAAAGACTTGAAACCAACCCAAATGTCCATCAATGATAGACTGGATTAAGAAACTGTGGCACATATACACCATGGAATACTATGCAGCCATAAAAAAGGATGAGTTCATGTCCTTTGTAGGGTCATGGATGAAGCTAGAAACCATCATTCTCAGCAAATTAACACAGGAACAGAAAACCAAACACCGCATACTCTCACTCATAGGTGGGAATTGAACAATGAGATCATTTGGACACAGAGCAGGGAACATCACACACTGGGGCCTGTCGGGGGGTAGGGGGCTGGGGGAGGGACAGCATTAGGAGAAATACCTAATGTAAATGATGAGTTGATGGGTGCAGCAAACCAACAAGGCACATGTATACCTATGTATCGAACCTGCACGTTGTGCACATACTTAAAGTATATATATATAAAAAAAAGAACCAAAACAAAAACAAAAACCCGAGACCACAGCAGGCAGAAACACACAAGCTGCTGGACGTCCAGAGGAACACATCAGCAGAAGAACCCACAAGCGTCTGGACATCAAGAGGAACACATCAGAGGAAGAAGACACAAGTAGCTGGACGTCAAAAGGAGCATGCTGGCAGAAGACCACACTGGCAGACACCAGCAGATGCTGGAGGCTGACCGTCAAAATGACACAGAATTTGGCCGGGGCGGTCAGAGGGGAGCACAGCCGCTGAGTGGCCCGGCTCCAGGGGGAAAGCCACGTTCCCACTCCATCTCCCTCATGGCTCCCTCATCTGCTGAAAGCTACTTCCACTCAATAAAACCTTGCACTTTTTCTCCAAGCCCACATGTGATCCGATTCTTCCAGTATATCAAGGCAAGAAACTCTCAGGATACAGAAAGCCCTCTGTCCTTGCAATAAGGCAGGGGGTCTAGTTGAGCTGACTAACACAAGCCACCTACAGATGGCTAAACTAAAAGAGCACATGCCCACTGAGGCTTCAGTTGTAAACATTCATCCCTAGATGCTGCTGTGAGACCAGAGCCCTACAGCCTACCCATCTGCATGCTTCCCTAGAGGTTTGAGCAGCAGGGCACTGAAGAAGTGAGCCACACCCCCATCACACACCCTGTGAGGGGGACAGGGGAACTTTTCCCGTTTCAGTCTCACAATAAAACTATTCACCTGCATCTGGAGGAAACTAAAATGGATTTTAAAATGCAAATGACAGACTACCTCTGTTACACTCTTGTTCTAATCTGGAAAAAAAAAAATGTGAAACCTCATCTGCCTGGAATTAACTAGATAAACCATGTGTTTCCTCCATACTGTCAACCCCCAAGTTCAAAATTACCGCATCTAACAAAGAGCACACCATGTCACAGGCCCCCTAATATAACACCTGGTTTAGGCACCGGGAGTCTCTCTCTTCCTTACAACCTACTACCTACAGTCAGAAAATGTAACAGTGAGGGGAAAAAATAAGAATTATTATGAGTAAATGAAAAAAATGAATACAGTAGGAAAGAAAAAGAAATCATCATAAACATTTAAAAAGAAGACCTCTGAAAATGATCCACTGAAAGAACCCGAAGAACGCTTTAAATAGTGTGAAGTGTCCTAAATAGGAGACAAAGAGATGCAGCCCTTTGTGAAACAAGAAGAGAAAGCCACACAGAGACCCCAATAACCTGAAAAAACAATCGGATTAGGAGACAGATCCGTGTGTTCATAAAGGATCTCAGGGAAAGTAAAAATGCAAAAAGCAGAATCCATATCAGTGTATCAAACCCTCCAACCTCAACGTTGACTGGAATGAAGAAAAGGAAGCAAAAGTAACAAAGAAACCACAAACATTGAAGTTTTTTTTTAATGTTTTTCTCATTGACTTGGAGGACGCGACACAATTTGGGCCCACCCAAAATGCCACGAATTTATACACTACACAACTCGTTCTTAACAGAGTTGTACAGTATGAGATGAAGTGGAGGAATTTCGGAAAACCCAGCAGTATCCGCCAGCTGGCATGTCAGGGGCCGTGGCGTGAGAGAGCTACAAAAAAGATGAAGGATGCTCAACCTGGGTGTCCTTCAGCCTCTTGCATCAACAGTACTTGAAGTCATTAGTTTGTTATTGTCCTTGTTTCCCATCTAATTCAGATCTCTCAGAGGCCCTGGGAACTTCTCTCATCCAGGAGAGCCCCATAACTGGAAGGGTACAAGTGGGGGCAGAGTGAAAATAGTAAGAAATGGCAAAATGATTTTCCAGGTGCCCCAAAACAGCCCACCAAACAGAAATAAACCATCATGATTGTGCAACTTTCCTCCAGGGGCTGACACACCCTGAAGCCAATGAAAGAGAAGTTCCTGGGTACCCCACCAAGCATAAGAACCCTTCGGGAAGAGGTAACAGTCTGAAAGTCGGTGAAGTACTGGTGGCAGAGTAGCCCCCCATGTCTTCTAGGGCTCCAGCCATTAGGAGCTGCAACTGCGCTAAGGCAGAAAGAAGCAAAGCTCACATCCCAAACACGACCCACCGGGAAGGCAGCAAGAGAACGGGGGATAAGCATCTTGAAGACACTGATGTCCAGCCCACGACCATGTGACCTTGGACAAGTCACTTAACCTCTCCCAGTTTCAATTTCCTCATCTAAGAAGATAATAATAATAGCCACCCAGAAGCACGTCTGAATTTTTATAGCCCGAATCTTAAACACCTTAGGGAGGGAGCATTCTTTAAGGAAAATAGTACAAACTTAGAAAAGAGACTATCTGACATGAGAAAATAATTCACAACAAATAATAAATTCCTAACAACCAGCAAATACCACAAACACTGTACAATCCAGAAAAATAATATTTTTATAAATTATCTTTCTAACAATATTCTCCCCTACATTTCTGGACATATTTTCTGGGATGATCTCTTTATGACAATAATTTTGCAATATCATTTTTTATAGAGAGACTAGAAACTTCAGTGTCCCCTCTAGCAGGTTAATATTTATTATTATTAATATTTTTAAAGTCTCCTTCAAGTTCACAAGTCATTGTTTATATAGAGTCATGTAAACTTTAAGGCTGTGGTCAAGTTTGGAGAAATCTCTATCAAATTTCTTTCATGTGTATGCTATACTATTTCAGGGTATTATAAGTGTGATTGTCCACTGAGTAATCAAATAGTCTTTGAATTCATGACATTAGGCATATTTATGGAAGCCATTTCCACACTAGGGTAGCTAGTATTGGTTTAATTATACACAAGGAAATACAGGATGGTGCCAGGGCTCATGTTTATAATCCCAGCACTTTGAGAGGCCAAGGCAGGAGAATCACTTGAGGCCAGGAGTTAGAGACCAGCCTGGGCAACATAGCAGATCCCATCTATAAACAAAATAAAAAATTAGCTGGGAGTGGTGGCATGTACCTGTAGTCCCAGCCACTTGGGAAGCTGAGGTGGAAGGATCACTTGAACCCAGGAGTTTGAGGCCTCAGTGAGCGATGATCTTGCCACTGCACTTCAGTCTGGGCGACAGAGCAAGACCCTGTCTCTAAAAGTAAGTAAATACATACATATATACATACATACATAAAAGAGAAATATCTATGTGTGTATGTATCCTATCATCTATCATTGCTCTATTGATCTAGCTATCTATATTCTATTAACCCAAGCTTGACTTCAACTTCTGCTTACCCAGATTTCTAAAATGCCCTGCATACTCCAAAACTGCCACCTCCCACCCCTCACCCCTAAAAGGACATTATGATGAAGGGGAAGTTGGAGTGGAATCATAATAGTCTTCGCCAATTGTGGTTAAAATTATCTTACTTCTAATCATTTTATAAAATATACAACTATCTGAACATATTGCACACAGCCCTTCCTCGGGCCTTGGAAGGGTAACACAATGGGGATAGACTGTGAAGCTTAAGCTTCGTAGCTCCACAGGTACAGGGCTTTGAAATTCTCCCACAGATACACAAGAGGGTGTGGCATGTGCCTGGCTCTGGCAGTGATGGATGTCCTCATCTGTAGCCATGCCACATGTCTGATGGAGGCACCTGAGACCCATCCAGCATTTACCAACCTCTACTGCACCTGTAAAGCTGTGTGTCTCACCTTTCTAACATCAGACCTCAGGCAGGAGATGGGCTGGGCCTTGGGGGACCAGATCACCATTATTCACTTGCTTTCACACAAGCATGTTGGATTTCACCTTGGGGAGAAAAAACATTCAACAACCGGGCCAGAAAACACTGCTATTGTCGACAGCTCTAGCAAAACACTGTAATTCAGACTTTTCCTAGTTTGTTAAAATTTGCTGATGCCAATCGGTATTTCAGAGTCTCGTTAATTTTCTCATTACTCTCCTATTCTTTTCTCCCTAGCAGCTTCTTCCACGCCTCAATCACACCTTTGAATCTTTTACAGGGACACCATAAAGCTGGTTACTTTATCCCCTTCCATCCCTGCAGCTTGTTTGGCTGCAGATATATTTCACATGAAGCCCCAGGCCACATCAGATGACAGCCCAAACCGCAGCCCCCAAAGACCATCCAGAAATCCTGCTGCACGCTTGGGAGTTCAAAACTGTTTTGATTCGGATTCACAAGAATCACCCTGATTTCCTCCTATGAGTTTTTACATAAATTTCTCACCGCAGCTTCTCTACAACCCTGGAAGGCTCCTCCAGGCAAGCCCTGAGAATAGAGCTGTGCCGCGGTTGGCCATATCCATGTACCAGGAATTTGTTGGGAAACAGCAACCAGCTCAGTGGTAGAATCAATGAAAATTTTTATATCCTCCTTTATCATTTCCTATTTTGGGGGGAAAAACTATGTAAGATAGGGAAACTCTGTTGTCTAGCCATTACTGAAATCTTAGGAGAAATGATGTTGACAGGATGAGCTTAAAGGAAATTCATTCCACTGGACTTCCCCCAAGTAATCGACAGCTGGCTATGGGGTCAAACTAAACAGATCACTGAGAGTCACATACTTGATCTCAGCCATACATTGCTGTGAGCCTCTAGGGAACCCCTTTTTCTCCACGCAGCCTTGGTGCCCACAAGAGCATCATAAGAGACAAACACACAAAATAAGGGTGAAATCAAGGTTGAGGTGATTACGGAACACAAAATCTTCTTTGAAATGACTTTCAAAAGAACATTGTATTAGTCTGTTTTTATACTGCTATAAAGAACTGCCCAAGAATGGGTAATTTATAAAGGACAGAGGTTTAATGGACTCACAATTCAGCATGGCTGGGGAGGCCTCAAAAAACTTATAATCATGGTGGAAGGCAAAGAGGAAACAAGGCACCTTCTTCACAAGGCAGCAGGAAGGAGAAGTGCCGAGCAATGAGGGGAAGAGCCCCTTATAAAACCATCAGATCTCGTGAGAACTTGCTCACTATCAGGAGAGCAGCATGGGGGAAACTGCCCCCATGATTCAATTACCTCCACCTGGTCTCTCCCTTGACACATGGGGATTATGGGGATTATAAGATGAGATTTGGGTGAGGTCACAAAGCCTAACCATAGGAAACACTTTTTTTTTAAATCATGGTGACTCTCTTAAGAATCTAATATATTTATCTTATATGCTTTGTGTGTCTTAGTACACACACAGACAGACAAAGACACATACAACCTCATAGAATTTCTTAGAGGAATTCAAGTAAGATGCCAAACATGTAGAACCAAGAAAAACGTCTGGCACATTTTAAGAGCTAAATATATACTAGCTATTATTATTATTAGGAATACAGTACCTATAAAATGTATTCATAATTTAACAACACACATTTTAACAAGCCATAACTATTGACAGATATTAACTAGTAATTATTCTGATTACCCTAAAGTGACAAATACTCCAAATGCCTACTGGCACCAGTGCATTTGACAGCATTGCATTTTTTGGTGTAGTTAACATCTGGAAAATGTATACATTATCTAGGGGCATCCTCCATATATTTATTTATATATAAATCTATGCACATGAATCTGTATGCATGCATATGTCAGGTTTATTCATTTCAATCTAATTGCAAAAATAACACATTTTTCTCCAAATAATTTGAGGAAAATTTAAAAACACAATCCCCTCTAAACCGCATTTTTCCAGGAGTTGCCACTGTTCATACTGTGATCTATGGCTTTTGAGACTTTTTTTCCAACAACAGATATGCACATATATTTTCCAAAGAACATTTGGAACCAGAATGAACATAAATCTTTGCAACCTGCTTTTAAAGTACATTACAGTATCAGAAATATTTTCCTAGTTTACTAAATGTTCTTCTAAAACCCAATTTTAATGGTTGCCATCCTGCATGCTGTTAATTTACTAACCCAAATCCTCTTTTCTTTTTTTTTTTTTTTTTTGCTTTCAAATTTTACTACTTATAAGGCAAGGTAATAAACCCTAGGAAATATCCACATTTATTTCCTTGGGATAAGATTCTAAAAGCTGCACTTCTAAGGTCAAAGGGCAAGCACAAATTATATATACAGTCAAACCATCTTCCAGGACAGTTGTTGCAATTAACACTACTATCTGCAATGTATAAGACTGTTCATTTTCCTTGCATCCTCACTAGTACTAAGTATCATCACTGTTTTTAATCATTGTCATTTGTCATTTTAATTGGTGAACTGCAGAGGCCCATTAGTTTAATTTTAACTTATTTGAATATTAGGTGAGGTTGAATGTTTTTTATAAGTTCAACTGGCCATTTGGCATTTCCTCATTTGTAAACTGCCTGGTTATGCCCTTCACTCATTTTATGATTGGACTATTTATCCATTCTAATTTGTAAGTGTTCTTAATTTAGTAAACACATTAACTTATTATCTACATTTTCAGTTATAAACATTTCTCTAGTTTCTTTTAACCTCTTAATTATTTTTGGTACATGTACATTGTTGAGTATAAATACAAATCATTTCCCACTCTGGTAGAAATGCCTACATAGAGTATCAGATACTTGCGTATCATACTACAGAAGAAATAAATATTCACCTGTATCATTCTTGATCCTTTTGTTAAATTATGAATACATTTAAATATTGACTTCCTCTAGAAATAAGTTTAATGCATGACATAGTGTAAGAATCTAACTTTATTTTACTTTTTAAAACACTTTCACTATTGTTTCAGCATCATTAAAATTATCCATCTACTCCCGGATGTCCTATATGAAATGCTTATAAATACATGGCTCTATTTCTGAGCTTTCTATTCTGTTCCACTGATCTATGTGCCTAAATATATCAGTATCAACATGTTGTAATTATTATGGATCTGAACATGGCATAATTAATGCTAGTGCTAGAGACTAGCTCAGGAAACAGACAACCTGAGTTTAAATGCCTATCCTACCTCTTACTACGGATGGCCTTGGGAAAGTTTGCCAATGTCTCTGTGCCTTAGTCTCTCCATCAGTAAAATAGAAACAATCATCTCTTCTTTACAAAATTGCTGTAAAAATTAAAACGACTGTATGGATACAAAGTGCTTAAAAAGGTACCTTACACAGAATGAACACTGAATAAATGTTATGCTATATCCATTTCTGAGGAGTGTTATAACAAAGTGCCACAGACTGGGTGGCTTAAACGACAGAAAGGTATTATCTTACAGTTCTGGAAGCTAGAAGCTGGAAATCAATGTGTCAGCAGGATTGACCCCTTCTGAGGGAGAAGAGGGAGAATCTGTTCCATGTCTCTCCCCTGGCTTTGGGTGGTTTGCTGGCAATATTTGGCATTCCCTGGCTTGAAGATGTATCACTCCAATCCTTCATCTTTCCTGCATCTCCACACATTGTCTTTTCTGTCTCCCTGCCTAATTTTTTTTTTGTTTTTACAAGGATACCAATCATACTGTATCAGGGTCCACCCTAAGGACCTCATCTTAAGTTGATTAAATCTTCAAAGACATTATTTCCAAATAAGGTCACATTCTGAGTTACTGGGGATTAGGACTTCAAAATAACTTCTTCTGAGGACACAATTCAACCCACAACAGCCATTATTTATGGTACCTTTTCAAGATTGAATGATGAGGTTATCAGACAACTTAGTCTTAATAGCAAATTCTATGCCAATATTTCTAATTTTTCATGACAAATGATGACATTAACTTTAGATTGAGAAAAGCTGTTTGTTTATGTTTAGTATGATAAGAACTCATCTTTCAATTTCCAGTTGTCCCAAGCATTGGGGGTGTTGGGTTGCTTGCTAATTTTAAACCAGAATGAGTGTGAGATTTTTCAAAAGCCTTTTTGAGACTATTGAACTCATCATATGGTTTTCTATTTTTTATTTATCCATGTAATACATATTAATTCATTCCCTAATGTTGAATTTTCCTTACAATTGTAAGATAAATCCTATTGTAGCATGGTATATTACTCCTTTAACACAACACTGGAGTAGATTTGTGTGTTTTGTTGTTTGGTTTTGTTTTTCACAGCTACATCCATCTTCACTTGTGTAGTTGTCCTCTATAGTCCCTTGACAAATCTCACAATCAAATTGTCTTTGCTTTCTCAGGAAAGGGATTTGTGGATCAGCCCTAGGTGATCCTCTTCAATCACTGTATCTCCTAGAAATGACTAAGTATGAGGCAAAAGGGTGGTATCTTTTCCAGTTCCCACCCTACTCATGTCAGGTTTTTATATTTTGGTCATGTTGGTTCATGTCAAGGAAGGTGGGGTGATTAGTTGCCTGTGCTCAAATCCCCCTCTTTCCCAGAAGCCGGGACCTATTGCACATATTTGTATGAATGACTCATCAAAGCAATCCCAGTGGTCTCCACAGTCCGTGGATCCTTAAAACCCAATTCAAAAACCAACCACATTTGCATCCATACAATAAAATACTACTCAGCAATAAAAACGAATGACCTATTGACGCTTGCAACAATATGGCCAAGCATCAAATGATTTATGTTAACTGAAAGAAGCCAGATTCAAAGGCTACAGAATGCATGGTTCTATTTATCTGACATCCTGGAACAGCCAAAACTAGAGGAAACACAAACGGATCAGTGCTTATCAGGAGTTGAGGGTGAGGGAAGGATTTGACAACAAAGGAACAGCATGGGAGAATTTGGTCGATAATTGAAAAAACACATTATCAATACATAAGGGATAAGTGGATAGGGGTATGGGTGAAACAAAATTGGCCATGAGGTGTTAATTGCTGAAGCTGGGCAATAAGGGCTTATTATGTTATTCTGTAAAAAATCCTTAAAAGTGTACAGTTAAAAAAAAAAAAAATACATACCAAACATTGCACCCAATCTGTGTGAGGCAGGGGCTTGGAAAACATGACGCTAGGGTACCCTTTACCATTCCAATTTTCTAAACCCTTATCCCTCTCCAAATGGCCTACTTCATAAATATGCTATCCAATGATTAATAAAATGAAAGCTAAGGAGGGAAAAAGATATAATTAAGGAAGCAGTCCCAACTTTGGCCATCTAAAGTAAAATGACTGTGCTAATGTCGTTGTTAATGTTTCGTGGTCAGAGCAAAGAGAAAATCACTCCCCAGATTACAGCTTTTGCTATTTTAGGGCCTCTCTGGGAGCCCCACTGCAATGCACAATGCGGTTCGAAATCTGAGCTTCCATTAAAGAGTATGTTTGAGGCACGGCTTAGAGAACCCCACAGGAAGACTGCTTAGCCTCTCAGAAAATGCCCTCAGGCCTGGCCAGGCTATAGGTAAGGCCTGTGGGTCCCTCCCTGACAGTAGCTGGCCCCCAGCAAGCTGCCTTCTGATCTGCATAAGGGTCCCTGTGGGGGCCTGGCTGCTCTCCTGGACCGGGAAAGACTGCACAGCCACGTAATCTACGTGCATCTTCAGAGAGGACCAGATTTGCCCACACATTCTGTCCCACACAGCTCAGAGGCATAGAGGCAGCCACCTTAAGAGTACTCCTCACAGCTGGGGACAGGTGAATCACGGCTACTCAGTTGATTGGTTATCTATCTATCTATCTGTCTATCATTTACCTATTTATTTTCAGAAAGGGTCTCACTCTGTCACCCAGGCTGTAGTGCAACCTCTCAAACTCGGCCAATCCTCCAATCTTAGCCTCCTGAGTAGCTGGGACTACAGGAGCACACCACCACACACAGCTAATTTTTTGTATTTTTTTTTTCTGTAGATACAGGGTTTTGCCATGTTGCCCAGGCTGGTCTTGAGCTCCTGGGCTCAAGCGATCCTCCTGCGTCAGTCTCCCCGAGAGTTCTGGGATTACAGGCGTGAGTCACCATGCCCGGCCCGCTATTGTTTTTAAATGCCATTTCCCTCATGAGTGCCCAATTGTTGTTGTTGTTGTTGTTGTTTTTATTATTATTATTATACTTTAAGTTTTAGGGTACAGGTGCACAATGTGCAGGTTAGTTACATATGTATACATGTGCCATGTTGGTGTGCTGTACCCATTAACTCATCATTTAGCATTAGGTATATCTTTTAATGCTATCCCTCCTCCCTCCCCCCACCCCACAACAGTCCCCGGTGTGTGATGTTCCCCTTCCTGTGTCCATGTGTTCTCATTGTTCAATTCCCACCTATGAGTGAGAACATGCAGTGTTTGGTTTTATGTCCTTGCGATAGTTTACTGAGAATGATGGTTTCCAGTTTCATCCATGTCCCTACAAAGGACATGAACTCATCACTTTTTATGGCTGCATAGTATTCCATGGTGTATATGTGCCACATTTTCTTAATCCAGTCTATCGTTCTTGGACATTTAGGTTGGTTCCAAGTCTTTGCTATTGTGAATAGTGCCGCTATAAACATACATGTGCATGTGTCTTTATAGCAGCATGATTTATAATCCTTTGGGTATATACCCAGTAATGGGATTGCTGGGTTAAATGCTATTTCTAGTTCTAGATCCCTGAGGAATCGCCACACTGACTTCCACAATGGTTAAACTAGTTTACAGTCCCACCAACAGTGTAAAAGTGTTCCTATTTCTCCACATCCTCTCCAGCACCTGTTATTTCCTGACTTTTTAATGATGGCCATTCTAACTGGTGTGAGATGGTATCTCATTGTGGTTTTGATTTGCATTTCTCTGATGGCCAGTGATGGTGAGCATTTTTTCATGTTTTTTTTGATTGCATAAATGTCTTCTTTTGAGAAGTGTCTGTTCATATCCTTTGCCCACTTCTTGATGGGGTTGTTTTTTTCTTGTAAATTTGTTTGAGCTCATTGTAGATTCTGGATATTAGCCCTTTGTCAGATGAGTAGGTTGCAAAAATTTTCTGCCATTCTGTAGGTTGCCTGTTCACTCTGATGCTAGTTTCTTTTGCTGTGCAGAAGCTCTTTAGTTTAATGAGATCCCATTTGTCTATTTTGGCTTTTGTTGCCACTGCTTTTGGTGTTTTAGACATGAAGTCCTTGCCCATGCCTATATCCTGAATGGTACTGCCTAGGTTTTCTTCTAGGGTTTTTATGGTTTTAGGTCTAACATTTAAGTCTTTAATCCATCTTGAATTAATTTTTGTATAAGGTGTAAGGAAGGGATCCAGTTTCAGCTTTCTACATATGGCTAGCCAGTTTTCCCAGCACCATTTATTAAATAGCAAATCCTTTCCCCATTGCTTGTTTTTGTCAGGTTTGTCAAAGATCAGATAGTTGTAGCTATGCGGCATTATTTCTGAGGGCTCTGTTCTGTTCCATTGGTCTATATCTCTGTTTTGGTACCAGTACCATGCTGTTTTGGTTACTGTAGTCTTGTAGTATAGTTTGAAGTCAGGTAGCGCGATGCCTCCAGCTTTGTTCTTTTGGCTTAGGATTGACTTGGCGATGCGGGCTCTTTTTTGGTTCCATATGAACTTTAAAGTAGTTTTTTCCAATTCTGTGAAGAAAGTCATTGGTAGCTTCATGGGGATGGCATTGAATCTATAAATTACATTGGGCAGTATGGCCATTTTCACGATATTGATTCTTCCTACCCATGAGCATTGTTATCAAAGGAAAATCTCAGGAAAATTGAACAACCAGTGAAATAGCATTGCCCCCTATCTTCCCATCAACCTAGAACAGAAGGGAACTCACCTGTACCTTGGTACTTGAGAGATGAGACAGCTACTACTGCCCCCATTTTACTGATAAAAAAACAAAGTGCCTCCAGAAGTCATAACTAGTGAGGAATGAGCGAAAGTTGAGGTGAGGGATGGAGATAGTTAGCTCTTCTCCTTCATTCTCCATCTCATACAAAAGGAACTTCCGCTGCTGACACTGGAGAGGGAAGTGTTAAAAACCTTTACTCTTTCCTCCCTGAAGGTGTAGGACTTGCTCATTTGACTGATAAAGCTTGCCATTCCTTGGGCTAAATGTACTAGCGGTCGCGTGTCCCAGAGGTGCATCTCTCTGATCCTGCAACACTTTTGCCCACCTGAGCTCAGGTGCCTAGGTCCTCTGATCTGCTCTTTCATCTCCTTCTGAGTTCTTGTCTTCTTTCAGTTCAGGGGCAGTAAGAGCTCACTTGGAAAATGATGGTCCAGGGCCATCATTTTCTATCCTGGAGACCAGTAGTGAGAGGTCAACCAGTGCCATCTGTTCATGCAACACAGTGGGTGGGTAAGTCAGGGCAGAGCTGCTGTTGGCAGGGTTGAACTTCACCCAAGCCCTGTGCTCCTGGTTAAGAAATCCCCCCATCTCCAGGTAACAGCTTACGGCAAAGAACCACCTTTCCCTGTACAGCTTAGATAAGACTTGTGGATGATCCTTTAACAAGGCCAGACACAGGCCCTCCAAATTCCTATTCTTTGTCTCAGAAATGATTAGCTGCACTGTTTGTCTACATTAACCAATCTGACTGGATCAAATTTTAGTCAGGCTTCACTCCTTCCCATGGGCCCCTTCTAAGGATTTGCTGACCACAAAGAACATTTCCAGTTTGGTTCATCGATCAAGCCACCTGCTCTCCTCACCCACGCTGATCCTGTCCCCATTGCAACCACCCCCCTTTTCCCATTGCAATCATTCCCGTTGATAAAATCTTTCCTTACTACTGTACAAACTTGCACATTTTTTTGACACTGTCTCTAGTTTAGAAGGAAGGGAGACAAAGACCAACTTTCATTTGAGAGTTCAACCGTTTATGAGGCATGCTGCAATCAGGGGTCAGACAGTGCTTGCCCAGATGAAAAGGACTGGTGGTACTAGCTTCGAGTTTTGTGTGTGTGTGTTCTGTCAGATCTCCACAGAAAAGATGGGCAAAAAGCTGAATCTGGGTGCCCTAAACACAGCCTGTCTCCCTCTTCTAGTTTCTTTCCACTCCTCAACACCAGAAGAGGCCCTCTCAGCTCATGCCGCACCACCTATGCAACTCACTAAACAGTAAAACAGATTTTGCATAGCAAAGGACATCAGCTTCTCCCACGTCTCAGGGACTAAGGGCCAACACCAGGAGGCAAAGCAGGCAAATGAAAGCTCATTTCTCTGCTACAAAATGAAACACAAAACACTCCTGGGGAAGAGTCCTTCTCTGTAGGCACCAGGGACACCCATCACCCCTCCAGCCTGGGGATCCCCCAGAGATGGCATAAAGGGACACCCATTTATTTGGTCGGGCAGCTGGGAATTTTAATGGAACATCTTAGGAAACGTTACTACTTGGGGCTTTGGGCTGGGGGAGAGCTAGATGGACTCTTTGTACTTCCTCTTCTTGAAGCTTTGCTCTCCTTACTCCATTGAGTATGGTTGTGCTCTGTAATCTGAGCTTCCTTTGAGGACTGGAACACAGGTCTACAGATGGATGACAATGGGATTATGAGACCCAGCCTCAAAGACATGAGAGTGATGGCTGGTCTGTGGGGCTGCCCCAGAGATGCCAGCTGGAAAACGCTAAGAGCAGGTGGCCAAGTCCTTAACAACTTTTCCAAAAACAGGGGTTCTATGTGATTCCGACCTGGCAAGCATAGATTCACATCCATAAAACATTTTGCAGCACAGACTATGTGCCAAGCCTGTGCCAAGTGTTTTGCAAATATTATCTCATTGTATCCCCACTACCAAAAAGAAAAATCATTTGAATTAAAGTTACAGAGACTTAATACAGAAGCAGAAACCTTTAAACCTTGTAGACAAGTAAGAAGACCTTCGAATTCCCCACCCTCAAATATAGATTCCTGTCCATTCATTTACTTACGAATGTTCCTTTTGTTCATTCTTTTAGTGTAGTTCAGTGAATTTTAAACTGTAGTGTGCATGAGATTTATTCAACAAAACATATTTTATCATGGGTGCCATAAGAGATTTCCTAAGGTTAATTTGGACAATACGCACTTCCCAGCTTAACTGTTGACTTCAGAGGCCAATCCCCGCCTAGAATTCTAGTCCACTTTGTTACAACTTCTGATCATCACATCAAAGCGGGGTGGTGAGCCCTGGTACAGGTGGGGCAGTTTGCATTTTGAATGTCCTAGATGATCAAGAACATATTAAAAGAAGCTCTTTGGCTGTCCCTATCACTTGCAATTTAAGGATGAATAAAGTGAATGAGTTGAGTCAGAGACAAGAACAAAAAATAAGCGAATGGCTTAGCAACTTGTGGGAGATCCTTGCCACGGAATATTACCCAGCATGAACTATTAATATACGCAACAAGATGAATGAATCTCATAAAGCATAGACTAACTGAAAAAGTCAAGCACAAAAGACTATATGCCATATTATTCCTTTTATATAAAGTTATAGAGACTGAAAAACTGTAGTATCAAAAAGCAGATAAGTGGTCGCCTGGAGCAGGGAGTTGGCAGGGAGGGAAGTTGAGGGGAGGGTGATAAAAAGCAAAAGGGAAGAGAGGGAGAGAAGGAAGGGGAGGGACTCTATATCTTGATGGGATGGTGGTTACATGATTGTGTACAATGACCAAAATTCACTATGCTGTAGCCTTACATTTTAAAGTCTAAAAATAATACCTTAATACTTTTTTTTTTCCAAGAGGAGAGGAAAAAAAGTCATGGTCACATACATACAAAAAGATTAGAACACTTTATTCCAAACAAAACACTATTGAGCAATTTGGGTCAAAAGAATGCACAAAGCAGAATCACATTCTTCCTTTCAAATTTCTCCTTTCACATTTGTGAAAGAAGAGGAAAAAGAAAAAACAAACTGCAGCATACATTTGAATTTTTCCTTTCAGAGAGGGGCTCTAATCAGTGCAGAGAACTGGGTAACAAGTAAGACCAAGAGGGTTTAATTAAACTGAGCAATCATTAAACTGGATTTAAGAGTGCTTGTGTTTGCAAAACAACAAAATATTTACAGACATTTTCTTCATCCCCTTCATTAGTTTCAGACTCCACAGGAAATATGGAGGTTGGGAACAGGTCCTAATGAGATCATGCAAATTTTAACTACTGAGGTTAGCCTGGCAAAGAGACAGCACGGCAAAATGCTCATGATGAAATGTTAAGTGAGGAAAGCAGGATAGAAAATGAGCTTGCACTAACATTATGAGTGATTCCGATAATTATAAGCATGGTAGGGGGATGACAAGCAGGGGCTGGACATTAAAATATTCTATCAGTGATGGTACAAGAGCGATGGAATTAGGGGATTATTTTCATCTCTGTTTTCCAAAATTTCTGAAATATATGAGTGTATTACTTTTATTTCTTTCAAAATAAGAAGGTACACTAAAGCAAGACCATCACTTGAGGCCAGGAGTCCAAGACAAGCCTGGGCAACATAGTGAGATACCTACAGAAAATGTAGACTTCCACACAGTGAGATCTCTATAAAAATGTAGATCTCAACATAGTGAGATCTCTACAAAAAATGTTAAAAGTTAGCTGGGCACGATGGCATCCACCTGTAGTCCTAGCTACTCAGGAGGCTGAGGTAGGAGGATTGCTGGAGCCCAGTAACTGGAGGCTGCAGTGAGCTAGCATTGCACCACTGCACTTCAGTCTGGGCAACAGAGCAAATCCCTGTCTCTAAAATAAAAACAACACAAAAATTTTCTAAAATCTAATTTAGACATCTAACAGTCATACATGTTCACTATCTCTTTGCTGTGCCTCAGAACGAGACAAAAGGGGAAGGAATTCTGTAATCTATAGCGGCAGCATCCGATCTCAGAACACTGCACCTTCACTCACTCCAATCAGGGTCTTGCTGCCACTGGGACAGTGAAACTGCCCTCCTCAAGACCACCCATGACCCTCATGTAGCTGAGTCCAGAGGTGAATTCTTGGCCCTCATCAAACTTGCTTCATCAACAGGGTTAACAGCATTGATGGCTCCCTCCTCCTTTCTCAGATTCCACACAGCGTTCTCTCTTGCTTGTCTTCCACCTACTCTTTTGAGATGGAGTCTCGCTGTGTCACCCAGGCTGGAGTGCAGTGGCATGATCTCAGCTCACTGCAACCTCTGCCTCCCGGGTTCAAGCAATTCTTCTGTCTCTGCCTCCCGAGTAGCTGGGACTACAGGCGTGTACCACCACACCTAGCTAATTTTTGTATTTTTAGTAGAGATGGGGTTTCGCTATATTGGCCAGGCTGATCTCAAACTCCTGACCTCGTGATCCACCCACCTTGGCCTCCCAAAGTACTGAGACTACAGTTGTGAGCCACCGCGCCTGGCCCTCCACCTACTCTTTCTCAGCCTCCATGCTGGACTCTCTCCCTCATCTTGATACCTACCTGGTGGAGTGCTTAGGCTCAGTCCTTGAATTTCTTCTCTTCTAAGTCCCAACCCTGTGCATCTCATCTAAGCCCACAACTTGAAATAGTATCCATACACTGACTACTCCCAATTTCACATCCTTATTCTACACCTCTCTCCTGGACTCAGGCCTGTATATCTAACTGCCTAGTTGATGTATCGACCTGGATGTCCAGTAGACATCTCAAGTCTCACATGCCCAAAGCCAATATCGACTACTCTTCTCCAAACCCGTTCCTCTCAATCTTCCCTTGCTTGGTGCCTCAGCATCCCTTGTAGGTTTCCTTAGTCTTGCCCACACCACTAACAGTTACTTCATTCAATTCTCTTCGTTACACACTTTTGAGTAGAATTCTATGTCCTACAGGAATCTTGATTGTGTTCCATCTAGGATGATGCCCTTGGAGGGCGAGTCCTCCCCTGCTGCTTCCATCTGCCCCAGAAGTCACACCTCAGCCTAGATTAGCTGAGGGTCACTCAAACGCACTGTAGTCTGTAATGCCCTTCATGCCCTTATCTTTGTATGCAGGTGAAGCATAGACCACCCTTACCCTGCTGTCTCCTCACCCTTGGAAATGGAGTTCAAGTATCAAGCCTCCCTCAGGAAAATCTTCCCTGACCATCGCTCCCACCCCAAGCTAAGATGGCATCCCACCCCTGTGGTTCCCAACACTTCACTCATGGCTACTTTGCGAATGGTCTTATAGCCCATCTTTGTAGACACATGAAGCTCCATGATGAATTTAGGGAGGCCCTTCAGCACTCCACCCCTGCCCCATCACACCTGCTGGTGCCAATTCATACCTGTAGGAGAGCCAGTCACACCTGCAGCATGTTCAGCCCCTGCACCTGGAGAAAAAACCTAGCAATCCAGAACTTTAAAGGTCACTTCCAAGGACTTCTGGGTTCACAGGTGACATAAATAAGCAAAGCCACAGATTGGGTAGGATGTTCAATGAACCAAAGAACACAAATCCTATCTGAAGGCATCCAAAAGCAATTTTTAAAGAACACTGTATACTCAGAAGAAGAAGACAATCTGTGCATTGATCTGGGCTCATGGTCCGTGAATTTGCAATCTCTAAGCCAAATGGCCACAAAGTACCTAAATGTGCAAGACCTCGCAGATTAATACTGAATGAAGGCCTCCTGACAGGAAATGTCTGCACATTACTTTCCAGGTGACAGATTGGCAGATAAAGCCCACGCGCCACTGTCTAAGTGACAACACACTTTTCACACGTATCTTCTCAGTCATCCTCATCATAGCCCCAGGAGACAAGTTCATTATTATCTCTATTTTGCCTTTAAGAAAACCAGAGCCTGAACAGGGCAGATGACTTAACAAGGTCACACAATGAGGATCTGAAAGAGCCAGAAGCCCTGGCACCAGTCCCAGGTACTCCACGTGCACTGCTGGGCCAGTGGATGCTTCACAACCTGAAGGATGGCCAGGGCCTCTTGGGCCAGCAGTGTCCAGCGTCATCAATACCCTATCCACTTCAAGATGAATGGGACATTTTTTTCTTTTCTTTTTTTTTTCCTTAAGACAGAGTTTTGCTCTGTTGCCCAGCAGGCTAGAGTGCAGCAGTGTGATCTCAGCTCACTGCAGCCTTCACCTCCTGGGTTCAAACGATTCTCGTGCCTCAGCCTCCCCAGTAGCTGGGATTACAGGCATGTGCCACCATGCCTGGCTAATTTTTGGTATTTTTAGTATTTTTAGTAGAGATGGGGTTTTGCCATGTTGGCCAAGCTGGTCTCGAACTCCTACCCTCAAATGATCCACCCACCTCGGCTTCCCAAAATGCTGGGATTACAAGCATTTGCTACCATGTCCGGCCAGATGGCACATTCTTAATACATGCTATGAACTCTCACAAGAATTCCCATATCATGACTTTTATAACCTGCCTTTTAACCCTTCCATTTAAAAAAAAAATTATAGCATGTGCTACAAAGCCCTGGATGATCTTTGGGTTTAAAGCAGCATGCAGCTAGCTAGGAAGGCCATGGCATTTGTGTGTAAAACAGCCTTCTATTCTGGTAATGGATGCAGCCGCGGTCTGATAAGCAGGCTGTGCAGCATTCACTAGCATCTGAGGCCAGCATTCACCAGCATTGTGAACCTCGGGAAGAAAACTCAAACAACCTGATGTCCAACAGTACTCCTATAAGGAGCAAAATTGGTGAGAGGAGCCCACACTTTTCCTAAACCCCATACAAACATCTCTATCTCTGCCATGATGGCTTAAGCGTAAGTGAAATCACTTTGACTCACATCCTCAAGGTGAAGAAAGCTGAGCTCACACAGAACGGCTAATATGTGCACAGAACATCACAGCTGGCAAATATCCCGATCCGTACATCAATCCCCAAAACCAGCTGCTGTTAACCTCACTTTTCAGATAAGGAAATGGGGTTGAGAGAGATTAGATGAGTTGGCAAAGGTGAGTGGAGATTTGATCACAGGTCAGCTGGATTCACAAATCTGTGTACTTAGGGCCTCATCTGTGGTTCCCAAATTTCACTGGTCATGTACATCACCTGGGAGCTTGTTAAACGCAGATTCTTGGGCTGTGCTCCAGGGACTCTGATTCAATAGTTCAGGGGTTGGACTTGAGCATCCATTTTTAAAGAGCCTTCCAAGTGAATCTGATGCAGGTGGCGCATTGTCCACAGTGTGAGAATTACTGCGGCTGCATTGAGCCTTTCAAAAGAGAGAAGCGCCATCCTAAATGAAAACCTTAAAGCCACAAATGATGAGAATCAACTCCCAGAAGCATTCCCGGGTCTGTGAGCACAGTCTTTGCAGAAATGCTGGCTTTTAGGCATGCTTCCTAAACTCTCTCACTCCTCATGACACAAGCTTTTCCAAATGCTAGTAGCACCTGTACTAATATTTAGTTAATATTTTTTAATATGTCATTTTTCTTAACTTACTTTAAAAGGAAACTCCGTATCACTACCAAAATGAAAACCTGGTCTCATTTGCTATAAACACATAATGAGGCTAAAAACAAAATTAACAAAAACAAAAACATAAGTAAATGTTGGCTAGATATTGTTGCTCCCCTAGGGTTCTGACCCTAGAACATGGTTCCTCCTAGGGAAAAATGAGCATTTGTAAGTGTTGGAAGGGCAAGGAGTGATAGAAGCTCTAAAACTCAGAGGCTCTTTTTATATAAAGAGGTATTAGAAAAGAAATGAAGCATTTTCTCCATGGAATTCAATGCTCATGGATGCCCTGCCCACACACTACAAAAAATTCCATGAACCACCAGTAATGTCCCATATTTCGGGTGTCATTGGCTTGAGGCAGTGTTTTCAAGACTTGAGGGTGAATCAAAATCACCTGGAGAATCATTCAGATTGCCAGGCCCTGCCCCCTTGGGTTTCTGATTCAGTGGGTCCGGGGAGGGGCCTGAGAATCTGCATGTCTAGCAAGTTTCCAGGTGAGGCAGATGCTTCTGGTCCAGGGCCATGCCTTGAGAGAATTCAGAGCAGCTGAAGAAAAGAGGGCTTCATTCCCTGGCACTCTCTGATACCTACAAGGAGCTGTCAACTGCACATGAGTACCTTCTGGTACTGCACAGTCCCTTTGCAGATTTCCGACCCCAGACATTCCCAGCTCCATATAAGGTCTTTATCAATCACTTCACTCCAGGACTCTTCTGGAAGCCCCCTCTAAGAGGGGCTAGACCCTGCCAGGTAAAGCTTTTAGATGGGCCGTCCCCTCTCAGGGGGTGTAGGCAGGAAGTTGCCCACTGACTCGGGGCTGCCTCAACAGACCAGGCCAGCCTGTGGGTCTGACCTGCAGAGGGCCATATCCCACCTTCAGACCTGTTGCCTCTATGCAGCAGGCTCTGCACCTGCCTGAGGGGTCATTTCTGGTGGGCCCTCTCTCCCTGACCAAGACTTAGCCTTGCTCTGATGTCAAGCCTCCCTGCATCCACCCCTCTCTCCTGTTCTCCATCCTGGACTACCCCAGAGCCCTGATACTGCCCTCTCCCAGGTCACAGGCCCCAACAATGGGCTGCACTAGCTCTGAGCTTCTCCCCAGCAGGTTTGAGTAGCAAATAATAAATATTTTTTTTCTAAGCAACTCTTAGTGCAATTCACCCCACTGTGCCTTATGTTTGAAGGAGCTTATAGCAATCCTCAAGGGATCCAGGACGACACGGGGGACATAATTTAGAGGGGACAGATATTCCTCCACCAGAAGTACTTTCCAGAGAATCTGGGGCCAAGACTCTGGCTGTGCCCTCTGGTGGGATGACTTCCCTGAGCAGAGAATGCATAGAGTGCATCAGAGCCACACACGTTCCAGGGTCCATAGAGCTAGGTTAAAATCCCAGCCTCTGCTTCCTCCCCGTGTGCCCAAGGACCTGTTTCTGAACCTCTCCATGTCTCATTTCTTCATGTGCAATACAGAGGAAATCATATTTGCCTGCATGATTGTTGTGGGGATGCAATTAAATAATACACGTCAAGCCTCAGCAAGGGGGCAGCCAGGCTTACAATGCATCCCCAAGAAAGGACGGCAGCTGCCACAAATGCTGCCATCATTATTACTGATGGAGCAGCCACCCAGATGGGGGTCACTTCAACTCCTGCTCCAGGCCATCCCAGAGATGGCTATTACCAGGGAAAGGATGTTTCCCTGCTGGCACACACACACTCATTCAAGATCTCAGCAGCCATAGAAGCTAAAACAACATGGGTTGGGATGTGCAGGTGGGGTTGTAAGGTTGCTCTTGATGTGACTTTCGATGTCCACCAAGGAAAACCTGAGGGTGCAGGAAGGAATAAACAAATCCCCTTCATCCAGGACTTCCCATTTGCCCTCAGGAGTAAGGCAGGTGTTGGCAGCTCCCAGAGCTGAAGCCACTGCCTCATAAGTTAATGGGAAGAGCAAAAGGCAAGACCTGCTTAAGGGGACCAGCAGAAAGATTGTAGAAAAAAGGGGGGCTGGGTGTGGTGGTGCACGCCTGTAATCCCAGCACTTTGGGAGGCTGAGGCGGGTGGATCACCTGAGGTCAGGATTTGGCGACCAGCCTGACTAACATGGTGAAACCCCGTCTCTACTAAATACAAAAAAATTAGACAGGCGTAGTGGCGCATGCCCGTAATCCAAGCTACTTGGGAGACTGAGACAAGAGAATCGCTTCTACCTGGGAGGCAGAGGGTGTAGTGAGCCAGGATCGCATCACTGCACTCCAGCCTGGGCAACAAGAATGAAACTCCATCAAAAAGAAGAAAGAAAAGCAAGAAAGAAAAGAAAGGAAAGGGAAAGGGAAGGGGAAGGAAAAAAGGAAAGGGAGCTACTCATGGTGGTGTGGTAGACCCACGCCTGCAGTCAAACAGACCAGAGTTCACAGCCCAGCAGGTCACTCACCATCAGCATGCAAGTCCACGTGGGACTTCACCTCCAAAGGGCTCTGTTTCCTCTTCTGTGGCCCAGGTATGGTACAGTGAACTGAGCTGTCAGGGGCATTAACTAAAATTCCAATAATACAAACAGACGCTTCCTAATTAGGCATGTAGGTTGTACTTAGACCACTATGTATTATTTCTCCTCATTTTACAGAGAGATGAAGTAACTTGCTCAAGGTCACACAGTCAACAAAGAGGAGAGCTGGGATCTATACCCATGCAGCCCACCTCCAAGTCACATGCTATTGGCTGCTAAGCAGCACCGTGTAGCACAGGGCCTGCCATGCAGCAGTTGTGAGTACAAACTGGGACGGGGTAAGGAGGCAGGGAAGGTGAAGGTTGCTTTCCCAAAGCCTCTATCTGGATGATGAGATGGGAAGTGAATCTGCAGACTCGATTAATCTAAACCCAAGCTCATTGCACAAGGCTCTGGTTCCCTGCCCCAAATTTAAACAGCTGCTCCTTCAATGTAGTGGAACACAAATGTCTGAAGAGCTTTGAATTTTAATTATCACAGTCCTGATGACAATCTGAATCAACAGCTGCTCCCAGCAAGGTGGCCCTCAGAGATGCCCAGAGAGGGGCAGAGGGAGGGGACAGGAGGACACAGTCCAGACAGGACACAGATGACTGCATCTGTCTGGGGAGCCCTGACACCTGCAGCTGGGAGCTGTGGGATGGACAAACAGGTTGAAATGCAGTAAGAGGAGGAGGGAATCTCTGGGGTGCACCTGTCCCCTTGCCACAGAACATGTGTGTCTGTCATATGTCGGGGTGAGTGACAATGCAGAGGGAGAATATCAGGGGCCATGGGGAGACCCTACCATGGTGTTTCTGATGAGTAGGCCAGGAGGTGTGAATACAATTGCCCAGGGATCCAAGAAGGGGTCAAAAAGAAAGGTGTCAGAGGGATGGTCAACCAACTAAGAGGTGGCAAATGACAGCCCTGCTGTGACAATAACTCCTATGTTCCAGGTATTGGAGCCTCCACCCATCCCTACCCACCTTCTCTTCTCCAGGTGAGAAACGTCCCTCCCTTCCTGCAACTATTTCAGGGAAGACGCTGCCACTCAACACAAAAACCTGTCCCCAATTGCTTCAATGCAAAAGAGAAGGACATTCCCTCCAAGTACTGACCCTGTCAGTCCCATCTTTTGATTCCTGTCATATCTAACACCTTTCTTACCAGTGACATTGTCTGGATAACCCCAAACTGGAAATACTAGAATAACAAAATGGCCAGGAGAACAGAACATACCCCCTGCTTTCTTTTTGGCTTTGCCCATCAATTTGGCAAGATGGCAGCAGAGCAGGTACTGCAGGTAAGACAGTAAGTCACCACAAGATACCCAGAAGGAAGTTCGGACACATGTGTCATTTCTAACATCCTTAGCATGCGAGAGTAATTCTCTCCTAGGGAGATATTTTGTGCCTTACATGCAAGGATACTCAGTGAAGTGTTCTTTACAAGAATGCAAAAGGAATTCAAAAACAGGAGACTAATTAAATAAGTTGTGATACACTCACGCACTTGAAGTGCGTGTCATTATCAATAATTTAGAGTTCCAAAGAGCCCGAAGTGTGGAGACATGTTTACAATAAAATGTTAAGTAATAAAGAAGGACATTAAATCATCTGTCACATGTATAATTATTCCAATTGCATTTAAAGGACAGAGGTGTATAAATATGAATAGGAAAAAATACAACTAAAAGAAAGTGCATTAATCATCTCTGTTCTTATGGATGGGTTTTATTTTTTCTGTGTGCTTCTTCCTATTTTCCTAAGTTTTCTACAGAAAATATGCATTATATAGAGACTTTCAAATTTATTTTCAATTTAAAAATTAATAATAAAAGAGGACAGAGAAGTTAGGGAAGGAGAGATGGTGTTCAGACAAGGGCTTGGAGCCCATTTTGAACAAACCTGGCCTCATTCTCACAGCCCTCAGAGTCAAAATAGCGGAGAACATTTTCCCCTTAAATCAATTCTGCAAAATAATATTTGGTCTGATGTTTGTAGGAATACAAGCGTCCTTGGCTCCTGCAAGCGTGGATCAGACAAAGCAACTCAAGAACCCATTCTTGAAACCTAAGGATTAGCAGTTGCCATGACAATGTGTTAGCAAACAATTTATTAAGTACTTGAAATTTCTCCTCCACTATTGATTACTAAATGGGTATTGGAATGACCCATTACTGCAAGTTCTGTGTCCCCATCTCAGTGCCTGATCTGGCTGCAAATGGTCCCCCAATTAGGACGCCTGGCTGTAGGCGGCTGCCATTCAAATGCTTGGTTCCCATCCAAGAAAGCAGTCATCTGGGAAAAGTTTAAGCATAATCTCTCCGGACTAGTTTCTGATAAAGGAGGGAAGAGGACAGGGAAAGGACTTGGGGAGTGCTTACTGATGATGAGGAAGATGAGCCCTGCTTTGGAAGCACTGACAACTTTTGACAGCAGCCTGCAGCATCAGTGAGATGGAAAACCACCCAACTGCCCTCCTAGGTCCCTCTTCTGATGCCAACATCATCATCAGCTGAGGGGGCTGGATCCCTGCCACTGCAGGTCTTTGTTTCAGAAGATTTGGGCCCCTGGACATTCAGCTCCATATCATTCATTCAACAAAACTCCACTAAGAGCACTTGCAATGTGATGGTACCAAGCAAGTTCCCTAAATGCCTCAAGTCTTCTACCCTTGTGCACAATTCCCTTTACTTTTTTTACTTATTTCTATTTAATTAATTTTTTTTTTTAGGAATAGGATCTTGCTCTGCTGTCCAGGCTGGAGTGCAGTGGTACACTGATAGCTCACTGTAACCTTAAACTCCTCAGCTCAAGTGATCCTCCTGCCTCAGCCTCCCAAGTAGCTAGGACTACAGGCACAGGCCACCATGCCTGGCTTTTTTTTTATTTTGCAAAGACAGGGTCTTACTATGTTGCCCAGGCTGGTCTTGAACTCGTAGCCTCATATGATCCTCCTGCCTCGGCCTCCCAAAGTGCTGGAATTACAGGCATGAGTCACCATGCCCAGACCCTCATACATAATTCTTGCGACTTTCCCTCTCTATTATGAAACAAAACTTTATACCATAGCTACCACATGTACCTTTCAGCAAGTAGCAAGATACAGCTGCCAAATAAATGAGCTGAGCTTATGATAATAGTTGTAGCTGGTATCTAGAATATAGAAGCTTTAAACAAACAACAACAACAAAAAACTCCTTATCTTTATGCTGTTTAGACCAATCAACCTTCCTCCCTCAACCCCCTCCCCATCTTAGCCACCACCACCACCACCAATATCCCTGGCAGTGCATTAACTTTGGGTGCCAAGCTCTCAGAACAGGAGTGGGGGTAAGGAGTTAGACTTGGACAAGAGCAGGGCTAAGATTTGAATTATATCCCCTAAATATTCACGTGTTGAAGCTCTAACCCCCAGTGTCACTATATTTAAAGGTAGGATAAGCTCTTAAAAGGTAATTAAGGTTGAATGAAGTCATAAGGGTGGGGTCCTAATCCAATGGGATTGGTGGAGGGTGAGAGATCTCTTTCTCTTTGTACACACACACTTAGGAAATGCCAGGTGAGGACACATGGAGAATCAAGTCAGGAAGAGGCCCCTCACCAGAGAGAAAACTGGCCAGAACCTTGATGTGGGACTTCCAGACTGTGAGAAAATAAATGCCTGTTGTTTAAGCCACGCAGTCTATGCATTTTGTCATGACAGCACAAGGTGGGAGCCACTGCCTCCCAAATGCTGAAGAACTAGCACGTTGGCTCAGAAGAGAAGTGGAGCCTACGTGGGCAGAGGGTAAGGAGATGGTTCTGCTCAGAATGAGGTAGAACCTTCTCATAGAAGAGGCAGAGCAAGCACTGTGCAGGCTTCTAGGAGACAAGAGAGGGAGCGGGTGAGCATACCATCACTAATACATGCCGCTGCAAGATCTTCCGCATCAGATGGGAGTTAGATGAGAGGACACAGCGTAGGCGCTCAACAAGTATTTGTCAAAGGATTGACACATTTTCTTTGTAACTGGACACCAGGCATGCACAGAGACAACTTACAGCTGGTTAGCAGTGGGGAGGTAGGTGCCAGAGACATGGCTGATACCAGTAAACCCTGGAATGATAGAGTAAAGGTCATGTCCAGTGATTTTCATTTCAGCTACGTGGCACTAAAACTCATCCTGTCAACATGTGTCCTGACTGAATCCATCCCAGTTTGCACATGCAGGCTGGAAACCACTATCTGAGGCCACAGCAGCCTCCTTGTCCCATGAATGCCACACACGGGCCTGGCTTGGGCGTGAGTCCTGCAAGTTCATCCTGTCAGAGGGTGAGAAACAGAGAAGCAGGCCCACACGACCAGGGGTGACTATGAGAACACAGGGCTGTGCAGGTGCCTGGGGCACACAGAAGGCAGGGCCCCATCCCTGAGGTGCCAAAGACGTAGGTTAGAACTGTGGATCAGGGCTAGAGCCAAGCCTAGGGGAAATCTGGACCTCCCCATGAGGATCCTGGACTCAAGGAAGCTCTGATAAGGCAGACATCACTTCTCAAGGGGGCATGTGCCTGGTCTAGACCAAGAGATCAGGGTCTGGCTGCAGCGCAGGCTGCACGTGAAGGTGTCAGGCCTTTAAAAGGTGGCCGGTGCTTATCAAGGACAAAGAGGACAGAGAACTAAGCTGCAGCCCAGAAGAAGAGCTCCAAAAGTCAGAATGGGGTGGTTTCTGAAGGTCTGGCTGAGAAGCAAGGTGGAGGGGTGGTGGTAAGAAAGGAAGAGAGCCTTGTGTCTCCCACCCTAGGTAGCATGTCATGTTGTGCACCCTGGTCAGCGTCACCCTGCTGACTTGGGTGACCAACGTGTCCCAGTTTTCCAAGAACTTTCCCAGTTTCTGCACTGGAAGCCCTGAATCCTGGCAAACCACGACAGCTGGTCACCCCAGCACCAGCCCAGGCTCTGGCGGGGGCTTCACTGAGCTCCTGGAGAAGGACCTTAAAAATCCTCTATCCACCCTGGACACCTAGGTTACTTCTGAAACAACCGCTCCACCTTCACGACCTCCTCAACAGGCGTCTACTGCCTTTGGAATTGGATGCTATTAATACAAAGAGAAAAATGCAAAATGGCAAGCAGTAAGTATACTTCAGAGTGATAATGAAACAAGGGTCCTCATCTTTGCAGCATTGGTCAGCCTGCCCTCATTCTCACCTCTTCCAACCTCTCCTCTATAGGGATCCTTCCAAACCCCAAATCTGACCAAGCTTGCCCTATTTGGACCCATCCCAGGCTCCCTGTTGCTCTGAGAACAGAATCTAATCTTTAATCTGGCCCTCAGGCTCTTTCTGGACCAGACTCCCCCATCTGTCTGGCCTCTTTCCTGCCTTGCACCCAACAGCCTTGCACAACTTTTCAATTCCTCCAGCCTGGCCAAGCTAATTCATACCTCAGGGCCTTTGCACAGGCCAAACCTTCAGCCAAGAATGTCTTCTGCTCCCCTAGATCTTTATCCTGCCACCTACCAACCCAATTTATTTGCCTGCTCAGAAAGGCCTTTATTTATCCTCCCTAGTTCCCTGCAAATAGGATCAATTTGGTCTCCCACAGAGCACAAGCCTTCACTTCACTGTATTGCAATTTTTAAATATATTTACATGTTTGTGGGCCACCTCACTCTTCCCTGAACCCTTTGATAACAAGGACTGGAATCTAACTATGTTTTTCCAGTCCCGAGCATGGTGCCGGGCACAAAGTAGGCATACAGTGAGTGTTTCCTGGTCTATTGATTGATTGATTGACTAAACTCACCTCCCCCAAACCCTTCAATGTGAGAATACATTTTCTTCAAAGTTTTTAGCCATTATAAATGACAGACAAGATGTCTCTTTGAATTTCCAAACGCTTATCTCAAAGCTTTTAGTTTTGTCTACCAGCTCATGCCACCAACCGGATGAGCCTCAGCAAGGTTCCTGTCAAAGCATCCCTCTTTTTGTTGATTTACTTTAAAATGCAACTCAGTGGCTTCAAGTCAGAAGAAGAAGAGGCCACGTCTTCAGCCTCTCCTTAAGCATCTATCACCAGCCAGCTGAGAAGATGTGACTGTCATCCTCCCAACCCGACAAGATGATTTTTCTCAACCATAATACAAGCCCAGTGAGCCATACAATCATGGTGAATCCCCTATCAGCTCAACATCCTATGCAATTTTTCAGAGAATATGATTCTATCTGAAAATACATGCAACAGTCTGGAACTCATTTTTCCCCAGTGCCTAACTTTCAGATTCCTATAAATACCAGATGGCCTTCCAGGCAGTGACACACGTTGGAATTATCGAACAAGCATCGCTTATGACTTTGCCTTGGGCAGTGTCAAAAGGTACTGAGAATTTACCCATCTCATTACGGCGTTGCTAACAGGGTCTCAGGCAGTTTGCTGGGCCTGGAGGTGTGTCAAATTGCAGTGCCATGAATGCCTCAAACGAGAGACAGAGAAAGAGAAAGAGAAGGAATATGTGAATGTGTGTCTGTAGCTGAGGGAAACAACAAGAGTAAAGGGAATTAAACTCTTTTAATAAAGGAAAATAGTTTTCAAACAAAGAAAAAGAAGTCTAATGGTTAGCTACTGCTGCATAACAAAATTTCCCTAAAACTGAGCAGTTTAAAACAGTATACATTTATTATCTCACATTTTCTGTGGGTCAGGAATCCAGGCAGAGCTCAGCTGGGTCCTCTCTGTCAGCATCTCACAAGGCTGTAATCAAGATGTAGGCCAGGGTGTGGTCCCATCTGAAGGCATCACTGGGGAATAATATGCTTCTAAGCTCACTCTCAGGGTTGTTGGCAGGACTCAGTTTCTCAGGGGTTGTTGGACAGAGATATTAGCTCTGAACTATTGACCAGAGGCATCCTTCAGTCCCTTGCCTTGTGAGTGTCGCTATAGAGTGTCTCACAACACACCAGCTTGCTTCATCAGCAAGTAAATGAGAGGGTAAGAGAAAGCACCAGCAAAGAGAGAATGCTAGCAAGATGAAAGCCATAGCCAAGCATGGTGGCTCACATCTGTAATCCCAGCACTTTGGGAGACCAAGGCAAGTGGATCACCTGAGGTTAGGAGTTTAAGACCAGCCTGGCCAACATGGTGGAACCACGTCTCTATTAAAAATATAAAAAAAGAAAAAAAAATCTGGGCATAGTGGCGGTGCCTGTAATCCCAGCTATTCAGGAGGCTGAGGCAAGAGAATCACTTGAACCCAGGAGGTGGAGGTTGCAGTGAGCCAAGATTGCACCACTGCACTCCAGCCTGGGCAACAGAGCAAGACTTCATCTCAAAAAAAAAAAAAAAAGCCACAACCTTTTGCAACCTAATCTTGGAAGGGCGTCTCATTGCTTTTGCCATAATTTTTTTTTTTTTTTTTTTTTTTTTTTTTTTGCCCAAGCTGGAGTGCAGTGGCATGATCATAGCTCACTGTAACCTCATATTCCTGGGCACAAGCAATCCTCCTACCTTAGCCTCCTGAGAAGCTGGGACTACAGGCACGCACCAGCACACCCGGCTAATTTCTAAATTTTTTGTAAAGACAAGGTCTTGCTATGTTACCTAGGCTGTTCTCAAACTCCTGGCCTCAAACAATCCTCCTGCCTTGGCGTCCAAAAGCAATGGGATTACAGACATGAGCCACTGCACCTGGCCTGCCATAACTTATCTTTAGAAACAAGTGTCTAGGTCCAGTCTACACTTGAAGGGAAGGGATTACACAAAGGAACGAATATTCAAAGACAGAGATTATTGAGAGCCATGGCAAGGCCTCTTTCCACAGAAAGGCTTCAGAAAATTATGATCAGAGCCTCTCTCCTAAGGCCTGGAACATAAGAGTATCTGGGATATTCATTCATTCATTCATTTTTCAAAAAGTATTTAATGACTGTCTGCTATGGACCAAACATTTCTCGTCTAGTCCGGTCTAGTCTAGTCCAGTCCAGTCCAGTCCAGTCTATTCTTCTATTCTATTCTATTCTTAAGATGGAGTTTTGCTCTTGTTGCCCAGGCTGGAATGCAATGGCGCGATCTTGGCTCACCACAACCTCCTTCTCCTGGATTGAAGTAATTCTCCTGCCTCAGCCTCCCGAGTAGCTGGGATTACAGCATGTGCCACCACATCTAGCTAATTCTGTATTTTTAATAGAGACAGAGTTTGTCCATGTTGGTCAGGCTGGTCTCGAACTCCCAACCTCAGGTAATCTGCCTACCTTGGCCTCCCAAAGTACTGAGAGTACAGGTGACCAAACACTATTCTAAATGCTAAGTGAACAAAGGCAGAAGTGAACAAAACATACAAAAATCCTTGTCTTCATAAAACTCATATTCTAATGGAAGGAGAAAGACCGTAAATGGGATAACTAGTGTGTTGGATGGTGATAACAGCTATAGAGAAAGCAAAACAGGAAAGGGAATGCTGGGGAAGGGGTGGGGGCACAGGTTGAAATCAACACCACATAGGAAAGGCTCCAGTGAGAAGGTAACATTTGAGCAAAATCATGAAACAGGTCAAGAAGCTATCACATGGTTGTCTGGGGGAAGAGCATTTAGACAGAAGCTGCAGATGCAAGGGTCTTGGGACAGGAGAATGAAGCCAGGGGCTGCAGTGGAGTGACAAGAGTAGTAGGAATACGTGAACAGAGGTGTCATGGGCATATCACGGAAAGCCTCATAAGCATTTGTAAGGACTTTGTTTTTTATTGCAAATAAGATGGAAAGCTACTGGTGGGGGGTGGCCTGAGACACAGGAGTGATATAAACTGTCTTATAGCTTAACAAGTCTCCTCTTGACTATGGGGTGGAAGACCAATGTCAGTGGGGTGACAAGGGCAAAATGCAGGAATTCACTGAGGAGGCTGCAGGTCTACTCTAGATGAGAGCCAATGATGACGTAATCTGGGGCAGCAGCACAGGAGGTGGGTAGGTTGGCTTCTGGATATATTTTGGAAGCACAGCCTAAGGATTTGCTGATGGGTTAGATGTGGAGTGTGAAGGCAAGAAACAAAGAAATAAGACATAGTTCTAATGTTTTGGCCCTAGCAACTGGGAGAACAGAATTGAAGATTCGTTTAATTCTAAACGAAGTAAAGACCAAGAGTTCAGTTTTGGAAGTGGTAGAAAACTAGGGTGATCATTAGATCAAAGTTAGAACCTCTGAAAGCCTCGGCCCTGCATCTGGGTGATGGACCGTGGTCCACACAGCACACTCGAGCCTCAGTTTCTTCACTGTACCTGCAAGTGCCTAACACCTCCTAAGTCCCACATTTAGCCAGCAGCCCATCCCTGCGCAGTGGGAATCTCGGCTTTACACGTTATGTGCGCATATCATATTACTGTACAATAACTCAAGTCTTGCTATATAGGCACATCATAAAACTATTCCAAGAGGATAGATTACTTGAAACCAGCATTTAATGTGCAGCTATTACATGCCAGGCACTATCCAACGCACTGCTCCTACGTTATCCACATGCATACACAGGCACTGGGTGTCATAGGATCTCTAGCAGTCAGAGACTGTGGCTCTCAAGCTCCTTGGCAGTAGGCTGTGGTCATCTTTCCCACGTGTGCCTGTGTTTCTCTGCATTAAGATTTTCAGAAATGAGGGCCATGTCTGGGAATCTGTTTACTACTGCAGTTATGCTGAGCCAGACAGTCTCTCCCTGTAAACTTGCAGTGATGGGAACCTCATGACCCCATAAAGCAGCCCCCTCCAATGTTACAGCTAGTTCTCAGAAAGTCTTTCCCTTTTATTATCAGCCAAAATAAAATCCTATAGTTTCTATTCATTGGCTCCAGTTCACCTTGTGGAGCCACCAGAGAAAATTTCCCCTGCCTTCCAAATCACAAGCTTTCAGAGAGTTGAGAGCAGCTCTTCAATCTTCATTTGACACTGATGAGAAGAGTGCCAGCTAAAATCTGAGACATACTCTGTGAATCACACTTGGTAAAAGTGTTTTTACAAATATTATCCCATTCACCATCCATAATCACTGAAGATTAACTGCGAAGTATCATTTAGCTATCACTTCTAAATGGGAGAATGAATGGGAAAACTCTTGGAAAATTTTGAGATAATTACACTCTGTATCATTGTTCCCATTCTGCAGATGAGAACACAAGTGACTCAGATATGCTAAGTCACTTCAAGATTACCTTTAAGTAACTAGTGTTAAAAGATAATCTTCAAAACATAATAAAATCATGACTCATACAGATATGAAATAAATATGTGTTAAAGATTTTATCATCAATGATTTATCAAAGATCTTATCAATGGATTTCTATCATTAATTAATGAAGATTAGAAAGATGCTACAAGTGGTTTAAAAGAGAACCCAAAGAACAGACAGCTAACAGAAACATTTAAATGGGTGTACGAATGGATGTAAAATTTTTTGAGGGGGAAGGTTGGGTAGCTCAGTTGAACCTCTACTGGACAGGATGGAATGTGCATATCAGTATCTGTAACTCATAAAACTGTAAAACAGTTTCCATAAAATCAAAATCAGATACCCAGGAAGGATTACCCCTAGAGTCTAGAGCTAGACAATTACTGTTTTCCACCGAAGCACCATTTTCTCTCACAGCCTAGCATAGCTAGGGTCTGCACATGGTTCTTTATAACTCTTTGCCCTCTAAGAAAATCTGTTTAAAACATTCACTGACTTTTTTTCAGGCCCAATCATAATATAGATGGGCCTTCAGTGGCTGGCAACATATGAGAGAAGGAGCAGAGGCACTGAAGAAGAAAGAGTTTGGCAAGGACAGTTAAGTTCCTGCCTCTCTGCATTTTTCCATGTCAGTAAGAGCCTTTCCCTTCCTCTCTTCCCCAGCCTGTTTCTCACTTAATAAGGAGTTGTGCAGGGTATTTCCAGCCTAACTCCCTCCCCCCCATGCTTGCTAGAGAGTGCTCCATTGTGCAATGAAAGAAGGTAAGGAGTTATGCATGTTTTTGGTTTTACTGAAAGTCTATAGTGTTTCAATAGTCTCTTTGTTCTCTCTCTCAATAGTTCCTGTGTCTTAAGAAATTACAAATTTTCATTCTTCCTATGGCATTAGTAGTTTGGAATAAAAAAGGAAGGAAAGAAAAGAAACCAATTAAAAAATAAAGTGCTTAGGCTTAAGAACAGCATTTATAATAACTTCACAGGTCTAACCTGCACTTACTGGCGGCAGTTTAAACAGAAGGTTCCTTGAGAGGTGAGCAATAAAGAAGCCATTTAGTACTTGATCTCCAGAGAGGGTTTTATCAATTCACTTGCCCCCTTAACCATCACTGGTTTCTGTGTAATCCATAGAAAGATGAGACAAACCAACCAACTCGCTCACATTTGCATGGGTCAGACCTCTTATTAAATGAGTTTTCCCCAAATGGCAGTGCTTAGCATACTCTGATGGCAAATGCTTAAACATTTCGTCAATTTCAATGGGATGTCAATTTCCCCTGCCAAGCAAGGTGGCCTTCCAGGCTAATCTGGGGTGAGGGAGGGGAGCCAATTCCAAAGTAGAGAATGATTCTGAATACATACAGCTTTAATTCCAGGTTTGCTCATCACTCCCGCCATCTCAGCCCATGCTTCTACCAACACTGGCTCAGAAGTTGGAAAAGATGGAGATTGTATTTCTGTTAGACTGAGAGGTGGAGCTTGTCTGTCTTCCCCCCTCCTTTTCCTTTCCTTCTTGAGGGCAAGGCCTATCTTGTTACTCTCTGTACCCACTGTCTCATTCAGTACCTGGCTCATAGTTGGTGTTGAGACACTGTTTTTTCGGTCAAATGGAACTAAATCCATTGTTTTGTCTTTTTCATTCCTTCATCTACTATTTACTTGAAACTTACTAGTTTCAAGTTCAGGTTCTCAGCTAAGAGCTGGGGCCATGGCAGTGACTCAAACAAGGTTTTTCTGCCTTCAAAGGGCTTATATTTTAGTAAGAAAAAAAGACACTAAAAAATGAGTGAATAAATGATATTATTATTAATGATAGCATTTCAAGTACAAATAAGGACTCAGAAGTAAAAATGTAGGGTAAAATGATGGAGTGGTAGTTTTGACAGGGAAGATAATTCACCTTACCTTCATCTGTCTATCTAATAAATAGATAAATAGATATAATCTTATCCATTCAGAGGGTACCTGTTGGACAGAAAGATGATCTTCCCACTCAACACCACTATTCTGTCACCCACTGAGAGCAATGGATAAGAATAGACTAGAATTTATTGAGTGTCTAGTGTGTGTCAGCCATGGTGCCAGGCTTTTAATACATAATATCTGATTTAATCTTTAAAATATAATCCCCCCAGGAGATAGTCCTTATTACTTTAGTTCTACCAGTGAGGATACAGAGGCTCGAAGTCATTAAAGTACCTTATCTGAGATTACCTATCTATATTGCCTGATGTCTCCACCTATGGTGGAGCCAAGATTTGAATATAGTTTCTTCTACCTCTGAAATGCACACTTTGTATGTTATACTTTACTGGCTCTGGACCTGAGGCATTATGCCAGGTATTCTGGGGGATGTAAAATGTTCAGTTAGCAGCCTTTGATGTTGTCAAAGAGCTCACAAGCTCACTGGGGAAATGAGTTGTATTCGCATAGCCATAACCAAGGAAAAGAAGACATGTATTTCAAGAGAGATAAAAACTGATGGGCTAGAATGACCAGAAAAGCAACATGAAAGGGTAAAATGAATCCAAAAAGACAGGATAGATATGAAAATCAGAGATGAAGTTGAAGAGGAGATGGGAGACTGTTTATACATTGGAGCATTGACAGTGTGTTAGGCACGTGAGTGATACAGTCATATGTGATGTCTGCTCTTAGGTGGGGGAAAAAAAAAGAAAAAAAGCTCACACCTAGCTCAGACACAAGGGAACCAGAACATGATGTGCATCTCCCTGGGGAAGAGTCCAGAGAGCCACAGTATGCTTAGCAAATAAAAACCCCACCATATGGTTTTATCTTCCCATGAAGCTGGGTACATTTCAGCACACAAAAAAATAGGATTTCAGCTGGGTGCGGTGGCTCATGCCTGTAATCCCGGCACTTTGGGAGGCTGAGGCAGGTGGATCACAAGGTCAGGAGTTCAAAACCAGCCTGACCAATAAGGTGAAACCCCACCTCTACTAAAAATACAAAAAAATTAGCAGGATATGGTGGCGCGCGCCTGTAGTCCCAGCTACTCAGGAGGCTGAGGCAGAAGAATCGCTTGAACCTGGGAGACGGGGGTTGCAGTGAGCCGAGATCATGCCACTGCACTCCAGCCTGGGCGACAGAGCAAGACTCCATCTCAAAAAAAAATAATAATAATAATAATAATAATAAGACTTCTGTTATGCGGTTCTACCTTGAGTTCCTTAAATTCCATAGATTTTATTCCTAGGTAAGTCTGGTCCTCAGCAAAATAAAAGTGGAGAAAAAAGCTTCAAAGCCCACTCAGCTGGAAACAGCTTACCTCTCAGAGCTGCAGTTTCCTCATCAATGAAATAAGATGGTGATTCAAAGGATTCAAAAATCATTAAGATTAAGAGATGTCATCAGGCAAAGGACTTTGCATAGTACCTGGCCCATACCAGATGCTCAATAAATGTCAGTTCCAATCTCCCTCCCCTTGACTCTCCTTTTCTGTAAAATATACCTGGTCATCTAGAAAATTTGCAATTGTCTTGCCTCTTCCCTACCCCTTTTTCAATACAGATATTCAATGGGTCATAAAGTCCTACTAATTTTCCTGTTCACCGTTTCATTCACAAATAGTCCTTCTTTTCATTCCTCTGACTCCTGATCTAGCTCAGTTGCTATGGCTTCTTAACCTGACTCCACGCTACATGTTTGTACCCTCCCGTCCTTCTGGGCCCCAGATCAACCATCCTAAAACCTCCTTTAATGATGTCACTAGTGAGACAGCAGAAAGAGAGAGATGGGACTTCAACTTCACAGGCTGTTCTTAGATGCCCAGGTTGGTCGTGAACTCCTTGAGGTTAGGAAAGGAACTATTAGCAAAATGGAACATCCTCCAAGTAGAAAATTATGCTGATGTCAAACAATTTCATGTAGCTTTAATGGATGAGAGGCAACATGATATTGGGCATGACATGCTTAAAAAGCATTGCTTTCAGTGGCCCAGAAAGTGTCATAAAAGAGGCCACATCAAAGTAGCTCTTCTTTAGCACATTACAATTGAGAAGTCATTCCTCCCATTAAAAAAAAAAAGCAAAATGCAACTCTTTACAAGGGATAGGGGTAGGAGAAAAGGGTTGAGCCCGGAAGAAAGAATACTCAGGCTGCAGAAACACTATGGCTGTAGTTGGAGTGAAATACAGGCCACCCAGGGGGAGCTGCTGTCCTGTGAAGTCCACTGATAGAAACCCGATTCCCAAAATATCATGCAGTATCTGCAGATGCCCAGCTCAAAGACATCCTGAAAATAGTACTTGTTATGCCATGTCCATACTGGCTGGCTGGGTCAAGAGGAGGATGGGGCACTGGGCAACCAACAGGAAAGGTAGGTCATTTTAACACCCAACCCATCCGCAGTTTCCAGAGAAGAACATATACAAACAAATGACACAAGTGTGGTATTTCTAGACAGGATATGCACTGGGCTTAAATTTCTTTTCCCTATGGAAGCCTTCCCCATCCAAAAACAGAACAGGCTGGGTACCCCACCACGTGTTCTTACTACACTTCACATTCATAGCCTTTATTGTTTTTGTAATTGTCTAGATGTTTATCTAAAGTCTGTCTCCTCACACTAGACTAAGAGTGAAAGGAGAGCAGAAGCTTTATCTCGTTCTCTCTCGTATCTCTGGTAGTCAGCATGGGGCTTGGCACTTGGGGAACATAGTATGGGCGTATGATTGCTGGCTCTGGGTTTACACAGGCTAAGTTCAAACCCTATCTTCACTAACTGTGGCTAAATGACCTTTAGCAAGCGGCCAACTCTTCCAAGCCTCAATATTTTATCCTCGAAATAGGGATATTGATGGTACTAACCATCAAGTTGATAGAGGATTTTAAGAATTAATACATGTAGAATATTTAGGTATTCCCCAGCATATAAGAAGTGTTCAATAAATGTCTATTATTATTAACTACTTTGGTCAGGACTCCATAAATACTCATTGAATTAATAAAGAAAAGCTTACACTAATTGCATATTAAACTCTGCAACAGAGACTTGGCATCCACAGATGTCAATATTTAGCACTTCCACTTTGCATGAGAAGGGCCAATCGTTTGTTGTCATTTACAGTTTTTTTGTGGAAACCATTTCACTCATCCATTTATTTAGATCAAAACCCAAACGCAACTTGAGGAAAAGAGTCTTTCAACAGGGGTTCACACCTCAGCTAAGACTGGCATTCCAAGAATATCCAGGCAGACAGAAGCCGAGTTGCCTGGCTGCCAAAAAGGCTGAGGTTGGGAAAATGTCACAGTGTGGAAGATGTCCCGAGAAGTCCCAAACACTCAATGGATATCATCCCAGGGCAGTAAGATCAGAGATCATCAGCTCCTGGAAGTGACCCATCCGCTCTAAAGCCAACCATTTTTGGGGATTGGCTTGTGAAGGGATACGCACGCAGAGCCTTCGGGTCAGAAGCTTGTGCCCAATGCCTAAAGTTGAGCGGGTGCAGGGAAGCTTGACCTAATGAGAAGAGCTGTCCACTGAAGACTAAGTTACTCTTACTTCCCCTCCCAGGTGCCAGGCATGAGCAGCAGCAGCCTCTCCTAGGACACCCCTACCCCCGAGTGGCTTCAGTCCTCTGGAATGATGCAAATCAGGCACAGGGATGAGGAAGCACAGCCTCCAACTCAGCCTGAATCTTTCACTTTCCTACAACCCCTTCTTCCTCCATGAGGGATCTGAAGCCATCTGCTTCACCATACACCATCCAGTTAATCTCGTTCAACATATAGTTCACCTCAACAAACCTTCCTGGGGCAGGGCACAGTGGCTCGCACCTGTAATCTCAGCACTTTGGGAGGCCAAGACAGGAAGATCATTCCAGCCTGGGAGTTCAAGACCAGCCTGGGCAACATAGCAACACCCTGTCTCTACAAAAAAACTGAAAAACAATTAGCCTGGAATGGTGACGCATGCCTGCAGTCCCAGCTACTTAGGAGGCTGAGGCAGGAGGATCACTTAAGCTCAGGAGCTCAAGGTTACAGGGAGCTATGATGGCACCACTGCACTCCAACCTGGGTGACAGAGCGAGACACTGTATCAAAAAATAAAAATAAATAAATAAATAAACAAACAAACAAACAAACCTCCTTGAAATTAAGCCCCCACTGCCCAGAAAAGCTCTGTGTCTTTCCACCTCCAGTAACACCTTCCACATTCCTGGGTCCACTATCTTGCCACTGAGTCATGAAGACTTCTGAGAAACACACAAGGGAGAGCAGAGAAAACATCACAGTTTAGGATTTTAGAGCCGGGGGGCGGAAAGTGCTTCTGCTGGAATTTCTGTCTTCCTAGGCAGACAAGCAAAGGAAATGCCGGCTTCCACATGGAGAGGAATACAAGAACCTGCAAACTGCTCTTCCTATCCCACTCACGAAGCTCTCCAAACCGTTCTTCCTCCCAATAGCAGTGACACTCCTGGAACAAAAATCCAGTCACACCAGTGCCTGCACTGGCCTCCCTTTAATCCTGGAATAAAATCCAAATTCGTTGAGATGGCCCACCAGGCCTACCTGAAGAGCATCTCAATTCTATTCCTCCAACCTTACCTGCAGCTACTTTCCACTTGCTGTTCCCTGGCCTCACTGGTCTTCCTACAGCTCTTTGAACAAGCCACACGTTCTCCCAGCCCAGAGCCTTTGCACGTGCTATGCCCTCCACCTGGAGACCTCCCCACTTTTCACATGACCAAGAGAAGGAGGTACCTTCTCTTCCACCAGGTCTCAGTTTACATATCGTCTCCCCAGAGAATCTGTCCCAACTACCGTATATCAAGTCCACAGTTGAAGACTATCTGCATTAAGCACTTGGTTGGTTTTAGTCCCAGTATTTATTGTAATTTGCAAATATGTGTCTGTGATATCTTACCTCCCAGTGGTATATATGCTTCATGAAGGCAAAGAATATTGTTCATCTGAGTCGGTGTTTGTTCCCTGTGCCTGGTACATAGCAAGAGCTCAATAAACTCACTGTATGAATGAATAAACCCACTCCACATTTTTATGGATAAAATGAATATTCACCAGTGTCATTTGTGGCCAGACATTATAAAATGTTGTGTGTGTGTGTGTTATATAGTATTTATATATACTATATATTATAAAATATGTAATATTTATATAAAATATGTGATATTTATATATATACTTTATATATTATGTAAAGATAATATGTATCTTTACATTTATTATAATGTAACTCTAAAGATACATATATATGTATGTATGTATGTATGTATTTATCTACAATGATCTAGGCCTCACCGGTTCCATTTTGCAGGTGAGGAAACTGGAGTGTGAGAGGTTAAATAAATTGCCCAAAGGCACACAGCTAATAAATGACAGCTGTTTGACTTGTGCCACCACCAATCACAGCTCTGGATAGTTTATCTCTGTTCTGGAACTAAAGGCATTTAAATCCGGCCACTGAGGAGGATTTAACCATGTCTGCCAGGGCGTCTGCTGTTTCTCCCGGGACTAATCTGCCATGAAGCAGATGCAAAGCTTCATTTATCACTTCCAACAAAACATGGAAGAGACAAAACCCCAGCGGATGCTCCCTGCTTCCAGTGTCCAACAGGGCAGGGCTTGTCCCATCAGGGCCTCCAAGGTGCCTGTTTCCCTGAGGAAGGGCCCCTCCTCCCATGTCACCGGGGTCACTGCCCCTTGTGCTGGACCCAGGGCTCTGTGCTCTGCATCAGACCAGCTGAGCTGCTCTGTCCACTGGGGTGCTTCGCTCTTAATGAGGTAAAATTCCCATAACATAGAACAACTATTTTAAAGTGTACAATTCAGTGGCATTTGGTACATTCACAATGTTGTGCAATCACACTTCTATCTAGTTGCAAGACCCTTTCATCACCGCCAGAGAAGACCCCCGACCCATTAAGCAGTCACTCCAGTTCCCCTTCCCCAGCCCTTAGTAACCAATAATCTGCCTTCTGTCTCTATGGATCTGCCTTGTCTGCACATTTCCAGAATCATATCATATACATGGAATCATACAATACGCAACCTTCTGTGTTGGGCTTCTTTCACTTAGAATAATGTTCTAGAGGTTCATCCACAATATAGCTGGGATCACTATGTCCTTGCAAGTTTGGGCCCCTGGCCAGTTAGAGATGTCGAGTCAGAGAGCAGCACAGAGTACAGAGCTGATAGCCAGACTTTTCTCAACCTCCTCAGACCCACTAAGAAATGGGGACATCGGAATCATTGCACCTGGAAATTTTCTCCTTCTGCAACAGGTGGGCAATCCCTGGGGGGAACTTGCCCCCAAACAATGAATCACCCTGAGGAGTGCCACAGCAGATGGCAGGGCCTGAATGTGGACCAGACCCATTGAGGACACCAGAGTCCAGCCCTGGCCAGTCCTGGGAGGTCCAATACTCACAAAGAGAAAGGAAAAACCTTAATATTTACATACCTGGGCACTTTTGCTAAAGAAAACCAAACCCAGAAATCCCAAGAACTAACCAACCCCAAAAGTTTAAATTGTGCTGTATTTTAAGTACAACAGATTGTGATCTGACCTCACTGTGGCATCAGCAAAAGATGTTACATACATGACAGAGGGTCAGAATGTTATCAGTTCCTTAGACAGGGGCCCTGAGTTGTCACTATAAATACAACCATTAGATTATCTGGCAAAAAATTCAGTCTCAGCACAAAACACCCATTACTTCCTAGTGGGAGTATCAGCAACATGTACCATATATACTGGTATAATTCTTGCCCTAAATCTTCCCTTCTTTCTTCACTCAATGTCATGGCAACTTCCATCCAACACAAAAACAGCAGGATTTACAACGGGGTTTCTCAACTTCAATCACCGCACTGTTGACATTTTGAGCAAGGTATTTGCCCTGGGGTTGTCCTGTGAATTTTAGAATTTTTAGCAACATCCCTGGTCTCTACCCACTAGATGCCAGGATCACCCCTCCCACAGTTCTGACAGCCAAAAATGTCTCCAGACAGTGCCAAATGTCATCTGAGGGTACAACATCAAGAACCAGCCACTTCGATTCAGGTCAAAGAGAGCGGCTACAGGGAGATTTCTGACTGAGGTTGCATGAGAAGTGCAGGTATGGGATTTTGAGCCGTGCTTCCAAAATTAGGTGAATTAGAATCAACTCTGAATTTTCCAGGGGCCAATTATTCACATTTCCCCAACCCCTGTGCCCGTACTACCTGCATTCCACCCAATTCCCAGCCACTCACAGGCAGCTGGCATGATGGGAGAGATAAAGAAATTTGGAATCAAGAATGCAGGCTTACAGGAAAGTTGGATTATTTTGTTTTGTTTAGACTAGAGAGACTTGTGCTTGTTAAAATGCACCCTCCTTGCATCTTGCAAAGTTTCAATGCTGCCCAACCTTCCCCCAGCCCCTGGCAGCAGAGTCACTGAAGAAAAGGGAAGGGGTCCCCTTCCTCTCATCTCTGGATGGCAGGAATTCTCTCCTGTTCTCCATAGAGCAGGGAAATTCTAATGCTTCCCCTCTCCCTCCAGAGGCCAATCTCCTTCAGGCAAATAGACAAGGAGAGAGGTCTTCTCTGGGGGACCAGACCAAACAATATCGCAATGTTTGAGGGCACAGAAGAACAAAATATACACAATAAGAGAAAGCCTCACTTTCATATTACAGTAAATAAACTTTAAAAATCTCCTCAATGTCTCTTTCACTCAAGCCCTTGCTCCTTTTCTTTCCTCCCCTGCACACCAAACTTCTTGCAAGAATTGTGCTCATTCACTTTGTCCACCCTCATACCTTTCACTCACTCTCCAATCCAGTGCATGAGGCCACCCCACCCCAGGACTCCCGGAAATTGTCTTGCCAAGGTCACTGACGAGTGTCTCTACCTTGTCACTGAATCTAATGACCACTCCTTCATCCTTATCTAGGATGTAAAATCCATGAGAACAGGGAATTATGTCTGTCTTGTCCACTTTTGTATCCCTAGTACTAGAACAGTGCCTGGCACACAGTAGGTGCTCAATACATGCATTTGTTGAATGAATGAATGAATGAATGAATGAGTGAACCCCACTTGACTTCTGCAAGGTATTTCCAATGCTGACCACTCTCTCCCTCTTCGTATCCTTCCCTTGGTTTCTAGAAAGTGACATGCCAATGGTTTTCCTCCTACCTCCCTGAGGACTCCGTCCATCTCAGCCTCTTTATGGTGTCTGCTTCCATGGCTGATCCATGAGATGCTCTTCAAGGCCCTGCACCAGGACCCCTTCTCTTCTCACTCAACAACAGCCTTTTCCCAGACTATCTCATGGCCTCATTACCACCCAGGGAGGGCAGTACTGTTTGAGCTGCCCTACACCTTATCATCATTTGTATCTAGGAACACCCGGTTCATCCTCTGGAGAACTACCCCTTCCCACTCCAGCCTGCCCCAGGTATGGGCACATATCTCAGAGTTGGCTTCTCAGAGCCTCACCTGCCCCTGGCCTGAGTGAACAGCTCAGGGATGGTCATGTGGCCCAATACAAGCCAATGTAAGTGTGGCCCAGGATTTGAATGGTTGGTGATGAAACTTCTCTCTTTTCCAGTGAGCTTAGAGAAATAGGGATTTGGCCATCTTGCTTCCCTAAGGAAAGAGTGCATCCAGGAGTTCAGCCAGCTCACACAAAAAAAAATGCAAAGTGAAGAGATAAGACAGAGAGAGAGTGAAAGATCTGAAACTGATGACCTCATGTGAGTCCTTAAATTCAGTGATGCTTGAAGGACCCCACCCTAGAAGTTTCCAAGTAAATGACCCAATACATTTACTTTTTGCTTATGCCATTTTGGGTTGGAGTCTATCATGGATAACCAACAACCCCAGCTAGAGCGATGACTGCCACATCTGTATCACCAGGCCTGATTCAACTCTGAGCATCAGACCCACGTATCCAATTGTCCATGGACATTTTTATGACCTCTGCCAAATGGACAGGCTGCTGGGAACACGTTCCATGAACCCAAATCTGGCTTGATTAAAAGAGCTGCTCACCATGTACACAACCAACCCCCCATGTTGTCCTCATCCCACTGTTGGATATCCTGCCAACTACAACCCTATTACAAATGTTGACTTCCTCTCTACTATGATATCATCCCATTGCTAAAAACAGAAACTTGGGATGCTTCAACGGGGAAACTTATCTCCAAGATGTCTGCCATCAATTCTTTGCCTCCCTGGACATGCAAGTCATTCTCAGCTAAGGGCTGAGCTAGGGCCTATTCCTACTCTCCCTTTGCATCTGCTCTGGCCTTAGTTATTTTCTTCCCCAATAGAACGCAGTAGTAGTGATGTTCTGGAACTTCTGAGCCTAGGTCATAATAAACTTCACAACATCTGCTGCCACTGAAGAAGTTGGTCTATTCTGAGGTGGCCATGATGGAAGGAAGCCCAAGCTAGCCACAGGAAAAAGCCATGTAGAGACAGAGTGCAATGTCAACTACCCTCCAGCTATTCCAGTTTTCTCAGCCCTGGTGCTAGTCATGTGAGTAGAGCAACCATTCTTGGATATTCCAGTTCTAGCAAATGCCACTTGAAGAAGAAGCAAGGTTCCAGTTATATGGATTCATTTGAGCTGGCCAGCCATTTTTGCCTTTGATCCACCCCAGCGGGAGCATCAAACATTATGGAGTGGAGACAAACTTTTCCAATGTGCCTGCTCCAATTCATGACCCACAGAATCATGAACACATTAAACAGTTGTTGGTTTACATTATTAGGTTTTGAAGTACCTTGTTATGCAGCAAAGATAACTGAACCACTCAGCTATTTTTTATGTTTGCCAAACCATTCCTGAAATCTACCCAAAACAAAACACTACTTTCTAAGCTCACCCTGGCCAGAAAAAATCTCTATTGTAGAACTGAGACAAAGTTATTGATTTGCCTGTCTTTCTCCCTTACCATACCTTGTACTACTCCAGGGCTTGGCACAGTGGCTGGTGCTAAGACATCCAGTATGTATCCAACGAACAAATGAAAGGAAGGAAGAAGGCCTGAGTGCCACTGCCCTCCATGAAAATGTTCTGTGAGTCCTAGAACTAACCGTGTCTTTGGGACTCTGTGGCAGCAAAGCGGTACTGCAAGTGTTATTATAATAACAGTGACAGAATCCAAGCCTAGTAATCATTAACCATCCCCAAGAGAGCTAGTTAGCTAGCAAAGAAGAAAGCCCCCTCCTCAGGGTTGGGAGCACTGGTGCCCTGACGGCACTTGGCTTCAAACTGAACTCCCCACGCCTTCTCACAGAGCTGATCTGTCTATAAAATTGGTGGTTTCTATAGAAACAGAAGCACTGTAGTAAAGTGAAGGGAAATCGTACATTCTGTCAGCGTACAGAGATCAATCCTGTTCTTATATGGGGCCAGGACTCTTTCACGCTTTATTTTTGAGCATCTCAACTTTCATTTCCATCCCAGCCATCTCATCTCATATTTATGAGGCTCCTGCACTGGTAATCCTGTCCCTTCTCACCTAGCTGCCTTTGTTAACTACGACCATGGGCAGAAGTCTGTGGAAACAGCATGGAATCCCTGGCATCCCCTCGTAGTGCCAATAGCTCCAAACCCCAACCTGAGAGGCAGAACTGGGATCCCTGGTGTTCTGGGGTGGTAACCAAGATGGTGGACGGAGTCACTACAGAGGAGGCACCACAGCCTTCCACCTAGACATTATAAAAATCTACTCTGTAATTGGGTACGTGTTTTACATGCCTATACCTTAGCTTTAGACAGTCTCCATGCCCTTAAATATTAATATGTCTGCAATCTCTGTTTTGCACCCCAAAGTGCAAGTGGCTTTCTAGCAGGCAAGGAAACAGAGTTTGGCTTGTATTTGAATTGCTCATGCTGTCTCTGATCATCTACAGAGAAAATTAGAAAAGGCACAGGTTATATTTTAGTATTTTAGATGAAGGTCCAAATTTTGAGGCACGTGTTAACTCATGAAAATTGTCTGCTTCAATCAAGATTCACTCTTAAAATAAGAAATAATGTGATGTTTTCTTCATCAAAGAGCACTTTTATTTCTGACCTAACAGCACTAAATGTATTTTGCCTTTTTCCTGTTCTAACAAATGACTGGTTGGATGAATAGAAATAAAATGATAGATGGATGAGAGAATGAAGGATGGATGGAGGGATGCATGGATGGGTATTAATCGTGGATGTGTGGATATATGATAGATGGATGGGTAAACAGGAGATGGATGAATACATGGGTAGATGGATGGGTGGGTATATGGATGGATGCTTGGATTCATGGAGGGGTGGATGGATGGATGGAGATGAATTATAAATGTGTGAATGGATGATGGATGAGTAGATGGGGGATGAGTGGATGGATGGGCAGATGAATGGGCAGATGGATAGATGGACAGACAGGAGAGGGATAGATGAATAAATAGATGGGGGGGTGGGTAAGCGAGTGGATGGATGGATGATAGAGAAATCACCCATCAGCATAATTTTTCTAAGATGTAAATCTAATCATCCATCCATTTATTCATTTACATTTTTGAGCACCTACCATGTACCAGGCAAGATGTGAAAAGCACTGAGGATTCAGCACTGGATATCTGAGATAAGGTCCCAATCCTTGAGGACCTAAGATTTCAATATCTTTAAAGTAGTAAATAGATTAAAGGCAATAAGAGTGGGTGCAGGGAGAGGAGTGCAACATCTATTACCATGATCCAGGTGAGAGCTGATGGTAGCTTGGTCTAGGATAACAGCAGTGGATACACGGAGGCAGAAATAGATTCAAGAGTTATCAGCAGGCCTTGATAGCTGACTGAGTTGCACAGCCCTGAGTCTAAATCTCAGTTCAGCCACTTACACGCTGTGTAAGCCTCAATTTCCTCAGCTGTAGATTGTGGATAATTGTACCTATCTCCCAGAGTTGCTATGAGGAATAAATGAGATGAAGTATGTGAAAGAGTCAGACATAGGGCCTGGCCAAGAAAATGTTTTTAACACCAAAAGCCTCCATTTTAGGAAAAGGCACCCAAATCCCTGCTTCTTGAACCCGGGCTATGAGCTGTGAGGAATACTAAATGCTATTAGGGTTAAACAGTAGTCAGAAGGTCGAGAGAGACTCAAAGGCATAGCAGGGCAGGATCATGTGGCCACGCAGTGTCCAGCCTACTTCCTCCCCTCTCCCAAGGACGCAACTAGCTGTGTGCCACAAGCCTGCTCCACACCACATGAGTCCACACGTCATGCCACCATGGCTAGCCATTAAAACCACTTCAGAAGCCTGGGCCCATCCATCGCAGTTGGCGCAATCACCAAAATTGAACTTTCATGGAGCCAGAATCAAAGGGCTGCATAAACTAGGATTGTGTCCTCCTCCATCAGAATCATCTTGCCTCTGCGTAGCTATGAAGGACAGTGAGAACAAAAATAAGAATAACTAGGCAGAACTCTAAGCAAAACAGTGCAGGAACAAAAAGCAGGGACACTGGAACAGCTAGGCTGCCTGCTTTAAACCTCAATTCTGCCACTTACTAGCTCCATTACCCTAGGCAATCTGCACAACTTCTGCGTGCCTCAGTTTCCTTATCTGTCAAATGGGAATAAGTACCTTCTTCTAGGCTTATGATAACTAAGGTGTGCAAATATGTAATGCAGCTGGAACACCACCTGGAATACAGTAAGCAGTATATAAGTGTTTGCTCTAGGTCGACTTCATCACTGCCAAGCACTAATATGCTCCAGTTACCTCACTGAGTACATAAATGCACTATTCCATTTGGTCCACATGACAATCCTGAGAATGGGTTACAAAGCAGGGGGTCTGGAAATAGATCTACCAGCATCTTGCTTTATGGGCAGACACAGAACCTCTCTGAGGCTCTCTTTTTCCCACCATTAAAATGGGTACAATAGCACTAACAGCAGGTACCTAATAAATGAGACGGTGGATTCTTTTGTATATACTCTTAAAAAAAATCTTAGGTTGGATAAATAGTCCCTTTGTAGACACAGATCTGAACGCAGCAAAGCCATTACCTCCACTTTCATGCCCTTCAGCTCATGCCTTAAATGGGTTTCTTCCCCACCAGCCTTTCTCTTTTTAACAACACTCTGTGCCACTGCAGAATCTGCAAAGAAAACTGGACCAGGCCAACCCAAAGGAAGTTCTGAGGGTGGAGGAAAGGAAACCAAATCTAAACTAAATGACAGCTCCCTTGAGTAGGTATCCTGAGAGTCAGCAGAGGGGCAAGGCTGCATAAAGGCGGGGAGGGTAGACAGAGCTGTGCCTTCCACCACTGCCAAGGTCTCAGCTAGCAGGTGCATAGTGAGGCAGGCCTGGCCATCCACAGTGTGCAGAAGACTGAGGCTCAGAGATGTTAAGAAATGTACCAGAGGTCACACAGCTCAGTAAGAGGTAGAGCTGGGATTCGAAAGCAGATCTAACTATCTCCAAGTGCCCCTGCCATGGTACCCACTGCCATCCCTCGGTGAATCACACAAGATAAAAGTATAGGTGAGTCTGTAGTTAAGCCATAACTTGTTGTTCACTTGAAGAAGAGCTCAGATGACCTCTGTTCCTGGCGGGGGAAGTATCTTCTCACTTCCACCTGCAGTTAACCCTGTAGAATAGAGTCTATCACACTCCTAGAAGAGCCTCTGGCCCCAGCACTCAGAAGAGTCAGCCATCTAAAGCTGCCCAGCCCGTGGAGAAGCTGAGCCCTCCCGTTTATGTAAAGGCAGCAGAATTCCACCTTGCCAATTTCTTAGTCTCTCCAGAGAGGACCTCAGATGACTGAGCCTGGCTAAACCGGGGTTTCTCAATCTTGGTATTATTGGCATTTTGCACCAGATTCTTCTCTGTTTAGGGGGCTGTCCAGTGCTTTGTAGGGTGCTTAGCAGCATCTCTTTCCTCTGGATATCATTAGTACCCCTTTCAGTCGTGACAAGCAAAAATATCCCCAGAATGGCCATATATCCCATGAAGGGAAAAATCACTTGAGATTGAGAATCACTGCCCTGGATGGCTATATCACAGCCTGGGAGATAATGGACGAGTCTGGGAGATGTCACAGGGGGAGGAGGGACTCTAAGACCTCCCGTGGGATGGCTGACCCTGGTATAGTCACCTGAGCTGAGGGTGGGCCCTCGACTCTGCACACCGTTAGTTCAATCCTGCCAGAGTTGACTGGTCTCAGCGAGACTAACTCAGTAGATCCAACTCATAAGAGGTTGATGTGTAACTTGTATTCCAGGCTGTTGATGTCCCAGGAGAAACAGACCTTGCAAGCAGATCAGATTTTCCTGTTATCTAACCTGTGCCTTCTTCTCTAGAGGGAACTTTGGGGAAGCAAAATCATGATAAGGCTCTTGTTTGGTGAGCAGGACTGGAGGGAGGAATTGATGGAAGACTTGGGTGAGTGCTCTGGGGCCAAATCTCCCTCCCCTGGTCCAGGAGGACAGCATCCCAGCACCTCTTATCACTTTCTGTCTCCTACAGTTAAGCCATGACCTGACGATACATGCAACAGTTTGCCTATCAGACAGCTCTGCCAGCCTACAAGTTCCAGAAAGGCAAGCACAGCATGTTATCCACATCTTCAGCAGTAAGTGCTACATAGAAGATGCTCAGTCAACGTGCGTGTTTGCTTTTTTTTTACCATTTGCAGTCACCTTCCTAAAAAGGAAGGGTGTGTGGGGAGGGGAGGAAGAAAGGGAAGCAAAAGAGATTTCCTGTTGCAGAAGAAAAATGGCATAAACTCTAGAGAGGCTACCATATCTCTAATTTGACCTGAGCTGAGCAATATATCCAGGATTTAAATGATGCTGGTCACTCACTTCTTTCTAGGTCACCTTTGTCCAAGGAGACATCCTTAGAATCACAATAGTAGGAGAAGACGATGGAAGAGGAGAGGAGAGAAGGGAAAGGAGGAGGGAAGGGAGGGAAAGAAGAAAAGGGTAGGGAGGAGAGGAAGAGGGAGAAGGGAGAGGAGAAGGTTAAGGAAGGGTAGAAAGGGAAAAGAAAGGACAAAGAGGGAAGGGCCAGGGAGGAGAGGGAGGAGGAGTTACACAGAAGCTCATTCCCTATGGACAACATGAGTTTAAGAAACGCCGCACACTCTATCCCCCTCTTAGTGATGCACAACACACGTTGCCATAGCAATATAAATCATATTAATGATCATCATCAACATTTATTGAGCTTTTACTGTGTACCAGACACTATTCTACAAGCTTATCTGTATTAACACCATTAATCCTTCCCACAGCCCTGCGAGGCACAGATACATTAAATAACTTGGTTACTCTAGGTTACTGGCCAGTTAGTAAAGTTGCACGGCTGAAAAACATGGCAATTCACAGACCCCACAAGGTCCTGCATTAAAAGCCTACAATCCCAGAATTTCCCACACTTGCTTTTTATGTTTGTTGTCACAAGCAGCATCTTTTAACAGGCTGTGGAACACATTCTGGAAAGCACAGTTCAAGGACAATGTCGGTTTGGTTCACCCTACTAAGTGCATGCCTGAGGCCTCCCAAGAATAAGCCTCAATTGCCATGACTGAGGGGCATAACCGTAATTAGTATGATTATTAACACTTATTTATTATAACATCCTTTCACTTGTACTTACATTATTGTTCCTTAAGCTTTACAATTTCTTCATGAGTAAAGTACTGAGATTACTGTCCTCATTTTCCAGACGCAAAGGCTGAGGCTCACGAAGACTACCTGACTTTGATCCCCAGCCCACAAACCACAGTGCAGCCCAGGAACAGAGGCTGAGGCAGTACATTCTCACAAAGACTTCACTGCAGGGGCAAAGCCAAGGCAGAAAAAGTGAGGGAGAAGGAGGGAGGGAGGGAGTGAGGGAGAAGGAGGGAGGGAGGGAGAAGGAGGGAGGGAGGGAGGGAGGGAGGATGAACCTATACAAGGCAGTGCATCCCCGGGCCAGCCACAGCTTTGCCAGTAAACATCACCGCTTGCTTGGGCACACGGCAGTGTGGAAGCCCTTGGCCTTAGCGCATTCCCTTCCAGGAGAGGAAGGGAGAGGATTTATCTGCTGCCTTGGTTCCTGGCCCTCTGGTTAAAGCTTTCCCCCACACACAGGTGGTTAACTCTATTGCATGTACAGGTTGTGACACTCAAGCTCCTCCATGCAGTCGTTGGAAAAGCCAGATCCTACCCCGTAGTATGGGGTTTTTCCAAGCATTGTCTGCCCAAACTTGGTGAGACAGTTTGGATGTTATCCCCTCTAAATCTCATATTGAACTGTAATCCCCACTGCCGGAGGTGGGACCTAGTGGGAAGCAATTGGATCATGGGGGTGGGATCCTCATGAATGGTTCAGCACCTCCTTTTGGTGCTCTCCTCGCAATAGTGATTGAGCTCTCACAAGATCCAGTTGTTTGAAAGTTTGTGGCACCTCCCCCAGTAACTCTCTCTCTTGCTCCTACTCTAGCCGTGTGAGACACCTGCTCCTACTCTAGCCGTGTGAGACACCTGCTCCCCCTTTGCCTTCTGCCTTGATTGTAAGCTTCCTGAGGCCTCCCCAGAAGCTAAGCAGATGCCAGCACCATGCTTTCTGGAAGCCTGCAGAACCAGGAGCCAATTAAATCTCTCTCTTTTTTTTTTTAAATAAATTACCCAGCCTCAGGTATTTCTTTCAGCAATGCAAGAATGGCCTAACACACTAGAGCACCAAAGACTCTGCAGCTCCCACCTGGGCAGAAAGGGCAGAGGAGACTGTGACAAAGTCTCACCTTCTCCCCTAGGGGAAATGAGACAGTCAGTGTTGTTAAGAGTACAGGTGACAGCAACAACGGTCAGGACTATGCACTGGCCAAGAAGTCAAGGCTTGGGGAACAGGTGGGCCAAGTGAATCTAGGAGGCACATAAACTGAGTCCAAGATACCGTTTCTTTGAATCCAAAAATGAGTGTTCCTTCATTCAGTGGCAAAAAGCATTCAACTCACCAACCACCCCAGCGCCCAAGTCACCTGGATCTAAACCACCCATTGGAAATGCAGATTTCTGGGCCACACCCAGAACTAAAGGAGTGGTTTCATTGGGAGATTCAACCACGGAGTCTGCATATTTTTAACAAGCTCTCCAAGTGACTTTTGTGGTCACTAAATTTTAGAAACACCTAGGACAGCATCAAAAGCTGCCCTGAGCATGCCGGAACTCCCCAGCTCATTTGATAGGGAAAAATCGAAACCTAGAAGTGATTAACTACAGATCAATAAAACAGAACAATGAATCATGCCAAAGGTCGAGTGGCAGTACGCAGCAGTACACGGCAAGCCAATCTAATTAGGGGCCCTCGTAAACGTCACCTGCTCATAAACATTTATAAAAACAGATTTCCTGCATATGGAAGGGTGTTAATTTTTCATATAGCTGTAGGTAAAGTAAATGTATTTTTAATCTCATACATTGATTTAACACTGTATTTCTTTTTGAAAGACTGGGAGACTCAGTCTTTGTTTACTGATTTCTATATCAGAGAAACTGCTGGAGAGAGACGCCAGAGCATACTTTCTCTCCTCAGGAATAAGGGAAATCTTCTGATTCTTCCACATTCAGACTCTCCCTTGGTTCTCAGAGCCCAGGCTGACATCAGATGCTACCTAACAGAGACAAATGACACAGGGTGAGGCAAGGCATGGAAGAGGGGTGTCAGTTCTGCAAGGGAGATGCTGTCACTTGTAAAGATTTTCATTAATAAACCTTCTAGTACCTACTGTTGCACTGCACTGTACCCATCTCTGGAAATTTTTTAACAAACTCAGATTTAATTTTCTTTCTCATTAATTAATTTTTTATTCATCTCTTCCATTAGAGCCTAAAACCTCCCAATTACACATTATTAGCTCAGAGGAAAGTTGGTAATTGAGATGGTCCCAGGATTCCAGGAGTGCCCTGTGCAGAATGTCTGCTTTAATTAGATTTCCATTAATTACTTTTTTATCAATTAATATTGGGTACTTTGGGCCCAATACTTGTGATCTCCACATCATGCACTCTTAAATGACACCTCATTTATTGCAGTCAGTCAAGCAAGGGACCCAAAAAGAGTTCAGCAGAGAGAGCGGCAGACAGGCTCTGTGCCTCACATGCAAATGACATAGCATGCTTGCTTGCAGGGGTGAGTTTCATCCCCTAATGTGTACCTCGAGAGGCTAGGCAGGTTAGGAAGGAGAGATAGAGAGAGGGAGAGGTGGGGTGGGGGACAGAAGGTGGGGGACAGGGAGAGAGGGAGACAGGGAGAGGGAGAAAGGGAGGAAGGGAGAGAGTGAGGAAGGGTGAGAGGAGAGGAGGGAAGGGGAGAGGAGGGGAGGGAAGGGGAGGGGAGGGAGCAAGGGAGGAGGGAGGGGAGAGGAGGGGCTGGGAAGGGAGGGGAGGGGAAGAAGAAAGCAAGGGAGGAAAGGGAATGGTGGGAAAGGGAAGAAGGGAGGAAAGGAGGAAGGGAGGAAGGGTGAGGAGGAAAGGAGGGGGGAGGGGGAGGGGAGAAGGGAAGAAAAGGAAGGAAGAAAGGAAACCTACAGAAAAACATCAAAAGTGTCTAGTCCAATCAAATCATTTGCAGATAGATAAATGATGGCCAGGAAGCCAAGTGACCTCACCAACCCTACACAACATTAGGCTAGAACATTTTTCTCCCCTCCACATTGTCCCCTGCACCTCCCTCTACCCCTTTACTAGGGGAACACATAATTTATCATCTACACTAGGACACTTTTAAGAGAGAAAAGGACTGCTGTTAATAATTATACTGGGGAACAATAGACACAAACCCCAGCACACCAAGATGTATTGTCACCCAACCCTTCACCCCTCGGCTGTTAACTTATGAACCTCCTCCTGAGAGAGACCCACTTTTTCAAGGTGGCAACTCTGCCTCTGCAGCCTTAATATAGCTCAGTATTTGCCTGGAAAATCAATATGCATTGATTAATGACAATAATATGATGCAACCTCCACCCTCTGAATTCGCTTAGTATTCCCACTGTCTGTCTTAAATTAAATGTTTCAGTTCACCCAGTATCTTTTCCCAACTCATTTCTCAACTATTCTTTTATAGAATGTAACTTAATTGTACTCAATACCCTAACCTAATTAGATTGGCCTAATGGTTAAAAGTAACCCAAAACTGGACTACTTGGGTTTGAACTTAGTGGGGTGTCTTTGGACAGGTTAAGTTTTCTATGTGAGCTTTCTTATCTGTAAAATAGTACCTACCTCATAGGGTTCTTATGACGATTACATGAGCTCATGTACGTCAAGTGCTTAGAATACTACCTGGTTCATAGAAAGTGCCATGTAAGTACTTGCTAAATTAAATAAAAATAAAAAGTTAGAGAAACGGTGATCACCAAAAGACATAACTAATTTCTCGCCCTAAACTAAGCGGAATATCTCAAAGTCAAGGAGAAGAAAAGAAAACCAGATGTGACTGAACATAGCTTCCTGTGCCAGGGACTGAGACCCGTACTTCGGATGCATCATCTCATTTAATTCACAGAAAAGCCCTTGAAAGTAGGTATTGCTATTATCCCCATTTTATAGATGAGAAAACAGAGATTCAGAGAGATGCTGTGACTGGCCTCCACCATACAATAAAGCCAAATCCCCTCAAAATCCAGCACAGGTGGGACAACTGGAAAAAAAATAAAACAAAAGCCCAGGGTTTCAGGCTGACTTTCACCTTCTGCTTGAATCCTCCTTGTTTCTAGCTTCCACTAGCGCCTACCCCAAGGGAGCTCTGCTCCCTTCTTTAAGGTCAGAACCCATGCACAAGCCATTCCTTGGTTCTGTGAACAGCTGACACTGGCTGCAACTTGCAGAAAGATTTCCTAAGTCCTTAGGGGGGAGTCCAAGAGAGAACAAGGACAGGAGACACAGAAATAGCCCAGCCGACAATGGACAGTGCCTTATCTTCTGGAGGGGACTCACTCCTTACCAGGGACCTCGCAAGCTCATCTCATCCCATGCTCAGGTTCCTAGAACAACATCACTCTCACCTCCAAGGGCTGGCCCCCTTTTCAGACACCTTGTCCCTCCCATCATCTACTCACGGAGTGTCTGGGTCCTTAGGTGACAATGAGCAAGTCTGGACTCTGACCACCCAACCTATTTACTAGCTACTAGGAACTCCCTCATATACAGTCACCAACTAGATCATATGTCAATTTTAATAAATATTTTCACTGATTTATTAGTCCATTTCTGCTGATACAACAAAATACCTTAGACTGGGTAATTTATCAATTGTAGACGTTTATTTTTCACAGTTCTGAAGGCTGAGAAGTCCAAGATCAAGGTGCTGGCAGGTTTGGTGTCTGGTGAGAGCCTGTTCTCTGCTTCCAAGATGGCACCTTCTTGCTGTGTCCTCACAGGGTGGAAGGGGAGCTGGAGGACCTAACAAGCTCCCTCTAGCCCTTTTATAAAAGCATTAATCCCATTCATGAAGACGGAGCCCTCATGACCTAAGAACCTCCTAAAGGCCCCATCTCTTAATATTGTTGCATTGGGGATTAAGTTTCAACATGAATTTTCAAGGGATACAAACATTAGACCTTAGTAATAGCAAAATATCTCATGTAGTCGCATTAATAGAAGTACCTTCTCTCTGGGTATGTGTAGTCGCCAGCCTGCATCTGTCACTGTTTCCTCTCCCCCCAGTATTGGGATCACACTAGGTACATGCACACAGGTACACACACATATACACACACAGCCCTTAAGCAACTGGGTTGCTAAACAACCAGCAGGTAATACAAGCAGCAGCTGCCAGAGTGATACAACGATGTCATAAACAGCACCAGAGCAGAGAGTAAGAAGCACCCTAAATGATTCATTTCCCTATGTTGGGAGAATATACCCAGACAGGTATAGCTGTTCCCATTTGTAAATCACTAAGAATGAAAAACTATAACCAATATGGGGCCTAGGAAGATATTTTGTAAATTAAATAAGAATGAAGTATGCAGAAAATGTATATTTTTCTAAGATGATTTATTGTATGAAACGCCATTAAATTTCAGACTATCTGTTTTGTGTTCATAAATTCAAGAAAACCTGGTTTCCATGAAAAACAATTCTTTTTTTAAAAAAATGAGATAAACAGATAAAAAGAGATCTGGTTTTAAAAGCTAGAAAAAAAATGAAGGTAGGTAATTAAAATAAAGAAAAGCCTGTTTGAAATCCAATTGTTGATAAGAAGATTTTAATGCTGTAAGGAGCACAGAACTGTGGAATACAGAAGCAGCACTGTGTACAACTTTCCATAAATGAAGAAGAAAAGAAGGTGGTGATAAAGATTGCTATGGTGCCTGTTGGTGCTCCAAAAACATAAAACCTTCTTTTATCCCTCATTCCAAGCAGACCTCCATATTGTGATACCCTTACTCAGAGATGTTGGATATTTTAGTTATTATGCACAATTGCGTGCTGGTTCAATAAGGAAAATAGGAAGTAAGTCCTTAAAAAGAAAGATTATAGCTACATTTCACTGGAAGGAAGTAGAATGAGTGTCCTCGAACAGAGGAAAAGGTTAACACAATGTTATTCCACATCACAGACGCTTCACAGAAATGAGCAAAGATGTGGGGTGTGCACTCCTTTAGGGCAGGGGAGAGGAAAAGAAACCAACTCAACTGCCTTCTAAAGGAAGAGCATGTGGGAGGGGGCCCCCACACTCTCCAGGGAGGGGTACTGTGGTCAGTTGAATGATGGGCCCCTAAAAATAAGTGTCCACATTCTAATCCCCAGAACCTGTGTATATGCTACCTCACACAGCAAAAGGGACTCTGCAGATGTAATGAAGCTAAGGATCTTGAGTGATGAGAGGAGGCTGGATTATCCAGTGAGGCCCAATGTAATCACAAACGTCCTTATAAGTGAAGGAGCGGGGCGGGAGGGTCAGAGAAGGAGGCGTACTGATGGAAGCAGAGACTGGAATGACGCAAGGCCATGAGCCCAGGAATGCAGGTGGCCTCTAGAAGCTGAAAAAGGCAAGGAAACAGATTCTCCCCTACAGCCTCCAGAAGGAATGCAGTCCTGCTGTCACCCTGCTGAGTTTAGACTTCTGACCTCCAGAGCTGTAAGAGAACAGATCTGTGTCGGTTTAAGCCACTAAATTTGTGTTAACTTGTTACAGCAGCAGTAGGAAACTAATACAGGTAATGTATCCAAAAGAAGAGTAGAGAATGCAAAATTAACTCTCAGCTCCTACACCTTCTGCCTAGTTTATAGGGTTGATATCTTCCTATCATTAGTTGAGGCATTAATGTTGAACAACATAATAAATGCAGAATTTCCATAGAGAGTTCAAAGAGCACTGAAACTTTAGCATACTGGGTAAGCCTGTTGTTACAGGTACCAGTGCAGACAGAAAGCTCCCAATAATAAAATGACCAGGAGTAAATTAGAAATATGAAAGACAAAAGAGATATGTTATAGGGATGAAAAGAATACCTAAATTACAAAAAAAAAACCTTTAGAACAGATTTAAAAATAAGCTACACTGAATGTCCTAAACATCCTGAATAACATTTTTCCAAGCATACAAAAAGAAAAAACAAGACATTTACATGGATAAACATTTATATAAGTAAATGACTGATCTCAGATTTCTTTACAATACTGGGCTGAAAACGCTAATGATTAAATATCTGCAGGATTTAAAGCACTCTGTTCATTTATGGAAGAAGCAGAAAAGTATTTACAAATGTAAAAGGACTCAGAAAGGATGTACAGAAACACTACCACCACCATTTACCTCCTCCCTCTGCCAAATACTAAAAGAAATGCCTAACCAGGCCAGGCGCGGTGGCTCACGCCTGTACTCCCAACACTTTGGGAGGCTAGGTGGGCGGATCACTTGAAGTCAGGAGTTCAAGACCAGCCTGGCCAACATGGTGAAACCCAGTCTCTACTAAAAACAGTACAAGCTGGGCACGGTGGCTCACACCTGTAATCCCAGCACTTTGGGAGGCTGAGGCGGGTGGATCACGAGGTCAGAAGATCGAGACCATCCTGGCTAACATGGTGAAACCCCGTCTCTATTAAAAAATACAAAAAAATTAGCCGGGCATGGTGGCAGGCACCTGTAGTTCCAGCTACTCGGGAGGCTGAGCAGGAGAATGGCGTGAACCCGGGAGGTGAAGCTTGCAGTGAGCTTAGATCGCACCACTGCGCTCCAGCCTGGGTGACAGAGCAAGACTCCGTCTCAAAAAAAAATAAAAATAAAAATAAAAACAGTACAAAAATTAACCAGATGTGGTAGCAAGCACCTGTAATTCCAGATACTCGGGAGACTGAGGCAGGATAATCGCTTGAACCCAGGAGGCAGTAAGCCGAGATCGCACCACTGCACTCCAGCCTGGGCGACAGACCCAGATTCTAGATTTGGTCTCAAAAAAGAAATAAATAAATATATAAAAATAAAAATAAAAAATAAAAAAATAAAAACAACCTAACCAAATGGGGTCATTTTTAAAAAATAAAAAATGAGTAGTTACATTTTTAAAAGTTGGTCGTGAGTGCCCAAGCAAATTAAATATGAAATTTTCTTAAAAATTGATGTATATACAGTTATAGAAAGAATATAAATGCTATAAATAGTTCTTTGTAAAAGATAGAGACATAACTTTAAATAATAATTATTAAATTAGAAACACGAATAAAAATCCCATACTTACCATTAACAACTGAGAAAATGAGTAAGGCTTATATAAGGGTAGGTCAAACTATGCTACCCACCCTACCCTGCACAGGGGAAAGCCAATAAAATACTTTGTATTCTGAAGACAATTAAAAATAAGTTTTAGGAAAAATTAAATTTAGATACATACTTAAGGCAGCTAAACGTATCCAAGAGTAAAACCAAAAGCAGAATATAATAGAAAACCTAATCACCCACCACAGAATCAGCAAGCTCTCTAAGGGCCAAACAGCAAATAGTTCAGGCTTTCGGGCTACATCCAGTTATTGCTGCTGCCTGTTCTTTGTTTTGTTTTGTAACCCTTTAGAAATGTAAATCCACCATTCCTAACCTGTGTGCTGTCAAAAACAGGCAGTAGGTTGCCAGCCCCTGCAACCTACTGCCTGTAGGGAGTTAGGGAGGAAGTCAAATTTAAAAACAAGCATAAGAAATAGAAAGCATTAAGTGAGATAAAATTCAGACACAATATAGTTATCATATTAGTATAAATTGCCTCAACTTCTCTAGCAAAAGAAATTGTCTCACAGACTGAGTCAAAAATCAAGTGTATCGAAATATTTTCCATAAGATGTGATCTTAAGCAATTAGATTGCCAAGAGGTTAAATTGAAAGCATGGGTGGATTTAATAGGAAAATGTCAATAGAAAAAAAATGCAGATGTACCAATATCCATATCAAAGTAAAATTCAAAGACAAGTCATTGAACAATACCAAAAAAGCTATTCTACATTGATAAAAGGTATAATTCACAAAGAAATATATCAACTATCATGACCTTTTCTGTAGCAGGTAGCAATGCATTGAGATATAGAAAGGAAACTGTTAGAAACCCAGAAATCAACAAAATACAGTAATAGTTTGAGAATTTAATACAACTCTCTTTAAGTCCTGACAGATCAAAAAGGAAAAATTTAAATAAGGAAGTCATGACTAATATAATTAGTAATATTGATTTAAAGACATATATCAAACCTCTCTCCCTACATGGAATTAATTATTTTTCCTGTGCTTTGAGTATTTTTTCGGTGATGATTAAAATAACAATAAGGCCACAAAGAACCATCACCAGATAATTTTTAAATGTTTTTATGTTGTATTATCTGACCATGAGGCTAAAGTTTGAACAAAACAAGGATATTTCAGCATTCATAAATCAATTAATAGGTTTAATCCAAAGAGGAACATATTTTAAGTTAAAAATCATATATCAATAGATGCCAAACTGTATTTGATTAGAATATCCATTCTTGATTTACATTCTTAGTAAAATAGTTCAATTATTATTTTAAAGTGATTCTCTACCTACTAAATCCAAGGTTATCAACAGAAAAATTATTGTAATTTATAAACAAGTTCAGTAAGATACCCAGCATAAAAGTAAATAAGTAAACTCACTGCTTTTTCATATAACCCCACCAACAAATTTGGAAAGATAACGCCAGGGAAGAAGACATCCTATTCCATAAACACACACAAACCCAAAATGCTATAAATACTCATATATAAACAGAGGTGTGATTGCAAATGTTCACAACAGGTCCTCTGGGAAAGAAAGCCCGGATTTATAGTATTTGCTGCTCTCTGTGGCTTAAATAATGCCACGATGACCTACTTCAAAAGACCAACATGTTACCACTGAAGGCAGATATACAATAAGATACTATTATACAGTGTTTCCAACTTACAGATATACAATAGACATGAATAACCTCAAGAGTGTAGATAATAAACCGTAGTAAAATAATTAGGGAGTCATGAGTTTTGAAGATAACCTTTGTTTTTACATATAGTGTATATAGTTGTAGGTTTCTATAACTTAAGTTTAAGAATGCCTGTGTTTAACAAACACCTCATGGAAATTCTGAAAATTTAATAGCTCTTATGAGCAGGTACCAGGCTGATTCCAGCATATCACCGTTTAAAAAAGTCCCCAATAATCTTAACCAGAAAGATTCAGTACTTGCAAAAATATTACTGAACTTAACTGAGAGCCATAAAACTTCAACAAATAGAGGCACACAAAGCTCACAGATGGAAAAACTTAACATGGCACTGATGTTGATTTTCTTTCAATTCATCTATACATTTAAGAAATCCCAAACGATACCCCCATTTAATTTTCTTTGGGGACAGTGGAGAAGGGATCCTGAAAAAGCAATCCTAAATTTGATGCATAAAAACAAACATTCAAGGAATAGCTAGGAAAATTCTACAACAACAGTAATATTCAATGAGCATTTAATCTTAAAGACATTACAAAGCTAGAAGGTGCAGAAAAGTGTGTCACTAAACACCGGAGAAGACAGAAGCTATGGTCTCAGTCCAGTGGGGTAGAAAACTACCCAGATAGGTCATTCTAGTTCCACACGGTAAGAACCATGATGGAATAGCCAAGAGGAGTTGGGGGAAATGAGAAGCTTGGGAATACCAGAGAAAGGAAGTGACATCTGAATTGATTTGCCTTTTCGGGTCGTTTGAACCTTTCGTCAAATTGGCGTCCAGAAAGCTTGCACAATTTAAAATCCCACACCAGTATATGAAACTATTTTCTAACATGCTTGCCAACACTGGGTATTATACCATTTTTATTTTATCTTGCCTAGTAGCTTACCTTAATTAGCATGCCTGATGTTTAACGAGGCTGGTAATATTTCATAAACTTATCGGTTATTTCTATGTCTATTTTTGTAGAAATCCCTCTTTCCTCTGTGTTCCCTCAGTCCCTCCTGCTCTCTTATTATAGATCTCAATACACTATGTCACACGAGCTGTCACAGCCGCTTGCCCATCCATTTCCCCCAGAGACCAAAAGTCAGAAGCAGGCCTGTGTCTGTTTGGTCGCTGCATCTGCAACAGAAGGTACCGCCCAACTTATAGTAGAAACTCTGAGAACATACACCCAGTGAACAAGACGGTGGGTTTTAGAACATCTTCACCTGGGTGTCAAGAGCAATCACATGTGAACCACATCAAAATGGTGCTGCTTCCCCCGCAACAGAGTTCTGCCAACATTATTAACGGCAGCTGGGCACAAACAAGGAGGAAAAACAAAAATAGAGCAAGGCTGTAGTTCATTCCATTGTACGTGATCATCAGGCAGAGAAAAGTTCGTAAAAATCAAGGAGAAATTTCTTCAGAAAATACATTTTCCTTAAGAGATTGTTTCAGTGTACCTGCGGAACTGTCAGAGAAAATTAGATTCTCCGCAAATAACAGTCACTTGCATTTCTACTTTATTTCTAAAGAATTCCTCCACTTTAACTTCCATTTGTTGTGCTTTTACAACAACTTCTTTAAGAGAGGCATTTGGTCTGGTATTATCTACTCATCAGACTTTGGAAAGGCACCTCGGGAGGTGATATGACTCTTTAGCAGACGATGAGTTTATTCAAGTTTGCTGTGACATTTGTGCAAGAGCCCAGCCCTTCCTCTTGTAGCTACTTAAAGACACCCTGAGAACAGGAACTGCTCCATCCCTTTGGTAGCTGCAGTGGGTTGAGTGGTGGCCCCCAGAAGATAAGTCCATCTCCTAATCTCTTGAACGTGTGAATCTGACCTTATTTGGAAAACGGGTCTTAGCAGATGTAATTAATTTAAGGTATTTAATTTAATTATTTAAGGTATTGAGATGAGATCATCCTGGTTTACCAAGGTGGGCCCTAAATCCAGTAACGAGTGTCCTTATAAAAAACAGAAGAGGAAAAGACACAGACACGTGGAAAAGAAGGCCAGACCAGGTGGAGATCAAGGCAGAGAGGGCAATGATGCGGCCACAAAGAACGCTGACAGCCACCAGAAGTTGGAAGAGACAAGGAACTGATTGTCCCCTAGAGCCTCCAAGGAAGTGCAGCCCTGCTGACACCTTGATTTCAGACTGTGGACCCCAGAACTGTGAGAGAACAAATTTGTGTTGTTTTAAGCCACCAAATGGATGGTAATTTGTTACTACAGCCCTACGAACCGAAAACAGTGACCAACCCCATTCACCAGCCCCCTAATACCTTTGTGGCATTTGTATTCCCCCACCCCCACATGCTGCCTCCTTCCCTCCTAGGCTGTTATTCAAACCATCGCAGCAGCCTCCTCATTGCCCTCGCTGCCTTCAGCCTCGCCCTCTCCAAGCCCACCCCCGCTACCAGATGTCAGGAAGAAATTCCAAAACTCAAACCAAAGGCTGATACGTTCTTGCCCTACACTTCACTCAATGCTGGCAACCCAATGAGGGACATCAGGATAAAATCGAGAATGCGCGGTCTGTGCTTGTGAATTCCTACCACCTGGCCCCAGCTAGCCTCCCATCCCTTATATCTGCCAAGACAAATTCCCCCAAATCCCCTCTCCCCTGGCCAGAAGTGACCTCCACATTCAGCCCCGATTATGGAAGGCTGTCACAGGCTATTCCTTTTGCTGGGTAAGCCCTTCCCCCTTTCAAGTCTATGTTCAACTGTCATATCCTTTTTGAGGACTTCCTTTAGCTCTTCCCTCCACCTCTACTGCCACACTTAACAGAGCGGAGTTGTCTCCTCTGGCATCCCATTGTCGATAGCCCACTCCTGAGTTACAGCAACAACGGCCACCTGACTCCACTCATCTGTTGACCTGTCCATTTCTCCATTAGCCTATGATCTCCTTTAGGGCAAGATTCATCCTTATCTGATTCATCTTTGTATCCCAGATCTTAGCCAGGCAAACAACAGGGATCCAGTGGAGAGAGAGATGGATAGGTGGGTAGGTGAAGACACAGATGTACGGTTGAACACACAAACTGGCAAAGTTCCAAATGAACTAATAAGTGGACACCTCACTGAGAGACTTAAATGCAGAAGGGTGCCAGGACATAAGAGGAACGGCTGCGAGTTATGAAAATGGGCTCCATGGGGCAAATCAAAAGTCCACTGAAGGCAAATGCATCATAACAAGACTGGCATTTCCTGGAGTTTCCGGGCTGATCAATCACTTTCATATGCATCATTCATTTACTCCTCACAATGACCTGGTGAGGTAATGAGTTACTATTAGCTCAATGCACAAGGAAGCTGAGGCTTGTGGACATCAGCTGAAGTCTCACAGCCAGCGAATGGCAGGCCAGGGCACCAGGGCCTAGGTCTGCCTGCCTCTTCCATCCACCTTCTGTCATCACAAGCCTTCTGATCTCCAGCCCTCTGATCTGCCCCAGTGGGACCCTCCTGCGTCTCTGCTCTAGTTGTAGAGGACCCATCAGGCACTTAGAGAGAAATGAGTGGTGTTGTGAACATTCGACTGTGTCCATGTGGAATCCACACACACAGTTTGCCTGAAAATGACTGATAGGATGGAAACTGACAAGTCATCATCCGCTTCGGGCACCAGCGATGACTGGTTAACATGAATATTGTGTTGATTTCCGCTAGATAGAAGAAGATGTCACTTGTCGTTAATGGGGTGTCACACGTACACTTGCCTAAAGGAAAATGCTCTTTTGGTGATTGTTCTCAATTTTCACCTCATTTTATAGCCATAAAAAAGAAAAGATTCAGCAGAAAGGATGAATCCACCTAGGGGTAGGATGGAAAGGCATTCTTCTCATTTATTTCCTTCTTTCTTTACCAGAACAACCAAAACCCAGTGAAAATGCTGGTGCAAGTCAGAAGAGGGGGACCTGGGTTCTAAGAGCAGCCAGGTACTCTGGGCTTCAGATCAGAGCCTCAGAATCCAGCAGTTATGCCCACAAGGTAGCCAAAGTCCAGCCAGTACCACCGGTCTCTCGGCCAGCTATACTTGCCTCTGCTCAACAATGATGATTTGAACGTACATGTACAAATAATAACAGATAACATTACTGAGCACTTTACTATGAACTATGGAATGTGCTAGGTAAAGACGTTACTCCACGTAAGCCATAAAATCAACCTATGGGGCAGGTGCAGATCCACAAACCCTGATTTAAGAATTCTGAATCCTCAAAAGCTTTGAAAACCAAAACATTTTTTCGTAAGTTTGGTACAGACTTATTTGGTGCTAAGATTTGAGTTAAAGTGATATACATTGACTAATAGTTTTTTCTATCTCCTTCTTACTATTAATATTCATACTTTTTGCTACAAAAATATCAACATGCTTGATTTAAGGGTGCTACCACAGCCTCTGCTGAGGGATGTTATTAATAAATATGGTACATTTACTATATTGCTTTCCTTTAAAAGTTAAATAAATCTAAATCCGAGCACATTTGGCCCCAAGGACTGCAGACAAGAAATTGAGAACCTGTTAAACCCATTATATGGATGAGGAAACAGGCTCAGAAAAGGTAGGAAACTTTCCTGAGGTTACAGAGCTCAAAAGCAGCAGATGAAGGTTTACATCTAGGCAGCCTTGCTCCAGAGCTGGCCCGGTTAATCAGTGGGCTTTGCTACCTTTGACAAATGCCCCTGCTAGCTGGTCTCAGCCCCATCCTCCCAGCGCAGCAGTTCAGTCCCTGTTTGTTCTTGAGCAAGAAGTAAGCATGTGCCTTCTTAGTCGAGGTACAAGGCAATCCCCAGGGTATCCGGATCATAATTACAATGCTTTATTAATATAAATCTCAGGATATAGACCTGTGTTTCAAATCAAGAGTCAAACACAACAATAACATCAGTCTTAGGTAACTACCAGTCAAGGATTCGGATCCAGACTTGCGCTTTTACAATGAGAAGCAAACAAAGACGACTATTAATTGGCTGATGGTCAGCCAGTATCAAATTATCACATTTTCTCACACTACAGTGGTTATACAGACCCTGGAGCTAGACAGGTTGTGCTGAAATCCTGGGTCAGCCACTTAATAGTTATGCGACCTTGACAAGTTGCATAACCTCTCTGTGCCTCAGTTCCCTTATATAGAACATGGGGGTAATGCTAGCACCCCCCTCACCAGTCGTCATGAGGATTAAATGAGATTGTATTTAAAGCATTTGGAATATAGCAAGTCCAATCTTAGCCTCTGCTCCCAGACAGACAGATGATTAGGATGGATAAATAGATGCTTTGCTTCACATTTTAACTTCTCTGAAATTGGGGCTCTTCTTACCATTGATGTGTACTTATAATGTTTATATTGTTATTCTCAGAAAGCTGCAGCTTAACTAATGGTGCTTCTTTTTCTTTATTGCATCTTAGATACGTGGTAATATGGTAAAATACTTTGGAGGAACTGGATGTATTTTTCCTCTGGTCTCCAGAGAAGAAACTGAGACGACAGCAAGTCACAGATTCAAGCTGTGTTCATAATGTGTTTCCACGTGGAGGTCACACTTTCATGTTCATGGGCAGATGAATTCTAACACCAAACACCAGGCTGAATAGGTGTTCCCATTGCAAGAGAAGTGCTGTGCACAATTTTTATTTGCATTTCAAAACCCTAACAAATGGCCACAATCAACTACTACAAATTTCTCCTAATTAGTTTTAGTCTGCACTTCTGTCACCTTTAGGAGAGAGCCAAAGATTTTAACCTTCAAAATTATCAGCAATGCATGTCAGAAAGCATTTCAAAGAAGAGTCAAAGTGCATGTAGAAACTAATTGCTGTATCTGAAAGTGCTGTTTGAAGAATTTTTCAGTCTTCAGAGAAGCAAGTTCCCCACCCCTTGGGAAAACTAGTCTTCAAACTAAAAGTTTCCCCAAATCATATACCTGAGAAAAATGTTAAAACAGACTTACCCAAAAAGGCAAAGAAATAAAACTGTAAGAATAAATAAATCAGAAATCAGATGTCTCTCCCCTGTTTAAAATCCTCCAACAGCTTCCTACTTTACTTGGAATAAAACGCAATTCCTTTACCATCACCTTCCAGGCCTCATGTGGTCTGTCCCCCACCCATTTCTTCCATTTTTTTTTCATTCTGTGTTCCCCTTCACAAACTGCTCCAAACATACCAGTCTTTGTTGTTGTTTGCTTCAAACACATCAAGTATATTCTCGCTTCAACTACTTTGCTCTTGGTATTCCTCCTTCCTAGAAAGATTCCCTAAATATTCCCCAACTCCCCTACCCACGGATACCAGGCTCCGTTGCACAGGATCGCCAACACACAAGGTGACTTAGACCCGAGGTAACTTTTTCTGATTCACACAAAAGAACCATATGGGCTAGAGCAGTCCTGCTTACCTACAATGATTCATTCATTTCTAGAACAAATGTTAATTGAGCACCTACTATGAGGTAAGCACTGTTCTGGGCACTGGAATTATAGCCTTGAACAGACAGACAAGGCCTTTGCCTTTTGGAAGCTCACATACTAGTAGGCTGAGGCACACAATGGATGACAATTTAACAATAAGCGAATAAGCAAAATATCAGAAAGTAGCCAGAGTGCACAGACAACCTGACGTGGTTATATGACAGTGACTGAATGGTAGGTAGTCAAAGAAGGCCTCCTAGAGGTGGTGATACTTGTCGTGAAATCTAAATGGCAACAAGGAATCATCATGGAATGCCATGCCTCCCCTCCCCAACCCCATTTGTTTGTTTGGGGAGGGGAGGCACGGCATTCCATGCAGAGGAAACCCAAGGTGTGAACTTTCACAAAGGCCCCAAGTAGTGCACAATCAATTTGTTTTAGAAACAAGAAGTTGGAAAGTAATGGCTAGAGAAGAGAAAGTCAAAGATAAGGCCAGACAGGTGGGAAGGAGCCAGGTGATGTGGGGCTCTACAAGTCAGAATAAAGAATTTGAAGCTGGGTGTGGTGGCTCATGCCTGTAATGCCAACACTTAGGGAGGCCGAGGTGAGCAGATAACTTGAGGTAAGGAGTTCGAGACCTGCCTGGCCAACATGATGAAACCCCGTCTCTACCAAAAATACAAAAATTAGCTGCTTGTGATGGTGCACACCTGTAGATCCCAGCTACTCAGGAGGCTGAGGCATGAGAATCACTTGAACCCAGCAGGCGGAGGTTGCAGTGAGTTGAGATCACGGATCGTGTCCCTGCACTCCAGCCTGGGCAACAGAATGAGACTCCGTCTCAAAAAGCAAAAAAAAAAAAAAAAAAAAAAGGAAGAAGAAGAATTTGAGCTTTATTCTAAAGTGAGCTATGAAAATATTTGAGGTTTTAAGCAGGGAGGTCCATGAGCTGGCGTCTATTTTGGAAAGATCACTCTAACTCAGGGTTGTCAAAAATAACTTTCTGCAATGAAGTCCTATATCCACATTGTCAGGTGCAGTAGCCACTAGCCATGTGTGGCTACTGAGTACCTAAAATTTGACTGGTGTGACCCAGAAACTGGATATTTAATTTTATTCTATTTTAATTAATTTTCATTTAAATATTCACATGTGGCTGGTGGCTACTCTATTGATCAGCACACCTGAACAGCTGCATGAAGAATACATGAAGGGTGTGGGGAAAGATGAGAGTACAAGCAGGAAGATTAATCAGGAGGCTACCACAGTGGTCCAGGGGAGAGATGGTAGCTGCAAGCAGAGATGGAGAGAAGAATACCTTTCAGGGTGGAGCCAAGAGTGTGAGAGGGAGAAAGGAAGAATGAGGAATCGTGGATACCACCTAGATTTGTGGTTTCAGAACCAAATGGATGGTGGTGCCATTTTGATCTGGGAAAGACTGAGGAAGTAGTACGTTTTGGGGAGGAAAAAAAACCTTGAAAATAACCAGCTCCTCCCCAAGTCTTCATGTGGCAGCTTCCCTCTTAACTTTTGGACCTAAAATGTCAGCTCAAATGTCACCTCCCCAGAGGAACTGTTGCAATCTCCACCCCACTTCTTTATCCCATCCTCTCTCTCTCTCTGTGTGTGTTTGTGTGTGTGTGTGTGCATCATATTGCTCCATTGTTCTCCTCCCTGTAGATTATCTGCAATTATTTAATCACGAATGCATTGCCTCTCTCTTCTCCAAACTGTAAACTCTCTGTGCAGCGACCTCAGCCCCTTTTCCCACAGTGGTCCCACCTACCTGGAACAGTATCTGGCACATAGCAGGTACTTAAATATGAATTATTAAACAAACAGGAATAATTATCTTGCCAAACAAAACACGGCTAAAGCCTCAAAGAGTATGTTTCTGGTTTGAATTTCAGACAACATAAAATAGAAGAAGACAAAGTATGCTCACACACCTGCTCAAATAATTGTTGGGATATAACTGGGAAATAATTAATTGGGATACATTTTGTTTGGGGTTATTTTACCAGTACTCCATTTATTCAGAAAACTGAGTATAGTTTCCAGGTAATGAGCCACCTCATCTGACAGATGCAGAAGAGAGATGCTAATCAGGACGGTGATTCCTAGCACTACAGTCCCATTTCTCTCCCAGAGTATTTGGGGAGACAGCTGAGAGTGTGTAGAATGAAAGCAGGGTAATCCCAGGCTGCCATTTTTGAAAGTTCAGAGTGTCCTTAAGAGCCACTTGCCCTTAGTTAAGCACACCACCATCACCCACCCATATCCCGCCAACCAGCAGCAGATGCTACCCCAGCTGAACAGGTGTACGTGGCTCAATGCAATGAGAAGGGACTTTGCAATTAAACAGATAATAATTTGAATTCAGTTTTAAGGTCTTGAGAAAATTGCATAGCTTCTCTGATCACCATTCCCCATCTGAACTCCCCAACAACCAAAACCTCTAGATATTTTCTTGCCAACTACAGCTAAGCCACATCACCCCCAAATTTTTAAGCCCCAGAGTACATCTTTGCATTTACTTGCTTCAGCAAGTTAAGCAGGAGTTTCACTCAACTTTGTCATTATTTTTCCCACTCTCCTCTCCAACTTCATTCTCTCTGTAAACGCATCATACCTCAGTGCACGCGCGCACACACACACACACACATAATCATACAATTCCACACCCACAGACACACACAGAGCTTCTCTGCAGCTTCTTTCACTCTACACTGACTCACAGTCGTGAGAACACATTTCCTTTTCCTCTTCACAGGCTCCTGAAATGAGATCATATCTGCTAAAAGCAATCGCAAGTGCTGGGTGAACAACTCCAGAAAATTAGTACAAGTTCCACTACGGCTAGAGACAGAGAAGAGGAAAAATCTGTTCAATTTTGACTGTATTCGCATTACCCACAAAAGGAAACATACTTCTTATTTCTTCCACTTATCCCAATCCTTAACAAAAATTAAAACAAAAGCTATAAGCTATTTCCAGCACTACCCCCAATGGTCATTTTTAATTTGTCATCAGCATTCGTTCCAAATCAGAAATGTACCAGTCACTTCACTTTTTGAGTATGATTTCTCATCAGTGCTGCTGCATCATCTCTATTTCCAAGGAAGCTAAAGACAACATAACGTTTTAAAAAATAACTAGAATGCATTATAGATTTAACCATGAGTCATCACAGACATTGAATAAAAGTATAACTCTGCCTCCGTGAGCCTGACATATAGACATTCTGAACAAGGAAATAATCTGTGGAATATCTGATATAGACACAAAGGACAAGAGATTAAAAAAAATCAGATGTGAAAAAAATGTTGTTTTCCATTGCTTTGAAAATAATTGAAATGAAAAACTATCTAATATCCACTCAATGGAATATCATGCAGCCACTCAAAGCTATTTTTACAAAGAGTTTTTAATAACATGAGAGAAGTGCATATGCTATGGTTACATGGAAAAAAAGGCAAGACACATGATAATATTTACAGCATGATTTCAATTATATGAAAATGCACCAACAACCCTAAAAGGAAACACAAAAAAATACCACCGATGATTATCTTTGGGTAGTCAAAAAAATGTATGGATTCTTATTTTTGTAATCCATTTTCCTATATTTTCCAGACTTTATGGATAGGTACTTTTTTATATAAAAACCTTTCATTTGGCAAATTTTTATTTTAAAAAATCATCTAAACTTTGTAAACTTCTTTTATTTTGTGAAAATATTTTCTGCAAAAGCTTCTGTCTTAAACTGCCTTCATAGTATTGTGACGATGCTTGAGGAAACAAGACAGAATTCTCACTACGCCTATACCCACTACCAATTTCCAAGCGGGGGCAGCTAAGGTTCCAGCCAACACTACTTTTCTGGAGGCTATAGATGGGTGGGAAATCTGGCAGTCTAGCCGTTACGTAGAAATCCCAAGGCAATCAGCAAAGAAGGCTAAAACATTAAAACCACCATGGCACACGTATGCCTATGTAACAAACCTGCATGTTCTGCACATGTATGCCCCGTTTTGGGGAAGAAATAAAAATTAAATTAAAAATTAAAAAAAACTATCAGTCCAACTTACCCCCCCACCAAAAAAAAAAAAGAGAGAACATCTTAGATAGGGTCATGAAGCACTCGATCTTCTCACATGCATTCTCTCCTCCTTTACACATGAAATCCCTGCAAGGCCAGCGTTATCATGCCCATTTGACAGATAAGAAAATGAATGTATACAGAGAGGAGGAACCTTGCTCAAGGTCACAAATCAGTCTCCTGTCAACATCTGGAAGCAAATCCATGTCTGTGATGCTAATGATCAGGATCTTTGCATTATACCATATGGCAGCTTTCATCTGGACTACAATAATTGAGAAAACTGTATCAGATACAGGGAGCCCTGCATATCATCATCATCAGGAAAGACCTGCACTGGGCCTCCTGCCAAAGGATACCTAACTGTATAAGTTTAATGAATACAGGCAACCAAATTCCCACCTTATCCCTTAAAATCCTAGAAAGAACACAGAGTTGAAATTAATTGTATTTAAAGTATAGTATGCATTTTTTATTTATTTTTTTTTTTTTATTGAGACAGAGTCTCGCTCTGTCGCCCAGGCTCAAGTGCAGTGGTGCAATCTCGGCTTAGTGCAACCTCCGCCTCCTGGGTTCAAGCAATTCTTCCACCTCAGCCTCCCAAGTAGCTGGGATTATAGGCACCCACCACCACACCTGGCTGATTTTTTTCATTTTTAGCAGAGACAGGATTTCCCCATGTTGGCCAGGCTAGTCTCAAACTCCTGACCTCAAGTGATCTGCCTGCCTTGGCCTCCCCAAGTGCTGGGATTACAGGCGTGAGCCACCACACTCAGGCTGTTTATTATTATGGAATACTATATCCTAAACATGGGATTACTACATCAAAATACAGGAAGATGCTTAAAGGCTCTTGATATTTCTTTTCAAATTTTCCTAATAAAAGTTTATGTGAGTTTATATGTCCATAAACATGGTATACAAATAACCATTTAGTTACATCTTTGCCACCTCTGGGAACTGCAATTTTAGAAAACTGTCAAACTGACAAAACAAAGAGGGAAGAAATGGAAGACTTCCTATGTCAGCTTTTGAAGAGGTCATGTATGACATAATCTGAATATCCCATTCAAATTTTTAACCACAGCACTGCCGAAGCCAGCCAGCCAGCCTGACTTAGCCCTCTTATGGGAAAATGTAGCAAGTGGTTCTGTGGTTAAAACAAGCACAGACTCATAGGAGAATTCAAAAACCAATGAAGACCCTGGGTTCCAAATCCAAAATGCCAGACAGATGAAAGGAGAGAATGGAGGATCTAGCATTATATTTACTGATGGTCTATTTGGTACCACATTCTTTCCTATGTTCTAAATTAGCCCTTAGAATAATCTTGTGAAGACCTACATTTGCTCCCATTTTATAGACAAAAAGAGTCAAGATTCAAAAACGTCAACAAGGGCACCCAGCTAGTAAATGCAAAGCTCAAATTTAAACTCAGACTCTTCCACCCAAAACTTTTTGATTCTTTACCCTTATGTTTTGGTTTTAATATTTTATTTTCATATCACTTATTACACTTTCCAATTTTAAAAGAAATACTTGTTTATTATAATAAATATGTAAAGTAGTTTGGAAGATTCTCTAAAGAAAAAAATCAAGAATTGTTCATAATCTACCACCCAGAGACAAGAACTGTTAATACTTTGTTTCATTTTCTTCCATTTATTTATGTTTACATATAATTTAAATAAAATCAGTACTAGATTGTATATAAAGGCTAGTTTGCTAATTTTTAAACTAAATAGAGTGTGACTTTTGACAGGGCATTTAGTATTACTTGTAATTATCATTTTTTACATCTGCAGATAATTATATCAAATGAAAGCCACATAATTATTTTAGCTACTCTCTATTGCTGAACATTTAAAATTGTTTTCCTCAGTTTTCTATCTCAATCTTGTGATAAAATCCTTTTATATTACCTTTTATGTGCATCTCTAATTGTTTCCCTAAACTAATAAATTCGTGGGAATGGAATTATAATAGTCCTCCCTTATCCACAGGAACTATGTTCCAAGATCTCCAGTGGATGCCTGGTGCATTGGATAGTACCCAACCTTATACATACTACATTTTGTCCTAAACAAGATCTCCAGTGGATGCCTGGTGCATTGGATAGTACCCAACCTTATACATACTACGTTTTGTCCTAAACAAGATCTCCAGTGGATGCCTGGTGCATTGGATAGTACCCAACCTTATACATACTACGTTTTGTCCTGAACATACATATTAATATCTATGTTAAAGTTTAACTTATAAATTAGACACAGTAAGAGATTAATAACTAATAATAAAGTAGAATAATTATAATGATATTCTGTAATCAAAGTATGTGAATGTGATCTTTCTCTTTATCTCTCTTTCTCAAAGTATCTTATTGTTCTGTACCCACCTATTTTCAGACCACAGGTGAATTCGGGTAACTGAAACCACAGAAAGCAAAACTGAGAAAAGTGAGAGAATACAGGGTCAAAGAGTATGCACATTTTAAGGTTCTAAAACTATATACTAAACTGCTCTCCAGAAAGATTGCAAGAATTTATATCCTCTAGATGAACATATCACTTTATCACCACCAATACTGTCAGAGGCATTTGATCCAGAGCAACTCCATCTTGAGCAGTGGCTGGGTAAAATGAGGCTGAGACCTACTGGCCTGCATTCCCAGACGGTTAAGGCAGTCTAAGTTACAGGATGAGATAGGAGGTCGGCACAAGATACAGGTCATAAAGACCATCCTGATAAAACAGGTTGCAGTAAAGAAGCCCGCTAAATCCCACCAAAACAAAGATGGCCACGAGAGTGACCTCTGGTCATCCTCACTGCTACACTCCCGCCAGCGCCATGACAGTTTACGAATGCCATGGCAACGTCAGGAAGTTACCCTATATGGTCTAAAAGGGGAAGGCATTAATAATCTATCCCTTGTTCAGCATATCATCAAGAAATAACCATAAAAACGAGCAACCAGCAGCCCTTCGGCTGCTCTGTCTATGGAGTAGCCGTTCTTTTGTTACCTCAGTTTCCTAACAGACTTGCTTTCTCTTTACTCTAGGAACTCACCCTGAATTCTTTCTTGCACGAGATCAAAGAACCCTCTCTTGGAGTCTGGACCAGGACCCCTTTCCTGAAATAACACTATTGTTTAAATTGTTGTCAACGTAAATCGAGAAAAAATGGTACCTTTATTCTTTTTAAATTTATATTTCAGCAACTAAAAGGAAAGCTAATTTTTTTTCAGATTTTTATTGACTATGGCAATTTTTCTTACATGAGTTGTAAGAAAAACAACTCATTTTTCTGTCAAGACACCTTTTTGTTGCTTATTAGTGTTCTTTATATATCAAGGATAGTTAGCCATTGTGAATCATATTTGCTGTAAATATTTCCCTCAAGTTGTTCTTTACCTTTTTTGTAATTGTATTTTTACTTACAAATGTTTATGAATTTTACACAACTAACTCCATTATCCTTTCTCATCATTTGTTTCTTGGTTTTTACACTTGGAAAGCCCTTGCTCCCCGTAAAATCAAATACACATTCACCTATATTTTTGTAGACTTTGTTCTTTCTACTGCACGCTGTGCTGATTCTTATTTCAGACGGGTGAAATGTCAAACAACTGAAATATCCTTAAGGTTTGAAAAAAAAAGGAGAAGTAAATCTATCTGAGAGGACACATTCACTGGCAGATAAATTATGGATGATCCTGCCCCCTTTGTAATCTCAGGGATGACAACTCCAGTGTGCACCAAAAACCCTTAGAAAAATTCTAAATCCCCTTATCCTAGGTCTCCAGTCTGGGCCTTATGGGAACCCTAAAGCTGTGATTCTCCCCAGGGAGTATAAAACTTTGGTCTAAAGGTGAATAACTGTAGAGTCAGGTAGGTTTTGTCCCAAAATCTCAAATCACCCAGGTATTCCCAGAACGTCTATCCTGTGTCCAGCCCCAAATCTCAGCCAGAGAACCCAGGGAGCACACAGGCATGCCTGGAGGGGGTCTTTTTGAGATTCCAGAAGCCGGAGAGCATGCAAGTATGCCGGCCGGGAAGGGGGGGTGGGGGGGGGTCTTCCTGAGAGAAAGCAATTAAAATTCACATCACAAAAGGAATGAGGCTTTTTTTATTCTAAACTGCAAAACGTGGTGTGGTTAATCAGAGCAATTATAAATGGTAACATCATTATTCAAGCTTCTATTTCCAAACGAAGTCATTTAAATGAATACATTTTCTGCCTTGGAGCAGTAGCTGCCAGTGAGCCTTTAAAAAGAAAAGAAAGGAGAAAAAGAAAAAAGAGAAAACCGGATGAAGCCGCTGGTGCAAAACCTTGGAAAATAGGGTAGAAAGAACTCAGCATTGGGAATTGGGAGCCTGGGGTACAAACATAGATCCAACACGGTCTCATTCTGTAACCTTGGGCAAGACTTCAGTTCCCACCTGTGCAACGGGGAAATAGATGAACTTGTATTCGTGACCCCTTCTTGCTCTGACATTGTGAATCTAGATTTTAACCACTAAAGGTCTAATTTTTCTACATGCTGCAGCTGCAATTTTATAGAATTCATCAATGTGTTAAATACATTCTCTTATTCAAATTCGAAGACAAATTCTTCAGAAACTGCCTAAGCTGTCTCTAAATGGTGACAGACTTCCCCCCACCCTACTGCAGCCTGTATTGTGTGTGGTCTTGAAGGAAGGAGCACGTGAGTGTTGAAATCAGATGGTCCTGGGGGTCAAATCTCAGCTCTGACCAAGAAAGCCTTGACATTCCTTCCCCTTGGTTTGACTAAAGTTTTAGACAGGTTTCTTCCTGATAAGCTCCTCACCTCCCTTTTGTTAGAGCGTCTACTTTAGAAAACTTGTAACTACAAATTCTTTCTCTGCTCCTTTAAAAAAATTCTGCTGGTCATTTACTAGTTTTACAACCCAAGTAATGTCTTTCTCAAGGACCTGGGAAGCAACCATTTGAAATGTGAGCATTGAAGGAGAGAGCGTCCCTATCTCCCAGTCTGCGGAAGAGTGGGAGCCCAACTTCAGTGTGCCTTTCTCCAACTTTTTAACCTCTCCTATCATGAAGATATGAGAAAGTTTACTTTTCCTTTAGTAAACTTAAGTAGCAAACACAGATGGCCTGAGAATTCCAGCTCTTAAGAATTCCTCGTCCCTTTGTTTCAGGAGAGTTAAGTCCTGTCTCGACCTGATTACAATGGTCTTGAATAATATCTTCCTTGCCTGATTAAATTTGTCAGGTGCAATTTTTACTTAGGCAGTTCCAACTGTGTAAATGTACCTCCTTCAACTTCCTTGAACTTCAGGGTCCCTATCCATGAAAAGCAAACAACAGAAAAAGTCCTTCTTTTAAGGAGTGAATGGTATATTTCAGGGAATAAATCAGAACATGCATGTAATCACCTGCACAGAGAAGGTGGGAGATTGTTTGCAATATCTACTTCCC